>NC_000014.9:59611713-59914743 GCF_000001405.40 Homo sapiens | reverse complement strand
GTGCTTTCAAAATGTAACAGGACAGACATAGAATGGATGTTCCCATTCCAAAAGTGAGAATATGAATGAAGAAATAGGCCCCAAGTTCAAAACCCAACAGGGCAAACAACATTAAGTCTCTATATATAATCCTTTGGGTATATACCCAGTAATGGGATGGCTAGGTCAAATGGTATTTCTAGTTCTAGATCCCTGAGGAATTGCCACACTGACTTCCACAATGGTTGAACTAGTTTACAGTCCCACCAACAGTGTAAAAGTGTTCCTATTTCTCCACATCCTCTCCAGCACCTGTTATTTCCTGACTTTTTAATGATCGCCATTCTAACTGGTGTGAGATGGTATCTCATTGTAAAGACACATGCGCACGTATGTTTATTGCGGCACTATTCACAATAGCAAAGACTTGGAACCAACCCAAATGTCCAACAATGATAGACTGGATTAAGAAAATGTGGCACATATACACCATGGAATACTATGCAGCCATAAAAAATGATGAGTTCATGTCCTTTGTAGGGACATGGGTGAAGCTGGAAACCATCATTCTCAGCAAACTATCACAAGGACAAAAAACCAAACACCGCATGTTCTCACTCATAGGTGGGGATTGAACAATGAGAACACATGGACACAGGAAGGAGAACATCACACACTGGGGTCTGTTGTGGGGTGGGGGGAGGGATAGCATTAGGAGATATACCTAATGCTAAATGACGAGTTAATGGGTGCAGCACACCAACATGGCACATGTATACATATGTAACAAACCTGCACAATGTGCACATGTACCCTAAAACTTAAAGTATAATAATAATAAAATTAAAAAAAAAAAACTAAGTCTCAAGGCTTGAGAATAATGGAGGCAGGAGTTGGGCACTTGAGAATTAAGATGGCCCAGCCCCATGGCTTTGCTGGACACAGCCCATGCTGTAGCTCTGATGGGTTGGAATCACTTGCCTGCTGCTTTTCCAGGCCAGAGTTGCACATTGGTGGCTCTACCAATCTGAGTTCTAAGGTACCCTAACATCTCCTCTGGGCATTGCCCTAGTGGGGGCTTTCTGTGTACCCTCAGTCTAGAGCTCTTGAGAACTAACCCATCCACTCAGCAAATGCCAAATTGTATTCTCAATGTAGGTGCATCTTTGTCAGGAATATGTGGCATTCTTAATGAGGTTCTAGTGGCTAGGAGTGGGGAAGGACGAATAGGGAATAATAGGAAAGGAAGCATAAAGAACACTATTTGTCTAGAGCAGGGATTGGGTAGCCCTTGAAGTCAAATCTAACCTGCCACCTGATTTTTAACAAAGTTTTTATTGGAACACAGCCACATCCATTTGTTTGCACATTTTAATGGCAGAGTTATGTAGTTGCATAACAGAAACCATATTGCCTGCAAAGCCTAATGTTTATTGTCTGGACCTTTAGAGAAAGTTTGCCAACCCTAGATCTAGAGCAGCACAGAATGCAGAAAACCAGTAGCCAATTTATGAGCTTTAGCTAGGAATGTCCACAGCTAAAGACCTAAAGGGCCAGCATTCAGAGTGGTTCCCCACTCCGAATATGTTATTCTTCTACTCAACAAATACTTGCCACTTACAGTTTTAGATTATGGAAATATAGCAGTGAACAAACAAACAATTCTTGGAGTTTCATTTTATTGAGGGACCTTCAATTCCAAACTTCTTTTTCAACCCTGTTATTACTAGCTTCCAGATTAAAGGTGCTCAGACAGAAAGCTGAGGCCTCATGATCTAATCACCTCCCCAAACACCCCACCTGAGGTGAGGTCACACACATGCTTATGCTGGGTGAGGGAAGGAAAGATCTGGTGGGAGGAGTCTTTAGGCTTCCCATGTGGGAGAGCAGCAAAGGGACAGATAATTACCAAAGGGAAATTGGGTACTACACTGGGTTGAGTAGTATCTCCCCAAAATATATATCCATCTGGAACTCCAGAATGTTACCATATTTGGAAATAGGGTATTTAAAGATGTAATCCACTAAAATGAGGTGATACTAGATTAAGGTGGGCCCTAAATCCAATGGCTGGTGTCTTTGTAAGAAGGCCATGTGAAGACACAGACCACGGAGGGAAGAAGGTCACGTGATGACAAGAGGCAGCAATTTGGACTGATGCAACTGCAAGCCAGGGAACACCAAGGATGAACACCAAGGATTGCCAGTCACCACCAGAAGTTAAAAGAGGCAAAGAAGTGTTCTTCCTGAGAGCCTTCAGAGGGAGCATGGCCTGCTGACCCTTGATTTTGTATTTCTAGCCTCCTGAACTATGAGAAAATAAATTTCTGTTGTTTTAAATCCCAGTTTGCGGTAATTTGTTACAGCAGCCCTAGGAAATGATTACAGGTACCGTTAGGAAGGGGAAAGTATTTTACCCCAAGTTATACATATAGCAAGTGATCCAGAGCAGAACCTGACAACCAAAAGCTAGAAATAAGATTCGAGTTGAGGGCCAAAGCCAAGAATTTGAAGAATTGGGCAGTGACAAGAAGAGGGGGTAGTGCAGGTCAGGAGAAGTGAGAAGGGTGTCAGTAGTTGCCACAAACAGCCATTGGGCAGAGGCAGGGAATGTCAAAAAAAGGATTCTTGAGTGATACTACATATTTTCATGCCTTATCTTATTTACACCTAAGGTATGTATTGCCATTATTCCTATTTTACAAACAGGGAAACTAAGTAACTTGCACAAGGTCATGCCAATAGTGGCAGAGTAGAGTTCAGGCCTTCTGACTTGAGAGCCAGACTCTCAACCAGAAAATATTTTACAGCTTCCAGTGAATAAGTCTGTTTGCCACTTTTTGACCTCAGGATATTGTAAAGGCTCCCCTGTAGGATTCTTCCTTCTAATTTAATAAGTTGCAGCATCTGTTTAACAGTTGTTAAAAATCAGGTAATAGGAACCATAGATTTTTAGCATAAGGAAAGGTTGCAGAATTAGGATGCAAACAGGACCAGAGACTCTGTGGCATTTTTAAAACATCAAATTGATGAGGAACAATTCCAGTTTAGGCCCTCTAAGTCAGGGCCCTGATAACCTGGAAAGTACCTTTGTAGAAATGGAAAAGGTCTGGAGAGGCGCAGCATATGGACAGCATCTCTGAGCAAAGAAAAGGGGTCTCCTCCTGACAAAGATCAGAGTGCATGAAGAGGGATTGCTGAATGCAGTTTAGCTGGGCCCCCTTTGCTAGTGCCCTTTTACAGTGTTCAGACTCCACTCCATGGGCAGTAGCCCTGTCCAACGTGAAATAGAGGAAGGTGACTACTGCTAACTACTGCAGGGCTCATTAGGGCTTCTGACAACTTAAGAAGAAAGTGTATGGGAAAGCCCTTGAGTAGTACAGTTTAGGCCAGAGGTAGCCCCAGAATTCACAGGGCTTTCCGCATGGACTTTTTAGGTGGGATTTAAGACGGGCAGAAGGAAGGAGTAAGGTTTGGGAGGCTGGCATCTATGACAATGAAGCTGACCAGCTTCTTTTGGCTCTAATGGCAACTTTCACACTTTCCATAAATGTAATTTTTTTAATCCATGAATGTGTATACTATATATGTACTTTGATATGCATATTCTTTAATAAAATAGTCAAAAGGAATTTGAACGTTCTTCTACATCAGTCTAGATTTATTTTGTTTTTCTCATTTCCAGCTTCTAATAGTTAAGTAGCTCCTATCACTTCACAGTTATGGCTAATAAGTAGAAGAGTAAACACAATCTGAAACCATTTTTACAGTGATATGTGGATCTCAGATGCTCTTCTTTCTTGTTTGTCTGGCATTTACCCAGAGGGAAAGGAGTGGGGATAGTTACAATAGCCATGGAGGCTGAACTTCCACTTTTAGGTCCCTTTTTCTACTCCTTAGCTGGCCAAACTTTTCTGCCCACCTCTGGCATAAGATTAAGTAGTATTAACCCGCAATCCTCACACACCCTTACTACCCATTGACTTTCCTAGTCCCTATCCCAACTAGTCCAGCTCATGTACTTCTCTCTGTTCTTACCACCACAGTCTTAGTTCAGGATGCAACATCTTTTGCAACAGCCTAAACTATTTGCAAAAGCCACTAATCTCTTTTCACTAGCCTATCCTCCTTATTATTTACCAAAAACCAAATCTGATAAAGTCATGCTTTAATATACCTCTATTGGTATATTATTGTACATGATATATTATCAAATATGGAACATAATCATTTGCATGTTCATCTTTTGTACATTCATTCACTTAACAAATATTTAGTGAACTTCTTAGTATGCCAAGCACTATTCTAGGCACTAGGGATACAGCAGTAAACAAAACAGATAAAAATGTCTGCTTTTACGTAGTTTACATTCCAATGGAGAGATGATAATAAAATATATGTAGCAGGCTGGATAATGATAAGTGCTAAGAACAAAAGTAAAGCAGAGAAAGATAGGAAGTGTGTCTGTGTTTCTGTAACTTTAAATTGGATGTCCAGGAGGAAAGGCCACAATCAGGAGATGATACTTGAGTAATAACTGGGAAGAGGTGAAGTAAAAGCCATAATGATGTCTGAGGGAAGAGCAGACAGGAAGAAGGAAAAGCAAGGGTAAAACCTCTGTAACAGAATAGAGAACCCAGAAATAAACCCAAATACTTAGAGCCAACTGATCTTCAACAAAGCCAACAAAAACATAAAGTGGGGAAAGGACACCCTTTTCAACAAATGATGATGGGATAACAGGCTAGCCACAAGTAGGAGAATTAAACTGGGTCCTCATCTTTCACCTTATGCAAAAACCAACTCAAGATGGATTAACGACTTAAACATAAGACCTGAAACTATAAAAATTCTAGAAGATAACATTGGAAAAACACATCTAGACATTGGCTTAGGCAAAGGATTTCATGACCAAGAACCCAAAAGCAAATGAAATAAAAACAAAGTTAAATAGCTGGGACCTAATTAAACTAAAGGGCTTTTGCATAGCAAAAGGAACAGTCAGCAGAGCAAACAGACAACCCACAGAGTGGGAGAAAATCTTCACAATCTATACATTTGGCAAAGGACTAATATCCAGAATCTACAATGAACTCAAATCAATAAGAAAAAAAATACAATCACATCAAAAAGTGGGCTAAGGACATGAATAGACAGTTCCCAAAAGAAGATTCATAAATGGTCAACAAACATATGAAAAAATGCTCAACATCACTAATGATCAAGGAAATGCAAATCAAAACCACAATGCAATACCACCTTACTCCTGCAAGAATGACCATAATCAAAAAATCAAAAAACAGTAGATGTTGACGTGGATATGGTGAACAGGTAACACTTCTACACTGCTGGTGGGAATGTAAACAAGTACAGTCACTATGGAAAACAGTGTGGAGATTCCTTAAAGAACTAAAAGTAGAACTACCATTGGATCCAGCAATCCCACTACTGGGTATCTACCCAGAGGAAAAGAAGTCATTATTCGAAAAAGAAACTTGCACATGCATATTTATAGCAGCACAATTCACAATTGCAAAATCATGGAACCAACCCAAATGTCCATCAATTAATGAGTGGATAAAGAAACTGTGATATATATATACATATATATATACACACACATATATATGTATATATATATACACACATATGTGTATATATATATACATATATATGATATATATATGTATATATATATACACACATATGTGTATATATATATACATATATATGATATATATACACATATATATGTATATATACACCATATATATATATATACACATATATACATATATGTATATATATACACATATATACATATATGTGTATATAAACTGTGATATATATGTGTATATATATATCATATATATGTGTATATATATCATATATATGTGTATATATATATCATATATATGTGTATATATATATCCATATATATGTGTATATATATGATGGAATTCTATGCAGCCATAAAAAGGAATTAATTAACAGCATTTGCAGTGACCTGGATGAGATTGGAGACTATTATTCTAAGTGATGTAACTCAGGAATGGAAAACCAAACATCATCGTATGCTCTCACTGATACGTGGGAGCTAAGCTATGAGGACGCAAAGGCATAAGAATGATATAATGGACTTTGGGGACTTGAGGGGACAAGTGGGAAGGGGATGAGGGTTAAAAGACTACAAATATGATGCAGTGTGTACATGGGTGATGGGTGCACCAAACTCTCACAAATCACCACTGAAGAACTTACTCATGTAACCCAAAAAAAAAAAAAAAAAAACCAACAAACTCTGTAATAGGAATGTGCCAGAGCAGCAAGTTTTCAAGTCACAGGAGAGTAGGTCAGAGGAGAAATTGGAGGCCAGATCACATAGGTATTTATAGGCTGTTATACAGCTCCTATATGGATTTTATCTTTCACTCTGAGGGTAATTGGGAGTTACTGGAAGATTTTTGAGAAGAGGAGAGACTTTATCTGACTTGGTTTTCAAACTATTGCTCTGACTTGTGTGTAAAGGACAGTTAGAAGCAGGGCAATAGCAGAAGCAGAGTTATGAGTAGAGTGGTCATATAATGTCGTTTAAGTAGGACATCTTTTAAAAGAAAGGAAAGCATTGGGCCAGGTGCAGTGGCTCATGCCTGTAGTCCCGGGACTTTGGGAGGCTGAGGCGGGCGGATAACCTGAGGTCAGGAATTCGAGAGCAGCCTGGCTAACATGGTGAAACCCTGTTTCTACTAAAAATACAAAATATTAGGTGGGTGTAGTGGCGCACGCCTGTAATCCCAGCTACTCAGGAGGCTGAGGCAGGAGAATCACTTGAACCCAGGAGGCGGAGGTTGCAGTGAGCCAAGATTGCACCATTGCAACAAGAGCGAAACTCTGTCAAAAAAGAAAGGAAGGAAGGAAGGAAGGGAGAAAGAAAGAAAGAGAAAGAAAGAAAGAGAAAGAAAGAAAGAAGGAAAAAAAGAAAGAAAGAAAAAGAAAGGAAGGAAGGAAACAAAGCATTAATCCAGGGCAAAAAAGCAAAAACAGGGACTTTACAGGGCAACCAAGATATGTGGTCATCCTAGGTCATGAGGCTATTGCAGTACTTGAGTTCTTGGTAGCTTGGACGAAGATGGTAACAGCAGAGGAGGTGAGAGGTGTTTGTATTCTGCATCCATTTTGAAGATGCTGTCAGCAGGTTTTATGAGGCTTTTGTTGGAAGGTGTGAAAGAAAGAGGATTCTAAGGTTTTGGTCAGAGCAATTGGAAAAAGGAGTTGACATTTTCTGAAATGGGAAAGCTGTAAAGGGAACAGGGTTTAGTGGGTAGGATGACAGTAGAGCTTGCTCTTAGATACGTTAGGTTTGAGATTCTAATTGGAATGCAAGTGGAGATGGTAAGTAGGAAGTTGAACTTAGGAGTCTGGAGTTCATGGGAGAGTTCCAGGCTGGAAATATATATTTAGGGTCATTAATATAAAGATTAATAAGACTGAACGAAATTGCCAAAAGAATTAGTGTGGGTAGAAAATAGAAGAGGTTGAAGACTGAACTCTGGGGAACTTGAATATTTAAAGGTCAGAGAGATGATAAGGAACCATCGAAGACTGAGTCCTAGCCAGAAAGGTGAGATAAAATCCAGGAAAGGGTGGTGTTCTAGAAGCCAAATGAAGAAAATAGAGTGATAATAGGTCAAGGAAGATGAGGACTAAGAATTGAAGTTACTGATGCTGCTGAAAAGAACAGTTTCTATAGAGGGGATTCAAGAAGAATGGAAGAAGATGAATCGGAGACTGTGGGTATTATAGGCAGCTCTTTCAAGGAGATTTGCTCTAAAGGAGGAAGAGAAATGGGGCAGATGCTAGAGAGGAGTAGGGTCATGGGAGTATTTTTTAATATGGAAGAATAAGAAGATGCTTTTATGCTAATGGGAGTGATCCAATAGGGAACAAAAATTATTCATGATAGAGGGAGAATTGTTGGAGCAATGTCCTTGAGGAATTGATAGAAGATGGGTGTGCACAGGTCACAGGGTTAGCTTTATCTCAGAGCTTGGGCAGGAGAGAGGGCAGTCAATGGGCACAGAAGCAGATAGGTAGATATATGTGGTGGTGGTGGTGGTGTGTAGAAGCCCTCTTGTGGCCTCAGTTTTCTCAGTGAAGTAGAAAGCAAGGTCATCTGAGAGTAAGAATATGAAGGGAGGTGGAGGTTTCATGACAGAAGAAAAAGTATAATTTAATGGTCCAGGAAAATGGGAGAGTGAATGGACTAGGTAAATAGAATATGATTGCCTGGCTGCATTACTCTCTAGTGAGTTTAACGATCAGGAATGTAAGGTGAGATCAGTCAGTATGGTTATGATTTTTCTCCATCCACCTTTAGCTGTGTGTATGCCTAGTACAGAGGACTGGGAGAGTTAGATTTAACCAAGGATGGGATTTAACCAAATGTATGCAGCAAAGTAAAAAAGGGGGAGAAGTATTGAGGATGTATCCATGTGGAGGTCAATAATGGCCTTGGAATTTAAGCTGGAAAGGAATGTGACTTCATGCGGAAAGTAAGAGAGTAACCTGGGTTGATCAGTGGATGATACATAACCAGTGGAGACAGTGTTTTAGTCTGTTTAGTGTTGCTGTAAAACAATACCTGAGGCTGGGTAATTTATAAAGAAAAGAAGTTTATTTGGCTCATGGTTCTGCAGGCTGTGTGAGAAGCATGGTGTCTGCATCTACTCTTGGTGAGGGCCTCAGGCTGCTTATGGTGTAAAGCACAGGGGAGCTGGCATGTGCAGAGACCATGTGGTGAGAGAGAAGCAAGAAGGAGCGTGGGGGTTCTAGGCTCTTTTTTAACAACCAGCTCTCATGGGAACTAATAGAGAACTCACTTACCTTCCCCATGCAGGGAAGGCATTAATCTATTCATGAAAGATCTACCCCATGACCCAAACACTTCACATTAGGCCCCACCTCCAACACTGAGGATCAAATTTTGACATGAGATTAGGAGGAGACAAACTATAGGAGGCACACAAGAAAACCCAAATTCTGAGCATTTCATAGGTCAAAGGCCTAATTACCTCTTACTTCCTCATCTCCCACATCCCACTTTGCAGAAATTCCTTCATTCACACCAAACTCATCATTTTCAGAGCATTCCAAGGCTTTTCACCACACTATCCTTTCATATCCACTAGTCCCTAGGCCTCAATGCTTTTCT
Organism: Homo sapiens; assembly: GCF_000001405.40. Taxonomy (NCBI): domain Eukaryota; kingdom Metazoa; phylum Chordata; class Mammalia; order Primates; family Hominidae; genus Homo; species Homo sapiens. The sequence continues at coordinate 59,905,553 of NC_000014.9, read as the reverse complement.
TTTTCCCTTTCCACCAGCCTATCTCTATAACTAGTTTTCAACTGTCTCCTCTTTTTCAAAACTTTCTCTCAATATATCCCAGCAGGGTGAGCCTTTTTCCCTTCCCAACTTGTCCACTCAGATCTTGACTCATGCTTCCATAGAGCCCATAGGGTCAGTCTCTTGAACCAGGCTGTGAGCTCTTTAATGAGTCAGGGCCACGTGTTATTCATACTTGCATTTCGGTGGCATTTAGCAAAATAGAAACCTAAAAGTAATGCCTTAATGAATTAGTAAGTGAATGGATACTATCAGGGTGCATTATCATCAGCTCAGTTTAGACCAACATTTTGCAAACCTGTCTGATTATTTAATCACTTGTAACTTGTAGAAATTTGTTTAAGTTTCTAAGAATATAACCCAGAGAATATCATTTAGTAGATTTACAGAGAGGTTTATAAGCTTCTGTTTTAAAAATTCCCCAGATGCGTTTAGTAATCAGTCCTATTTGAAATATCCTGGCTAATTATCAACCTTTAACTAGAAGCTGATTCAATGAAGAAGAAATTAGCCTCTTTATCCTTTAACTTTACTTAGAAAAATACAAGTATGCTTGATAAAAATGTTCATTTTCCCACTGTTCTTTTTTCCCCCGAAGCTGGTAAATGACTTTACAGTTAAGATGTCCTAATTGACAATGTGTAACTTCTAGGAGTCCTCTTATGGCACAATTTCCAGCTGTGTGACAAATCTGTGAATGAGGGGTGTGTGTGTGTGTGAGAGAGAGAGGGAGAGACAGAGAGAGAGAGAGAATTTATTTATTAATCTAGATTTTTTGAAGTTAAGTGAAGAAAACCCAATTCAAAAAAGCTTACATTTTTAAAAAATCCATTGGCTTTCATAAGCAACAGGTTAATTTCCAGGGGTAGGATTGGCTTTGGACAAAACTGTAGATCTAGGATTTATTCAAGTGAAATATTGGGACTCAGAAGGTTTCCATCATTCTGATTTATTTTTTGGCTTTATTTTTGGAAAGGAACATCTGCAGGTAGTTCCAGGATTACATTCTGCCTTTTTTTAAACCCTAAAGGAAAGAGGATGCCCTTTTCCCAGTAGTTTCAAAACAAGTTCTAGGATTCAGGCTGATTGGTCTAACGTGGGTCAGATACTCAATAGAATGCTCTGATTGGCTTGGGCTGAGGGGTGGGGTCAGTGCCATCAGACTCCTATGTACTATAAGAGGAAGAGGGTGAATTTCATGAAGGAGAACTAAGGTGTTCTCACCAGAAATGTGGAGTGCTACGAAGGCAAAAACAACAGATGTCCACTGTAGCCAACCTTATTTAAATCACAATGTGTAGGGAGGGTATTACCCCACAGACCCCTAAACCAGTACTGCTTTGACTTTGTAGAGATTTATCCTCATCCTTTTTCTATCTGTAGCATTTTACTATAAAATATTTGAGAAATTAACAGAGTGAATGTGAGACTTCATTGGCCCACATTTCTTGACTTGGAGAAGCTAATCTACTATAAGACTAAAAATACTGGGGATTTTCTTCTGTTTTCATCTGTTTGTGCCCCGAACTAGTAGTGGGAGGGAGCAATTTTGCCTGAGTGAATCTCCTGCACAAACCCGGACTTTCTCTCCTGTGGGTTGTTGCAAGTTCTAGTGGGAGTAGAGAATGTTAGTGAGCCCTTTTCTCTACAGATTTACAGTCATATTTTCCCAATGGCTTTTTCAGTAATAAAGCTGATTTTTAAAAATCTCAATTTATCTGCCTCATGTCTTATTCCCAGTTGCTTTCAAGCTTGGAGGGAAAAAAGGAGGGGAGGGGGTTATTATTTGCTTTCTAAAGCCTGACTCTGTACTTGAGTTAACTGTATTTTTATATAATCCAAATGTTGAAACTTGAAATGCATATTGACTTTCCAAAAACCAGAATATTCCATTAGTCAAAATAAAGAATTCCCTTTCCATTTGGAAAAAGTAAAAGTTTGCAATACTTTACTGCACACCCATTTCTTAGTCATATGTATATAAAAATGACAGTATCTGTAGAAGTTAGAGCCAGCCTACATAGAAACAGTTGCTTTACAAACCATAGCTCATTTGTATATGTGTGCACTTGACAAGAGGTCTTGGGAAAGAGGTGCATCACTGTTATTAAATATAGAGAGCTTTGAAACAATTATTAGTGTGGTCAGCCCCATTTTGCTAGCTATGCCAGAATGATCATTTTGCTAGCTATGCCAGAATGAGCCAACCTGCAAATTCTGCCATTGAGAAATAGAATTTAATTGTGCAAATACAAGAGGAACTTAGCCAAACAGACTACTAAGTTCCAAATAACTTTAGATAACCTTCTTAAATCAGACCGATGACATCAAAAATAATGCCATTAATGCCCTTGAAAACAATAGTAAATACAATAAAAGCTTATTTTATATATGTATAATAGAATGTATCATATGTATTTGCATTTGTATATGTGTATTTATATATACATATAAGAATTTTACTTAATATAGTGGGTTTTGTATTAGTTATCATAGTTTTAAAATTGTGTTTTGGAGACATTGTACATTAATTTCATTTTTGTCTTAAAACAGAATTACAGTTAAAATCATCCAAGATACACTTTCTTTGGAAGATATATTAACAATCTTCTATTCTTGTTTAAAAAATACCTGCTGGCATGACATTCACCCCATGCCTGACCTAAATCTGAAATGCTATAGTGTCTGCCTTCTTTGTCCTTTTTGATCTTCAGTGAAGACAACTACTGACTTGATATCTATATTAAAAAGCTTATATTCTAGATCAATGTTCAATAGAAATAAAATGTGAACTATTACATGTAATTCTAGATGTTTTATTAGCCACAATAAAAGTAAAGATAGATGAGATTAATTTTAACAAATATTTTGACCCAACATAAGACAATATTATTTCAACACATAATAAATGTAAAAAGCTATTAATTAGCTATTTTTGTCTTTTTTCATACTAAGCCCTCAAAATACAGTGTATATTTTATACTTACAACACACCTAAATTCAGTCTAGCCACATTTGAAGTGCTAAAGACACATGTGAATAGTGGCTACCATATTCAAGTATGCAGTTCTAGGTGATTGTTTTTAATTTTTTCATTTAGAATTTAAATTAATATTTGGTTTTAATTTGGTGACAGAAAATCAGAAATAATCATGACTTTATAAAGATAGAAGTTTATTTATATCTTATACAAAGTTGGGAGGTAGTGGTCTGGGTTAGCAAGGTGTCAGGAACTCAGACTTAAAAAAAAAATTCTTATTGCTTTGCTATATGTGGCCTCTGTTAAAAAGGTCACCTTATGGTCCAGCTCCAGTCATCACATCTGCATTTCAGCCAGCGAGCAAAGAGGGGTAAAGGAAAGGAGGAAATTTCATATATAAGTATGTCCTGTGAGCCAGAACTTAGTCAAAAATCCACAGATAGCTGCAAGAGAGGCTGGAAATTTTAATGTTAATTTAAGGCAGCCCTATATTCATTTTTAAAATGAGGGTTTTATTACTACAGAAGAAATGGAAATGGATAATGAAGGGGAAACTAGTAGTCCTTATTTCAATATGGTCTCTGAAAACTTGATCGATTTTTGAGGAGGTTGCCTTAAATATACCTGTCACTGTTTGGAGGTGAAATGAGGCATTTCTAGGGTTATACCCACTTTAGAATTAACACATGAATGTGTTAGTTTATGGTGAATCTGCTGATATTTAACATTTCCACAAGCTAGAGAGTCCATGTGACCTTAGAACTATGATAATGAGGATGACTGGAGCTATGCTTGTGGAATTATTCAGAGGGATTTCTGCCACAGAAGAAAGGTCCCCTCAATCTTGGTTTATAACCAGATCTTCTGACATGACTTTTTTGTCTTCAGACATGCAAACATTTAAATGCTTAGTTTTAAAATTTGTGTTGCCATGTGTCCAAAAATGTTACACTGTTGAATTGAGAGTTTTTCTAAATGTGGAGCTATCTTCTGGTGAAACAACTGGCTAAGCGGAGGGTAGACCCCATTTATTTTCTTTCTTTCTTTCTTTTTTTCGATGGATTGCTTTGTTTAACCATTTTGTTAGGTATCTTTTTTTCCTTCCTAAATATCTTCAAATGCCCAGAAGGCAAAGGCCTATATTTTATTGCTTTTTGTGTTTTCCAGACACAACTTTAGTAGAGCATTAGAATAAATAGATATTTAATATCTCTAATTAAATGTACTACTATGTTAAAGCTATGAAATCTAAGGCAAATAAATATCCAAGGGTTACTATTAAAGATGGTACAAAAAACTCAAAGCTATACTCTTCCTGCTTTTCTTCAAAGCCAGTTTTTCTACACTCTCAACATATATCTGTTAGGTTGTGAAGGGAAGGGAAGGGTTAAAGAAAGAGAGAGAGAGTTGGCAGCTCTACGGTAATGCAGGTTTTTTGTCCAGCACAAGACCTGCAGAGGTGGGGGAAGCCAGTTTTTCTGTCTCTCAAGATATACCTGTTATGTTTTGAAGGAAAAGCAAGGGTTAAAGAAAGACACAGAGAGAGTTGTTAGCTCTTCAGCCACACAGGTTTTATTTCCAGCACAAGACCTATGGAGGTGGGGGACCCATTTAATGCCAGAGCTCACTGCTGCTTACAGGCTGGGGTAATTTATAGGTCTGGGGTAGGGAGACAGCGGTCTGGGTGGTATGGCTTTCTGCCCAGCAGGATATTGGTAAGATGTTCCTATGATCAGGTGGTTTGGCCCTTTTTCTGGTGGGATGTGATAGGATGTTCCTTGGACCTTTTCTCAGCAGGGTATGATAGGGATGTTCCTTCAGTTGGGCCTTTGCCTGGCAGGGTATGATAAGGATGTTCCTCTGCCTTGTGGTCAGTTGGTTAGGCAGGATGTTTTTCATGGCCCAAATCCCCGTGGAATGTTTCACTCTGACCAAGGTCTGCGAAATGGCAAGGGGCTTACAAAATGGTGCAGTTTGGACTAACACTATCCTAACAGTTGAAATAAAAGTCCTCTCATTCTCCCTCCCTCAATCAATCTTCTTAATTTCTGGTCCAACAAAAATCATCACTGTCCTCAGAAAATTACTTAAATTGTGTGGAGACTTGAAGACTGGTGATAAGCAAATGGCTTTCCAGCTCAGGTTTTTTGTGTTTTTTTTGTTTGTTTGTTTTGTTTTGTTTTTCTTTTTGAGATGGAGTTTCGCTCTTGTTGCCCAGGCTGGAGTGCAATGGCACGATCTCGGCTCACCACAACCTCTGCCTCCCGAATTCAAGCGATTCTCCTGCCTCAGCCTCTGGAGTAGCTGGGATTACAGGCATGCGCCACCACGCCCGGCTAATTTTGTATTTTTAGTAGAGATGGGGTTTCTCTATGTTGGTCAGGCTGGTCACTAACTCCCAAACTCAGGTGATCCGCCTGCCTCGGCCTCCCAAAGTGCTGGGATTACAGGCGTGAGCCACCGCGACCAGCCTCCAGCTCAGGTTTTATGGCATCTCAGAGTGACTTCTATAAACTAAACAGGTGTAGTAAAATTTTCAAAATGAACTCTTTTTATTTGGTTTTAATTTAGTAAATGAACACTTTCGTAGACTGTGGGCTTTTTGGTTTGTTTGAGAAAGGGAAGGCAGAGAAACCAACAAGGGGAAGTAAAATGGCATACAATTAAATCAATGGGAAAGATTCACTCTGTCAGTCTGAGCCTCACCGTTGTCTTCTCCGCTAGACTGGGCAGCTCCCAGTTACAGGGCCGCGCTCTCAGTCTTCTCCGGGCCTCAGGTCTCAGGAGTGCTCCTTCCAAAAGATACTTGAGCAAAAATGATTTTAAAGAAATTACTGTCGCCCTTCTCACACGAAACTCTTTTTTAACAAGTTTAATCATGGTTACAATTCTCATTTAAACTATTTCAGCAGCCCCTTGACTGAGTTCAAAGGGAAGGTAGACTTTAGAAGATTTTAGGCTCTTCTAAAGTTGTAGATCAGAGAATGGAGAGGAGAAAACAAATGAGATGATTGCACATGAGATCTTTGTGTTCTTCAGTTGTAGATGTTTCTCATTCCCCCAGATGCACTTTATATCTTTAATTCCTCACTTGTCATGTTTACTTATTCCTAATTCAACTGAATTGATTATTTAATTCATCTGCAATCCTTGTTTTGAATGCCTCAATTCTTCAGATTGTCATTAAGAATTTTCCAACTGGATGTTCCATTTAATGAAATAAAGGTTTATTTCTTCAAGACTTCCTAAACATTCTTTGCCTTGCTCACTAATTTTCTTCCTATTGGTGGTTTCTACCTCTAATTTAAATGAGTTGCTAAGCATCAGTAGTGCTGCTTGAGCCACGAATACAGGGAGTCAAGTGTGAGCTACAATGTATGTTGATGAACAGCCATGAGTGACTGACAGGTGTTTCTCATTACAAGTTATTGGGTTTTTTTGGAGATAATAATATCGAAGCATATTTAATGGTAGCTTTTAATTTAGAATTTCACCACAAAGATCTTTTGATTAGAAACAGCTATTCTCAAACTTTTTGGTTTCCTTCATACTTTTAAAAATTATTGAGGACCCCAAGGAGTTTTTGTTTGTGTGAGTTACAATTGGTATTAATCATATTAAAAGTTAAAATTCAGAAATTTAAAACATTTATTAATTTTGAAATAATAATAAACTCATTACATGTTAACACAAAAACATGTTTTTATAAAGATAATCGTATCTTATGAAACAAAACTGTAGTAAGGAACACGACATGGTTTTACATTTTTTTAAAAAACCAATGTCTGACTTAAGGGAAGACATTTAGGATTCCCATACTCCTTTTGCAGTCAATCCATTACAAAATCTTAGATCGTGTAGCTTCTGGAAACCTCCACTGTGCATTTGTGAGACAATGAGAGTGAAAAAGCAAATAACATCAACATTATTGTGAAAACAGCTCACAAACCCTGAAAGTCACTAGCCACACACTGAAGACTACTTATTTAGAACAATATTTGGTTCATGAGGGGAAATTGTGTAATATTCGTAACTGAAGTTGAATCAATGTAGAACTATAGGGCTAGAAGGTGTTAGTTACTGGAACATAGTTTAAAAAATATGTCTTAAAATAATTTATCTACTGTTTAAATTGTAGTAGAAATTAATTTAAAAATTCTAAAAAGCATCACATATTTGAAATTATTGAGTGGCAAAAATATGAGGATATATATACATTGAGCAGAACTTTAAAAAATAATAGTCTTTAGAAGTTACCATTTGTGACCTTGCTACTAGAACTAGTTACTACCATCATATTACCTGATCAAGTCATCATGGTACAGTAGAAAGAGCTCAAGAGTGTGAGTTCTAACTTCCAATTTGACTGGTTTTGTGAACTTGGGCAAATTACTTCACTCCCCTAAGCTTCAGCGTCCTCATTTGTGAAATGGGAATTAAAGTACCGACCTTGCAGAATTGTAAGATAGGGAAATGGGGGAGCCGTGAGTATAAGGATTAAGCTCCCACCTCAACATTTAGCGCAGATTTTGATGGACACCAATATTGAATTCCACCTAGAAACAGGTGGGGGCAGTGGTGAACTGCGTGAGTAGGGAGGCATTGGCAAATCTTAGCTGCAAATAGCCGCAAACACCCTAGTGAAAGAATATCAGGCCACTGGACGTGGTGGCTCATGCCTCTAATTCTATCACTTTGGAAGGCCAAAGCAGGAGGATCCCTTAAGTCCAGGAGTTCAAGATCAGCCTGGGCAACATAGCGAGACTGTGCCTCTGCAAAAAATAAAAAAATATTAACTGGGCATTGTGGCACACACCTGTGGTTCCAGCTACTAGGTAGGCTAAGATAGGAGGATTGCTTGAGCCTGAAAGGTCAAGGCTGTAGTGAGCTGTGATGTACCACTGCACCCTAGCCTGGGTGACAGAGCAAGACCCTGTCTCAAAAAGAAATAACAATAAAATATCAGGCCAAATCCAAGCTTGATGCAGCAGTGGCATCAGAAGACCAGACAGATCACAGTAACTATGAGGTAAAGAGACACAGAAGCCAGAAACCAGGGTGAGCACAGGAATGAAAGCCAAAGAGCAAGCTACCAGGTCACAGAGGGGAGAGTCAGATCAAGGCCAGGAACCAGGAGTAGGTAAGGTCCAGGAGGGGGTACAAAGAATCCTGAGAGAGAAACCTCGGGCCCTGGGTGAACTTGATGAGGAGTGAAGCACTAGGAAGTGGTAGCCCTGGCTAGTCACATAGGCCTAGCCTGATCGAAAAGACAGTCAAGAAGTGGGCAGGATGGGGCTTTTCCCACACATCTACCCAGGCATCACATAGATCTGGCCTGGGCGAAATGAATACTCCCCCTGCTTCAGCCCGTCTCACCTCTTCATCTTGTAACAGAAGTGCTCTTTCCTGTGGAGAACTCATTCCAGACAAAAAAAGTAAGGCTGACTCCACCTAGGGTGACCAGTCTTCCTGGTTTGCTTGGAACTGAGGGGGTTTCCTGGGACCTTGGACTTTCAGTTTTAAAACTGGACAAATCCCAGGCAAACTGGGATGAGCTTGTCACCCTGCCTTACACTATAACCACCGCTACCCTAAATGAGTGCACATATGCCCCAAGTTGGGCTGATGGAGAGGATCTCCAGGACATTCGTCTTAGAGCTGCCATCAAAGATGGTTCTATTACTTCTGGGTGGACTAAGTCGGTGGAATAGATGTTATCTGCCAACTGTCATTTCATCCACTACAGGAAGAATGTCTGTCTGAGAGATGAGTATAAATCCCTATCTCTGATGAGCATCTCAATCCTGCTGAACCTGAAGCAAGGACTGCCCAGGAAACTTTTGGCGACATGAGCTTATGAATTCTTTCTTCTGAAGTTTGGATTTGGTTTCTGGCCTGGCTTAATATAGTGGGTACTTTGAATAGAAGGCAGATATAAATCATGGTGTATACTTACAGGCATTTTAACTATCAGAAGACTCCCTCACTTAGTGAGACATTATAGCTCACTGGGTTAAAAGCTATAATACAGGACTGCCTAAATGACAAACTCCTCTGCCTTGATCAGTGTCACACAATTGCCTGTATTATGGTGTCTTGATGTGTGTGTTAATATAGCCTTCTTTTTCTGTGTTAGCCTGTTCTTTGAATTCTTCTGTTCCTTGAATTCAGTGCCTTCTTTCTGCCCTAAACTGCCCTCAGTGTCTCTTCATTCCTCTGTCTCACCTCCTCTAACACCATTCCTTGCTCTAAATACCCAATCACATTTTCTCCAGCTGCCTGCTGGTATTAAATACTCCCAGCTCTGCCAGTCTTTCTGGGTTCCTAGCTACAAAGAGTTCTGTCTGCCTTACCTAACTGTATGTGGCACCAGGAGGGACTTAGAACCAATGAGTGGACATTTGGCTTAATCTTTGGGTGATTGGATGTTGCTCTCAGTTGCAAAACCTGTTGTTGTCATTATTGGAAACATGGCCCTCTTCCAAATAATGCTTTCAGGATTTGTGATGCTTTAATGTTCAAGAACTTTCCCTCACATATGATATAACTGACTGGGTAATTGGGTAGGGGTAGGAGATAGAGTGTGGTGAATTTGCAGAATAAGCTTGTGAAAATGCTGAGTCAGAGCTGGTTTAGGAAGGATGCTGCCACAGCTACAGTTTTCAAATTTTACTGCATATAAAAATAACTTGAGGTGCTTATTTAAATTGCATGTTCCTGAGCCCATCTCCAGTGAATCTGATTCAGTAGCTCTGGAGTTGAGCCCAGGAGTAATCATGTTAAACGAGAACTTCAAGTGATTCTGATGTAGTTTGGTCCCCAGACCATACTTTGAGAGACATCCCTCCACTGTGTGTTTAGGAAATATGCTTGGGGGAGCAAAGACACTGAAAATCAGGATGTGTTAGAATAAATACAGGATAGATCATTTTTGTGTGTTTTTTTTAATGCCTTTTGAGTGTTTTAGAATGTTTGGCTTGTTTTCCTTAAGCAGTTTGGTAAACTTGGAAGGCAGGCTAGGGAAATATGGTGGAAACTACATATATGTTCCATGTCTATCCCATAATATTCCACATACCCCAAAAATGTTAAGGACTGTTGGAACTCAGTGGCCTGCCCAATCACACATATCATGGAATGTCTTGAGCGGGGGTTATTCTGCAGAATTGACCTTTACAATCTCATATTTTAAATTATTCAACTCAGCAAAGAGCCAGCATTGCTAGCAGCAATTTAGGGTTATAAGGGAGAGCAGGTCAGGTGCCTGAAGTTGTGAGGCAATCATCTGGAATATGATGCATACTCCAACTCAGTATGTATCAAAAGATGCATATCCTCAGTTGGAGCACTGTCATAGATTGGTTAGAAGGAAGTCTCAGGGTACCTGGATCTCTTATTCTGGGATGGATGGAAACATCCCATCAGAAATGCAGCTCTTAGCACCAGGATGATAGTGTCTATGGTACTACTAGTGTACTGGGAGCATTGGTACTTCCCACATATGTCAGGAAGGCTTTGCTTGGCTGCTGGCTTCTGGGTAGAGTCCAGGAATCCCACAGGCCTTACTAGGCGAGCAAAATACTAGCTCTGGGACAGACTACAAATTCTGAGACCTATAGGAAAATTGTGGGATATATGATACATTCAGTGTGACAGTCTTTTGCTGAAATTAAATATTTATCATAAGTAGTTTATTCTCAAGTTTGGCTACCAATGGTTTCAATGCCAGTGGAGCAACAGAGGCTGCTGCTGTGTTTGATTCCTAGGGATATTATACACATAGAGTGCAATGGGCATGGAGCGTCAAGGAATATTTTTAATATGATAACATTAGGAGAAACATTGAGTAGAAATGTATATGGTCATTGGTTATCAGCCCAAGTTTATAGTTCTTGAGGCTGCTGAGGTTGGTAGAATGTGTTAGGGGAACTGTAGGGCGATAGATACATGTTCTGGTGGCTCGAAGATGAGCCAGACTTTGGTAATGACCTCAAAATTGACCAAAGGACCTCAAAATTGACCAAAACTGATTTTTTTCTGCTCCCCCTCTCCACTTGGGGCTTGTAAATGGTGTAGTGACTGTAAATAAGCATATCAATGGAAGATGGTCCCTAAGGAGGCCATTAAGTCCGAGAATAATTATGTAGACCCCTGAGCTGGCATTTAACAGGTGCTATTGCCGTTATTATGTATGTTATTGCTGAGTATTATAAGAGAATCAAGAGAAGAATGTGATAGACATCAGTTTTCAAAATATTTAAGAGTGCTATGACCATCCTCCTGCATGGCCTTGGCTGGGGGCTGTTTTCCTCTGTGCATAATGGTGTTAATGGGTAGAGAAGGCATGGACTGACAGGCTGAGAGGTTAATCTCAGAGCCTGCAGGTGCCACAAATGTACAAGAGTCTCTATCCTGCACGTAATGAATGTAGAGAGCAGAAAGCTTAGGAGTGGAGACCTAGTCTCTCAGACTTATCTGGGAAGCAGGGGAGAATACTTGCAGGTGAAAAGAGGTTGATGAGGCAAGGCCAAGTCATCAGGGTGGAAGCCATATCTAAGGGAGAAACAGGGAGCCAAAGTCTAAGCCACACCATCTCCAGAAGGAAAATATGGGTCAAAGGACCCAGGATATCACAAGACCTAGAGGTGCCCGCTGGAAACCCTGGGCTGATATCCCAGGGCTCAAAAGGAGGAGCAGTGGCCCTTGGAGGAGTTAGGCTAAGGGTTCTGTGATCCTGCTTAGTCTAAAGGATCCCCAGTGTGTCTTCTTATGGAATTCCTCATACTTCATTCATTTATTCAGTCATCATATATTAAGTATCTACTATATGCCGGTTACCTTTATAAATATGCATGCAAATTAGTGAGATAAAACTCAGTGATACCCTGTTTAACACAACATACAGGAAGAAGTTCATTTGTACAGGACCAGAATAACTCTTTTTGTTATTTTTTATTTTTTTTTATTATACTTTCAGTTTTAGGGTACATGTGCACAATGTGCAGGTTTGTTACATATATATACATGTGCCATGTTGGTGTGCTGCACCCATTAACTCATCATTTAACATTAGATATATTTCCTAATGCTATCCCTCCCCCCTCCCCCCACCCCACAACAGACCCTGGTGTGAGATGTTCCCCTTCCTGTGTCCATGCGTTCTCATTGTTCAATTCCCACCTATGAGTGAGAACATGCAGTGTTTGGTTTTTTGTCCTTGTGATAGTTTGCTGAGAATGATGGTTTCCAGACTCCTCCATGTCCCTACAAAGGACACGAACTCATCCTTTTTTATGGCTGCATAGTATTCCATGGTGTATATGTGCCACATTTTCTTAATCCAGTCTATCATTGTTGGACATTTGGGTTGCTTCCAAGTCTTTGCTATTGTGAATAGTGCCACAATAAACATACATGTGCATGTGTCTTTAAAGCAGCATGATTTATACTCCTTTGGGTATACACCCAGTAATGGGATGGCTGGGTCAAATGGTATTTCTAGTTCTAGATCCCTGAGGAATCACCACACTGACTTCCACAATGGTTGAACTAGTTTACAGTCCCACCAACAGTGTAAAAGTGTTCCTATTTCTCCACATCCTCTCCAGCACCTGTTTTTTCCTGACTTTTTAATGATTGCCATTCTAACTGGTGTGAGATGGTATCTCATTGTGGTTTTGATTTGCATTTCTCTGATGTCCAGTGATGATGAGCATTTTTTCATGTGTCTGTTGGCTGCATAAATGTCTTCTTTTGAGAAGTGTCTGTTCATATCCTTCGCCCACTTTTTGATGGTGTTGTTTGTTTTTTTCTTGTAAATTTGTTTGAGTTCATTGTAGATTCTGGACATTAGTCCTTTGTCAAATGAGTAGATTGCAAAAATTTTCTCCCATTCTGTAGGTTGCCTGTTCACTCTGATGGTAGTTTCTTTTGCTGTACAGAAGCTCTTTAGTTTAATTAGATCCCATTTGTCAATTTTGGCTTTTGTTGCCATTGCTTTTGGTGTTTTAGACATGAAGTCCTTACCCATGCCTATGTCCTGAATGGTATTGCCTAGGTTTTCTTCTAGGGTTTTTATGGTTTTATGTCTAACATGTAAGTTTTTAATCCATCTTGAATTAATTTTTGTATAAGGTGTAAGGAAGGGATCCAGTTTCAGCTTTCTCCATATGGCTAGCCAGTTTTCCCAGCATCATTTATTAAATAGGGAATCCTTTCCCCATTTCTTGTTTTTGTCAGGTTTGTCAAAGATCAGATAGTTGTAGATATGTGGCATTATTTCTGAGGGCCTGTTCTGTTCTATTTGTCTGTATCTCTGTTTTGGTACCAGTACCATGCTGTTTTGGTTACTGTAGCCTTGTAGTATAGTTTGAAGTCAGGTAGCATGATGCCTCCAGCTTTGTTCTTTTGGCTTAGGACTGACTTGGCAATGGGGGCTCTTTTTTGGTTCCATACGAACTTTAAAGTAGTTTTTTCCAATTCTGTGAAGAAAGTCATTGGTAGCTTGATGGGGATGGCATTGAATCTATAAATTACCTTGGGCAGTATGGCCGTTTTCACAATATTGATTCTGCCTACCCATGAGCATGGAATGTTCTTCCATTTGTTTGTATCCTTTTTTATTTCATTGAGCAGTGGTTTGTAGTTCTCCTTGAAGAGGTCCTTCACATCCCTTGTAAGTTGGATTCCTAGGTATTTTATTCTCTTTGAAGTAATTGTGAATGGGAGTTCACTCATGATTTGGCTCTCTGTTTTTCTGTTATTGGTGTATAAGAATGCTTGTGATTTTTGCACATTGATTTTGTATCCTGAGACTTTGCTGAAGTTGCTTATTACCTTAAGGAGATTTTGGGCTGAGATGATGGGGTTTTCTAGATATACAATCATGTCATCTGCAAACACGGACAGTTTGACTTCCTCTTTTCCTAATTGAATACCCTTTATTTCCTTCTCCTGCCTGATTGCCCTGGCCAGAACTTCCAACAGTATGTTGAATAGGAGTGGTGAGAGAGGGCATCCCTGTCTTGTGCCAGTTTTCCAAGGGAATGCTTCCAGTTTTTGCCCATTCAGTATGATATTGGCTGTGGGTTTGTCATAGATAGCTCTTATTATTTTGAGATACGTCCCATCAATACCTAATTTATTGAGAGTTTTTAGCATGAAGGGTTGTTGAATTTTGTCAAAGGCCTTTTCTGCATCTATTGAGATAATCATATGGTTTTTGTCGTTGGTTCTGTTTATATGCTGGATTACGTTTATTGATTTGCATATGTTGAACCAGCCTTGCATCCCAGGGATGAAGCCCATTTGATCATGGTGGATAAGCTTTTTGATGTGCGGCTGGATTCAGATTGCCAGTATTTTATTGAGGATTTTTGCATCGATGTTCATCAGGGATATTGGTCTACAATTCTCTTTTTTTGTTGTGTCTCTGCCAGACTTTGGTATCAGGATGATGCTGGCCTCATAAAATGAGTTAGGGAGGAGTCCCTTTTTTTCTGTTGATTGGAATAGTTTCAGAAGGAATGGTACCAGCTCCTCCTTGTACCTCTGGTAGAATTCGGCTGTGAATCCATCTAGGACCAGAATAACTCTTAATCAACATGTATCAGTCTTCACAATGCTCTTTCACAGTAGTGCTCCTGGCAGCATGCCCAGCAGGTCTGCCCAGCACTGCTTTTTCTTAGCATTTTGTAGCCAAACTGCACATCATTGCCTGTGGCTGTGTATCCATTGATTTTTATGCAGTTTCTTCAGCTTGCAATTACTTCATTTTTTTTTGTTCATGTCAGAGTAGCTACTTAAAATCTTGCAGCCGTTTGTGCTTTATGTGTGTTCTGCTCAGGTGCTGTAAGATAATTTAGTTCTCAGAAGCCCAGCTTACTACAACTATGTAAAGATGCCTTTTGTTAATGGTGTTTGAAATACTGGCATTGTCAAATAGGCTTGATAGTCAAATATTTAATACTGGATCAAAATCATCTTGAAGAGACACTAAAAACTTTATTTTTAGAAAAATTTAGAACTGTTAATTGAGGGTGCTGTGTCAGGCATTGTGCTGAATACTTTACATACTAATAATACATAGTATTTATTAAATACTATATATCAGACACTACATTAAGTGCTTTCCATTATTTCACTCAACCTTCACAACAGTCCTGTGAAGAACATGCTATTACTCTGATCTTGCAGATGAGAAAACTGAGGTATAGAGAGTAGTTTACCTAAGGTCTCACAGCTAGACAGTGGTAGAGCTGGTATTCAACCCCAAGCAGTCTGTTTGCAGAGCTCATGCTCATAACCCTGTGTTATGGTTTATTTATGCTACGGCTCATTTTATGTGACCTTCGCAACAGTACTGTAAGGTCTACATTGTGACTACTCTTTAACCAGCTATATTATTATTATAGATTTTATCAGAAACTGAGGCTTTTCGGATTAATTTACCTACATTGAGTAGGTTGAATAGTCACAATCTGAACCCAGGAAGCTGGTTGTCACAATTCTCTTCTACTAAACTATTCTCTAGCAAGTGGTGCAACAGGTTTTCAAATCCTGCCTGACTTCAGAATTCCTAACCAATCCAATACTGATACATCTGGAAAGTCAATCTCACATGGTTTTCTTTGTCAGTTTGTTTTGGTTAATGATTTGTACTAAGGTCTAGAAGTAGTGGGATTACTACTGTGGCCATTTAAACATTAAACTCCACTGGAGTCACTGAGAACTTTTAGAAACAGAATATCTTAAAATGTTTTGTATATGTTCAAGTTGATTATTCATTTCATTATTATTTTCTTCTATAGAGAACACATTAGAATGCTTAGGATAAAGAGCATTCAGAAAGCTCTTTAATCATATTGGAATTCTCCATTTGAAGATTTAGAATCTAGAAGATCTGAGTAAGAATGTACTGTAACGTTATAATGGAAGTCAATTGGAAAAAGCAATACAAATTACATACATTAGACTTACACGCAACCTTTCTTCTTCTCCTGAAACCCCACCGTTGCCAGCTTCATGCTTTGCAGATGACTCTGCCTTATACTTCACTGAAAATTATAAGCCATAGGACACAAACCTCCCTTATCTCCAGCTTGAATTTTTCTCAGTCTTCATCTGCCTTGTGTTTTTTTCCATCTATGGAAAAGAATTAAATTTTCTACATCCAAAATTTAATCTTTGCCCTCAAATGCTTGTACCAGGTGTGAGGTCTCACAGTGAGACTAGATGGGGTAGGGAGTTTTGCTAGTTAAGATGGGAGTTGCCAAATTTCAAAGGATTACTGTGAGGTGTGGACCAAGAGGGAGACCAAAGTTATCACTGGAGACAAGTATCAAGCATCTATTGCACAAGAGAGCTTTCAAAGCTACAGGGAAGGAGTCAGAATCTAGGATCTAAGAAAGGCAGAAACATATCAGAAAGTGTTTATTCAAATGAAATGGCTTACGATCTAGGCAAGGACAAAGGGAGTGAATTGGTATCTGCTTCTTTTTGGTGATGAGTATGTCAGGTGAGGAAAATCATGTGCTTGCTCCACTCTTATCCACTGGCTTCATCATTTATCTCCTCTCTTTCTTGAATCTACAGTTTTCCCCTTTCCAATGTATTCTCACCCCCCACTCCTTTAGGTTATACACTTTCCTCTCCCTTTCCAAAAACCCACTTTACCCCTTTATGTCTTCAAGCAGATGTCATCTTTTCCCCACTCCATACTCCCAACCCCCAATGGCTAAAATCAATGGTTTTGATCAGTCATAATGCTCATGAGGCTCTTTGTGGCATTAAACATTGTTGAACATGCCCACTTTTAAAACTCCTCCCTTCGTTGTGCCCTTCTCCTGCTTCTTTGGGTGTGTTTTCTTTCTCCTTTCTCTTTGGGTTTTTAAATATGTATTTTTATAAGGATATGTTATTGGCCTGCTTCTCAGCTCTATCTGTACTGTCTTTTCTCTGGCAGACTCATCTAATTTTATGATTTGGATTCTTCTCTCTACCCAGGTGACTCCTAAATCTGAATTACCAGCTTTGACCTTGATCTCCCTTTCACATTTCTAGTGGCCAGCTAGCCACTTGCACCTAAGCATCTCATCTGCATTATATTCTACATGGATAAACATAAACTCATTATTTTTCTAAAACCAGCTTCTCTTCATGTTTTTTTATTTATGTTAATAATATTTATGAACTCCTAGTCTCCTAAATTCTAGGCCTTTGGGTCAAGTTTTACTCTTCCTGAATTCAATTGGGTACCAAGTTGTGCTGATTGAAGTATTTCTAATATTTATCTCCCCTTTTGATTATTATTTCTTCTTTCCCAATGCACTTCATCAAAAATAACTTCAAGTAGCCTGCTAGCTGGCCTCCCTACTATTAGTTTTCTTTTCCTTTAATCCATTTTAATTATTTGGTTCTATCAATTTCCAAATAATATCTGTTATATCTGTCATTTAAACTCTTCTCCACAAACAAGTCAAACACCCTAATCTAGCATTCTAGGTTCTTCACATTTGACCCAACAGATTTTTCTATTTTTATTTCCCACTTTGCATACCCTTTGCTGTAGAAATAATAGACTGACTTACTCTTCTCTGTAAATGCCTCAGAATTTCTCTCTCCCATGCCTTTGCTGTTCCTTTAGACCAGAGTAAGCTCTGTTCATCAACTCCTTATGTACAAATCCTACATCATTCAAAGCCTAATCTGTTACCTCTTATCCCATGAAGGTTTTCTTGATCTCTTTAGGTGGCAGTAATCTCTATAGTTTCTTACCTGCCATTGCACTTTTTCTCTGACTTTTTCCTAATTCTTATGACTTTAATTTGCATTTCAATTATTTACAGACACATTTTATCTCCATGGTTTCATTGTAAACATCTTGAAAAATGGTTCAGACTCTGATTCATTTTTGTATTCCCAAAGTGCCTGGTATAAATATTTGAACAAAGTTGATAAGACTCACCAAATATTCCACAACTTATTTAATTCCCCAGCATTCCTTGCTGTTCAATTCAGGGCACATGATTAGCCTTGGCCAATAGTTTATAAAAGTTATGTGTAACACTTCCAGTTTGAGGTATTTTAAAATGAAGGAGAATTCTCCATTCTTTCTTCCCTCTTCCCCTTCTACAACACTGTGTGTTCCAGATGGCCTGTCTACAAGTTGGTGGAGTTTCTACAAGCCTGAGTCCCTGATTGCCCCTGTCGATCAGAGCTCCCCCTGAACTTTACTAGATGTGGGTCTAAGTGAAAAATTCCGTCATGTTAAGCCACTGAAATTTCAGTGTTAATATGTTTCTGCAGCATAGCCTATCCTAAGCTGACTAACAGAGGAGGTATCTAATAAATTCATGAATATGATCAAATGGCAATAATAACTATTAAATAAATTGTGTTGCTGGAACTGTTCAAGAAACTTGATCTAGTTGTTAGGAAGTTACAGTTTCATATCTGAACATCCCAAAAGAACAATATCATCAGATTGTAAGTAGTCTACCATTTGATTACATACCTCCCACAAATCTTACAAACCTGTTGCCTTAAAAAATTCATTTGGTAATCTATCACATATGTAGTTTCATGTTTTGTTTTCAAGTAGTGGAATTTAAATTTAGGCACTAGAGCTGCATTTCTCATTAAAAGGTATAAATAGTGTTTTCTTGACATAGTCAAATGCCTAATCTCTATTGTCATTGGCTTACTGATAGACTGCAGTGTTCCTTTCATGAATTGATTCTTGATGTCTAAGATGACCTTACAGGTATAATTTATCAGCAAAATGTATTAATATTTAAAGAATGCTGGCTGATTAAGACATCTTTAGTGTAATTTATTTTTTCTTCAAGAATTCAAGAAAGAAGAAAAAGTTTAAAGAAAATAAACTTACTCACAACCCTAGAGATAACTTCTGTTACCCTATTACAGTCTTCAAGGATTATTGAGCATGTTTACAGTTTGTCAAAATGTATTCAGCCCTGAGGAAGTTGAAACATTTTCCTCTGGCTCTCAAGGGCTTGTGATTACAGTTTCTCAGGCTGTTTTCCTTGCATGGTGTGAAGTGCTTTGGATCTAGCTTTCTCCCCTTACCAAAATCTAAACACAGCTTAGTACAGCTGCCTGATAATTTACTATGAGATATTAATACTACGAATGCTGAGTTACCTTTCCTGAGGAGCCTGCCATTTATAACAGTACCAATTTACCAAATCTATACAGTCAAAATGTTAATTTCCATGACAAATGACAGGCTAGAGTAGGAGCAACATTTGGCAGGGAGATCCTTCTAAAGTCCCCAAAATTAAGTTACATGGAAGCCATGACTGTTTTAAAACAATATTATTCCAGAGAGTCATCTAGATGTTTCGCAGATCAATTGTTTCCCTACATAGCTGGCCTAGCACTTTCAAAATGGAGAGCTAGCCTCTGGACTGAGGTTCTAATATGCTATGCCCATTTCAAAGAGACAAAGTTCAAAGTTCTCTTTCCTTTTATTTCTTCAAATTGAATGAAACATACTCAAAGTGTTTCTGCTTATTACTGACTGTGCTAGGTCTCCTGGACTATCTTCATGCTAAAGACTTTTGTTTGGAACTTTCTGCTACCATCAGGACTTTCACAGAGGCTGTTTCCCCACTTGTAATAGGCTTATCCTGATTTATTACTGTCTTATATCTGTAACCAGATAGGACCACTGTGGGACAGATGACCAACTATTCAGTATAACTCATAAGGGCATACAAGCACAGAGTTTGAGTGGTCCTATCTGCTCTATGATACCAGTAGACAAATTATAATATATTCCATATGTATTATGGTGCATATGGAATTATAAATACATCTTGACTCTGCCCTTTTATATCAGTGTTTACCCCAACTCTCACTGGCACTCTAAACTTAAGCTTCAACCAAGTATTGTTTCAGGTTCCCACTTACAGTCCAGTCTCTAAATTCAGATGGAAAGGCAGCTTTATGGATAAAGGGATCCAAGAAAGAGGAGAAAGAAAACAATTACACCTTGGACTGGCTTAATCCCAAGAAGCTCTAGGGACCCAGGAGTTTCTAACATATTTGTTAGGCCCAAAGATGAGGGAGGCCATGTCACTTGACAAAGACTACAAACTCTTAGATGATGGTATGGCATTTTCCCCAGGAGAGGTTGGAGCCCTATAAATAAGGTCAGAGCCCTTTAAATTGGGATTAACCCCATAAAGTATGAGATTTTAACCACCAGTCTGAGGTTTCAACCATTGCAGTTTAAAGTTAGATGAAAATTGTTTTTTTCTCCCATGTTAACTCAGAACTGCCCGGGGTTCTGACTTCTACACAGGACACTGGTATTGTTTCTATCCCTGGTCTTGATGCTGGTGTTTCGCTTTAAATTCTGCATACTTTGGATATGGCCTGTGATCACAAATCTTGACTATCTTTTTAGTTTATTGTGAGCTTTGTTAAGCTAGACTCTTGTTAACGGCATACTGCATAAAAACTGAAAAAGTGATTACAATAGTTCAAGATTTTTAAATTGGGGATCAAGAGGCATAGCCAGAAGACTTAGACTTTAGTAACAGGTATATTAAGCATGTGACTTTGGAGAAGTCTCTGAATTTTTCTGATAAGAATCTAGGTTTTCTTATCCCTGAGCAATAAAAGATGAAAAATATTTGCAACATAAATGACAATATTCAATACAAAGAACCTTTAAAATATAAGAGAAAAATAACACTTGTTTGGGACAATAAGCACAGAACACAAAAGGCAACTCGCAAAAAGAGAAAGACAAATTACCCACATGATATACACAAATTAATTTAAAATGGATCAAAGGCCTAAATGTAGATCTAAAACTACAAAACTCTTAGAAGAAAACGTTAGTGTAAATCCTAAACATTGGTGAGATTAGGCATTTTTTTTAGATATGACACCAAGCCTATAAGCAACAAAAGAGAAAATAGGTAAATGAGACTTCATAAAAAATTAAAGACTCTTGTGCTCCAAAGGACACCATCAAGAAAATGAAAAGACAGTCCACAGAATGAGAGAAAGAAATTGCAAATCATATATCTGGTAAGGATTTATATCCAGAATATATAAAAAAAGCTCTTATAACTCAATAATAAAAAGACAAGTCAATTTAAAAATTGGCAAAGTACCTGATAGACATTTCTCCAAAGAAAATATTCAAGTGGCCAAAAAACACATGAAAAGATACTCAACATCATTAGTAGTCAGGGAAATGCAAATCAAAACCACAATAGATACTACTTCACCCCACTAAGTTATTTTTTTAAAAGACAGAAAATGGCAAGTGTTGGCAAGGAAGTGGAATAATTAGAACCTTCATACACTAACAGTGGGATTTTTAAATGGTACAATTGATTTGGAAAACAGTCTGGCAGTTCCTCAAATGGTTAAACACGCTGTCTCCATACAACACAGCAATTGTTATCCTAGGTTTATGCCCAAGAGAAATGAAAACATGCCACAAAAAACTCATGTATACATAGCAGCATTGTTTGTAATATCCAAAAAGTGGAAAAACCTAAATGTCCATCAACTCATGACTGAATAAACAAATTGTGGTATAATCATACAATGGAGTATTATTCATCAATAAAAAGAAATGGAATACTGATACATGTTACAACATGGATGAACCTTGAAAACATCATAAGTGAAAAAATAAATTGTCTGATTCCATTTATGTGAAATGTCCACAATAGGCACATCTATGGAGACAGAGAGTAGATTAGTGATTGCCTAGGACTGGACTTGGGGTTGTGAGGTTGGAGAATGACTATTAATGGGTATGAGTTTCTTTTCGGAGTGATGAAAATGTTTTAAAATTAATGGTGGTGATGATTGTACAACTCTGAGAACATACTAAAAATCATTAAAGTATATGCTTTAAATTGTATGTAAGTTCTCTCAATAATACTGTTATTAAAAATACAAATTAACAAGAAACTCATGAAAAAGCTTCTAATTCATTGGTCGTTAAATAAATAAAAATTAAAATTAGCATCAGACACCATATCTCTCATCAAATTATAAATGAAAAGTGTGTGTGTTAAATGAAATATATATGTGTGTATACTTTGTAAACTGCAAAGAAGTATTCATAAGCAATTTAATTCTATCATATATATTTTGGTTCTGCTTCTCAAGCTCAGAATATCTTAGACATTTTTATTGTGAGCCCAAAGCATGGATAATTCAAATTACAGATTTCCTAATTAATATTTTTTTGCCCAAAGAAATAAAAAATATTTACAGTTGTACAGAAATGTACAAATTAAGTAAAGAAAAAAGAAACTAGGTTCAATGAAAAGTGGCCAACTTTCTTCTTCCCACCCCCTACTGGAGGACATTAGAAGCGTCTATGCTTTATCCCCTCAAATGGCAAATTAAGTAACAGCAGCCACTGTCCATAGACAGAAGGAGCCTGGTGTGTTCCAAATGTGTTGTGTGGCATTTATGAGTGCTGTAGTGATGTCCTGGAGAAAACACAGCTGTCTCATGCACCAGCCTGTAGCCTCTATAAATTAGTGTCAATCTAAATATTCTTTTCTTGCACTGGGAGATGGAGAACTCTTTTCTGTATCAAATTCAAGAGCTTCCACACACTGTAGAAAGTGAAAACTATGTTGCAAAATGATTTGGATGCTACATAGACAAATTAAGCCCTAAAGCAACTCCACATAGATTGATTTCAGAGAAATTTGAGGCACCAGAATGAGTCTCATCTTAAGTCAAACATTTATCTTGCTAAGTCAGTGGGAGTGATTCCACCGTTGCATTCTCTCTTAAAAGGTTCAAAAGTAGGGCCTTATTTTGGATGCTGATAAGCTTAAATATAAGCCAGAGAAGGAAAATATTTGGCATGTGTTGTTGCTTGACTCCTTCACTTACCTGAATGTAGCTAATACTTATCCTTCTAGACACATCTATGGAATCTGAATATGGTCCAAGATTCTTTCTTAACACAGCCCTCTCAGCATTCATTACTAATTAGTCAATGAACCCTGTTTGCCATTCCTGTTATAGGTTATTCAAAGTTGAAATGTATCTGTATATATTTTTGACTCAACTACTTAAAATAACTTTAAAAGTATATTTGTCTTTATATAAGGTTTACCTTTTGGAATATAGGAATTTTAAGTAGAAACAGTCCAGTGGTTACTCAATATAGGGAACATTCCTCATCTAATTTGCTTTAAGTGCCTGAAGTGGTTATCATTGACTCTTTGGTCTGTAACAAATGTAAATACCCAAGTAGAACTTTCAGCATTATAAACCATTTCCTAGAAATGATTTGGCATGTGCTATTATCATCTTAATTAATAATATGCTTTACATATGTCAACCCATTTAGTACTCTCCTAAAGCCCCTGCAGGATGTACTGTTAAAATCTCCAGGGAGAGGCTGGGGGCGGTGGCTCATGCCTGTAATCCCAGCACTTTGGGAGGCTGAGGCAGTTGGATCACCTGAAGTCAGTAGTTCGAGACCAGCCTGGCCAACATGGTGAACTCCCACCTCTACCAAAAATACAAAAATTAGCCAGGTGTGGTGGCACGTGCCTGTAATCCCAGCTGCTCAGGAGGCTGAGGCAGGAGAATCGTCTGAACCTGGGAGGCAGAAGTTGCAGTGCAATTCTGCCATTGCACTCTAGCCTTGGCAACAGAGCGAGACTCCATCTCAAAATAAATAAATAAATAAATAAAATCTCCAGGGAGAAAAAGCAGAGCAAGATGGCTGAATAGAAGCCTCCAGCGATTGTTGCACCTCCCACAGGAACACCACATTGAACAACTATCCACATAAAAAAGCAACTTTATAAGAACCAAAAATCAGGTGAGTGACCACAGTACCTGCCTTTAACATGATATTAAGGAAAGAGGCTCTGAAGAGGGCAGGAATGACAGTCTTTAATTGCCTACACCAACTCTCCCCAATTCCCTGGGAGTGGCCACACGGCGTAGAGAGAGAATCTTTGCATTTAGGAGAGACAGCAAAGTGATTGTGGAACTTTGCATTGGAACTCGGTGCTGCCCTGTCACAGCAGAAAGCAACATGGGGCAAAATTTAGCCAGGGCCCATGGAGGAAGTATTTAGGCCAGCCCTAGCCAGAGGTGAATCATCCATCCCAGTGGTCAGAACCTGAGGTCTAGTAAGCCCCGCCACCATGCACTAAACAGCTCTGGGGTCCTGAATAAATTTGAAAGGCAGCATAGGCCACAAGGCCTTGCAGTTCCTGGGCAAGTCCTAGTGCTGTGCAGGGCTCAGAACTTGGGGTGCATGTGACCCAGTGAGGCACAAGCCAGGGTGGCCAAGGGATGGCTTACATCACCCTTTCTCCAATCTTAGGCAGCACAGCTTGCAGCTCTGGGAGAGACTCCTTACCTCTGCTTGAGGAGAAAATGGAGAGTAAAGAGGACTTTGTTCTGCAACTTGGATACCAGCTCAGCAACAGTAAAATAAGGCATCAGGCAGAGTCCTGAGGCCCCAGTTCCAGGTCCTAGCTCCTGAACAACATTTCTAGACACACCTTGGGCCAGAAGGGAACTTACTGCCTTGAAGGGAAGAACCCAATCCTGGCAGGATTTATCATTTGCTGACTAAAATGCCTTTGTTCCCTGAATAGTCACCAGTGGTATACAGGTAATAGTCACTATGGGCCTTGGGTGAGACTCAGAGCTATGCTGGTTTCAGGTGTGATCCAGCATATTCCAAGCTGTGGTGGCCATAGGGAGAGAGTGCTTCTGCTTGAGGAAAGAAGAGGGAAGAGTAAAGGGGACTTTGTCTTGCAGCTTGGGTACCAGCTTGGGTAGCAGCTTCACCGCAGTGGGGTAGAGCACCAAATATCTCCTGGGGTTCCTGCCTCTAGGCCTTGTTTTCTGTATGGTACTTTGGGAACTACCCTAAGCCACAGGAGCACCCACTTCCCTGAAGGGACAGACTCAGTACTGGCAGCATTCACCTCAGACTGAACGAAGAGCTCTTGGGCCTTGAGTGAACATAGGTAGTAGCCAGGCAGTACTTGCTATGGGCCACTGGTGGTGATGGCCATGGGGAGAGTCACCTCTGATTGAGGAAAGGCGAAGGAAGAGTGGAAAGGGCTTTTTCTTGCAGCTTGGGAGCCATCTTATATGCAGTAGAGTAGAGCACTGGGTAGATTCCTAAGGATCCCAACTCCAGGCCCTGGCTCTCAGATGACATCTCTGGACCTTCCCAGGGCTGGGGGAACTCACTGCCCTGAAGGGAAGGACACAAGCCTGGCTGGATTTGCCACCTGCTGATTGTAGAGCCATTGGTCCTTGAGTGAACATTGGTGGTAGCCAAGTGGTGGTAACTGCGGGCCTTGGGCAAGAGACAGTACTGTGCTGACTTCAAGTCTGATCCGGTAAAATCCCAGTGGTGATGACCACAGAGTGCTTGTGTCACCCCTCTCCCAGCTCCAGGCATCTCATCACAGAGAGAGAGAGAGAGACTCTGTAAAGTAAGGGAAGACAATAAGAGTATCTCCTTGGTAATCCAGGGACTTCTCTCAGATCTTACCCAAGTTCAGCAAGGCAGTACTTCTATGAGTCTGCAAGAGCCATAGCATTACTGGGCTTGGGGTGCCTCCTAATGCAGACATGGCTACAGTGACCAAAGACAGATTACAACGCCTAATTCCCTCTGAATACCTGGAAAGTCTTCCCAAGAAGGATGGGTACGAACAAGCCCAGACTGTGAATATAAATATTTAACCCTTCAATTTCAAGACAACAACATACATCCACAACCATCAGGACAATCCATGAGCTCATGAGATGAACTAAATAAGTCACCAGTGACCAACCTTGGAGAGACAGAGATGTGTGGCCTTTCAGACACAGAATTTAGTATAGCTGTTTTGCGGAAGCTCAACAAAATTCAAAGTAACACAGAGAAAGAATTCAGAATTCTATCAGACAAGTTTAAAAAGCCATTGAAATAAGCTTTAAAAAGTAGAAATTCTGGAGCAAAAAACATAATTGACATACCGAAGAGTACATCAGAGTCTCTCAACAGCAGAATTGATCAAGCAGAAGAAACAATTAGTGAGCCTGAAGATGGGCTATTTGAAAATACACAGTCAGAGAAGACAAAAGAAGAAATAATAAAAAGAATGAAACATGCCTACAAGATCTAGAAAATAGCCTCAAAAGGACAAATCTAAGAGTTATTGGCCTTAAGGAGGAGAGATAGAGAGAGAGAGAGGGGTAGAAAATTTATTCAAAGAGATAATAGCAGAGAACTTCCCAAATCTAGAGAAAGATATCAATATTCAAGTACAAGAAGATTATAGAACACCAAGCAGATTTGACCCAAATAAGACTGCCTCAAGACATTTAACAACCAAACTCCCAAAGGTCAAGGATATAGGATCGTAAAAGCAGCAAGAGAAAAAAAAATAACATGCAAAAGAGTTCCAATACATCTGGCATTAGACTTCTCAGTGAAAATCTTACAGGCTAGGAGAGAGTGGCAAGACATATTTAAAGTGCTGAAGGTAAAACAGCCTTTATCCTAGAATAGTATATCCAGTAAAAATATCCTTCAAGCATAAAGGTGAAATACAAATGTTCCCAGAAAAAACAAAAGCTGAGGGATTTCATCAACACCAGACGTGTCCTAGAAGAAATGCTAAAGGGAGTACTTTAATTTGAAAAAAGTCATCTGAAGGTACAAAACTCACTGGTAGTAGTAAGTACACAGAAAAACACAGAGTATTGTAACCCTATAATTGTGGTGTGTAAACTACTCATATATTGAGTACAGATACTAAAAGATAAACCAATAAAAAAAATTACAACAATTTTTCAAGACATAGTATAATAAAATATAAATAGAAACAACAAAAAGTTAAAAAGCAGGGGGGATGAAGTTAAAGTATAGTTTCTGTTAGTTTTCTCCTCGCTTGTTTGTTTTTGCAATCAGTGTTAGATTTTCATTGGTTAAAAATAATGGGTTATAAGATAGTATTCACAAGCCTCATGGTAACCTCAAATCTAAAAATATACGATACACACAAACAAAAGCAAGAATTTAAGGCATACCACCTGAGAAAATCACCTTCACTAAGTGGAACACAGGAAGAAAGGAAAGAAGGAAGAAAAGACCACAAAACAAGCAGAAAACAAATAAAATGCAGGAGTAAGTTCTTACTTATCCCTAATAACACTGAATGTAAATGAACTAAACTCTCCAATCAAAAGATATACAGTGGTTGAATGGATTAAAAAACAAGACCAAATAATCTGTTGCCTACAAGAAACACTTCACCTATAAAGAACTACATAGACTGAAAATGAAGGGACAGAAAAAGATATTTTATGTGAATGGAAACAAAAGCAGAACTATACTTATACCCGATAAAATAGATTTAAATACAAAAACTATAAGAAGAGACAAAGAAGATCATTATATAATGATAAAGGAGTTAATTCGTCAAGGGGATATAACAATTATAAATATATATGCACCCAACACTGCACCCAAATATATATAGCAAATATTAATTGAGCTAAAGAGAGAGACAAACTCCAATACAATAGTAGCTGGACACATGAACACCCCACTTTCAGCACTGGACAGAACATATAGATAGATAATCACAAAAGAAATATCAGAATTTATCTATAGACCAAATAGACCTAATAGGTATTTACAGACTATTTAACCAATGGCTGCAGAATATACATTCTTCTTCTTAGCATATAGATCATTCTCAAGAATAGACCATATGTTAAGCCACAAAACAAGTCTTTAAAATTTCAAAAAAATTGAAATCATGTCAATGATTTCTTCTAATTTCTTCATTGAAATTAAGAATGAAAAAATGTCTTGAACTACATGAAAATGGAAACACAATATACCAATACCTGTGGAATACACTGAAAGCAGTATTAAGAGGAAAGTTTATGCAATAAGCCCTACATCAAAAAAGTAGAAAAACTTCAAATGAGCAACATAATAATGCATCTTAAAGAATTCGAAAAACAAGAGCAAATCAAACCCAAAGTTAGTAGAAACAAAGAAAGAATAAATATCAGAGCAGAAACAAATGAAATGGGAACAAACAAATAAAAATAAATGAAATGAAAAATTGTTTTTTTTGAAAAGATAAATTAACTTGACAAAGCTTTAGACAGACTAGTAAAAAAAAGAGAAGACCAAATAAATCAGAGATGCAAAAGGAAACATTATAATTGATACCTCAGAAATGCAAAGGAACATTAGAGACTACTATGAGCAACTATATGCCAATTAATTCGAAAATCTAAAAGAAATGGATAAATTCATAGACACATACAACCTACCAAGACTGAACCATAAAGAAATCTAAACATGAATAAACTAATAACAAGTAATGAGATCAAAGTTGTAATAAAAGTCTCCAAGCAAGAAAAGCCTGATGTGTTCATTGCTGAATTTTACCAAACATTTAAAGAAGAACTAATACTAAACCTCAAGCTATTACAAAAAATAGAACAGGATGGAATACTTCCAAACGCATTCTACCTGGCTAGTATTACCCTGATATCAGAACCAGACAAAGACATATCAAATCAAGAAAACTACAGGCCAATATCCCTGATGAACATTGATGTAAAAATCATAAACAAAATAGTAGCAAACTGAATTCAACAACACATTAAAAAGATCATTAATCATGACCAAGTGGGATTTATCTCAGAGATGCAAGGATGGTTCAACATATGCAAATCCATCAGTGCAGCGCATTGTATCAACAGAATGAAGGGCAAATACCATATGATCATTTCAGTTGATGCTGAAAAAGCATTTGATAAAATTCAACATCCCTTTGTGGTAAAAACCCTCAAGAAACTGGGTATTGAAGGAACATACCTCAACACAATAAAAGCCATATATGACAGATGCAAAACTAGTATCATTCTAAATTGGGTTTTCTGAAAACCGAAAGCCTTTTCTGCAAGATCTGAAACATTACAAGGATGCCCACTTTCACCACTGTTATTCAGCATAGTACTGGAAGTCTTTGCTGGAGCAATCAGATAAAAGAAAGAAATAAAGGACATCCAAATTGGAACAGAAGAAGTCAAATTATCCCTGTTTTGCAGATGATATGATTTTATATTTAGAAAAGTGTAAATTCTCCACTGGAAAACTCTTAGAATTGATAAAAAATTCAGTAAAGTTACAGCGTTGCAGGATACAATATCAGCATACAAAATCAGCAGCATTTCTTTTTTCTTTTCGTTTCTTTTTTTTTTTTTTTGAGATGGAGTCTCTCTCTGTTGCCCAGGCTGGAGTGCAGTGGCGCAACCTCGGCTCACTGCAAGCTCCACTTCCTGGGTTCACACCATTCTCCTGCCTCAGCCTCCCGAGTAGCTGGGACTACAGGTGCCCGCCACCACGCCCGGCTAATTTTTTGTATTTTTAGTAGAGATGGGGTTTCACCATGTTAGCCAGGATGGTCTTGATCTCCTGACCTCATGATCTGCTTGCCTTGGCCTCCCAAAGTGCTGGGATTACAGGTGTGAGCCACGGCACCCGGCCCAAAATCAGTAGCATTTCTATATGCAAACAGCAAACAATCTGAAAAAGAAATCAAGAAAGTAATCCCATTTACAATAACTGCAAATAAAATAAAATACCTAGGAATAAACTTAATCAAAGAAGTGAAAGATCTCTACAATAAAAGCTATAAAACATTGCTGAAAGAAATTGAAGAGGACACACAAAAATGGAAGGATATTCCATGTTCATGGATTGAAAGAGTCAGTATTGTTAAAACATCCCTACTACCAAAAGCAATCTATAGATTCAATCAAATATCTATCAAAATACCAATGATACTCATCACAGAAATAGGAAAAATAATCCTAAAATTTATGTGGAACCATAAAAGACCCAGAATAGCAAAAGCCACCCTGAGCAAAAAGAACAAAACTGGAAGAATCACATTACCTACTTCGAATTGTACTACAGAGCTATAGTAACCAAAACCATGCCAGCATGGTACTGGCATAAAAAAAAATAGACCAATGGAACAGAGTAGAGAAGCCAGAAACAAATCCATTAATCTGCAGTGAATTCATTTTTGAAAAAGGTGCCAAGAACACACACTGGGGAAAGGACAGTCTCTTTAATAAAAATAGTTCTGGGACAACATTACATTCATATGCAAAAGAATGAAACTAGACCCCTAACTCTTGTTGTATACAAAAATCAAATCAAAATAGATGAAAGACTTATACTGAAGACCTCAAGCTAGGAAACCATTAAAAGAAAACACTGGGGGCCAAATAGATGTGGTGGCTCATACCTGTAATCCCAGCACTTTGGGAGGCGGAGATGGGCGGATCACTTGAGGTCAGGAGTTCAAGACCAGCCTGGCCAACATAGTGAAACCTCGTCTCTACTAAAAACACAAAAATTAGCCAGGCATGGTGGCAGGCACCTGTAATCCCAGCTACTCGAGAGGCAGAGGTAAGAGATTTGCTTGAGCCTGGGAGGTGGAGGTTGCAGTGAGCCAAGATCACGCCACTGCACTCCACCCTGGGTGACAGACCAAGACTCAGTCTCAAACAAACAAACAAACAAAAACAAGAAAACATTGAAACATTGGGGAAAGTCTCAAGGATATTGGTCTGGGCAAAGATTTCTAGAGTAATACCCCATAAGCACAGGCAACCAAAGCAAAAATGGACAAATGGGATCACATCAAGTTAAAAATCTTCTGCACAGCAAAAGAAACAACTAAGTGAAGAGACAACCCACAGAATAAGAGAAAAAAATTGCAAATTATCCATCTGACAAGGGATTAATAACCATAATATATAACGAGCTCAAATAGCTCTATTAAGAAAAAATATAATGATCCAATTAAAAATGGGCAAAATATCTAAATAGACATTACTCAAAAGAAGACATACAAATAAATAGCAAACAGACATATGAAAAGGTGCTCAATATCATTGATCATTAGAGAAATGCAAATCAGAACTACAATGAGATGTCATCTGACTCCAATTAAAAAAACTAGAGCTACCATATGATCCAGCAATCCCAGTTTTTTATATATTATGGTTATTAATCCCTTGTCAGATGGATAATTTGCAATTTTATTCTCTTATTCTGTGGGTTGTCTCTTCACTTAGTTGTTTCTTTTGCTGTGCAGAAGATTTTTAACTTGATGTGATCCCATTTGTCCATTTTTGCTTTGGTTGCCTGTGCTTATGGGGCATTACTCTAGAAATGCTTGCCCAAACCAATATCCTGGAGAGTTTCCCCAGTGTTTCAATGTTTTCTTGTTTTTGTTTGTTTGTTGGGTATATACCCAAAAGAAAGCAAAAGTATATTGAAGAGATATCTGCACTCCAACGTTTATCACAGCACTATATTATTCACACTAGCCAAAATTTGGAAGCAACCCATGTGTTCATCAAGAGACAAATGGATAAAGAAAATGTGGTACATATACACAATGGACTATTATTCAGTCATAAAAAAGAATGAGATCCTGTCATTTGCACAACATGGATGGAACTGGAGGACATCTGTTAAGTGATATAAGCCAAGCACAGAAAGACAAACTTCTTATGTTCTCACTTATGTGTGGTAAATTAAAATTAAAACAGTTGAATTCATGGAGATAGAGAGTAGAACGGTTTCCCAGAGGCCAAGAAGTGTAGTGCTGGGAGGCTGGCAGGGGCCTGAGGGGCATGGAGGTGGGACAGTTAATGGTAGATATAAAAATATAGTTAGATACGAGTGAATAAGATCTAGTATTCACTGGCACAATGGGGCACCTACAGTCAACAATAATTTATTTTATATTTCAAAACAACAAAAAGATTATAATCGGATTGTTTGTAACACAAAGAAAGGATAAAAGCTTGAGGTGATGGATACCTTATTTACCATGATATGATTATTATTCATTGTATGCCTGTATTAAAATATCTCATATACCCCATAAATATATACACCTACTATGTACCCACCCACAAAAATTTTAAAAAAAATCTCCAGGTTACAGTTGAGGAACCTGGGTTGTAGAGATGTTAGGTAACTTTAATATTGAGGCTGGAAAGAATTTCATCTTGGTTAAAGCTTGTTACTTGTGGCGCTCTTCCTGCATGTCCCCACACCGTGTTTCCCCATGATATATGGTTTGGACTAAGTTAAGAAGCTAGTGCTAAATAAATGCTCCTCATTTCTTCTTTTCAAATGATGAACAAAACTTCTTTTCCAAAAAACAAAAGCTGAAAACAAAACGTGACAGTTCTTTTGTCTCAACTCTTCTTGCTAAGAACCTTTTAAAAGTGACAATCCTATTTTCTCTGTGTCTGAAAAGCATTTTAGAGTAATTCGTAACTTAGAGCAACTATGTAAGCCCCAGAATCCCATTGCCGACTGTGTGTTTTGCCCATAAATCTTCAAATTAGTCAAGCTTTGTCAGTTCAGAGCGGTGCAAAATAAATAATATTAATAAACATGAATCATTTCAAGTCATAGCATAAACCTGAAAATTTCTTCCCCCAAATAGATAATTTTTATACATCCAAAGGTGGAGTCTAATAAGGAAAGTTAGTAATGAAAATTGCTAACACTGAAATCTTGTGCTCATCTCTTTTCAGCAGTGTAAAATAGAATACTTTATCAAAATGGAACTGTCAATAATGTTCAATTTCCTTTAACAACTACACTCTAAATAGATTTAACTGGCTATTTCCTTCACACATTCTCAATGAGAGTATTGATTAGTATGAAAGAAATTGACAAATAATTAGAATCATATCCCCAAACTTCCTATCTATTAATCATAAGGAAACACAGAGGCTTGCTTAGGTCTCCCAGTTTTTTAATGATGACTTTCATTCATGTTTCTCAGAGAAACAAAAGAATATACTTCATATTATTTTGTATGTAACTCCTTTGCATAGCAATTCTCAAATATTAGTATTC
Organism: Homo sapiens; assembly: GCF_000001405.40. NCBI lineage: Eukaryota > Metazoa > Chordata > Mammalia > Primates > Hominidae > Homo > Homo sapiens. The sequence goes on along the minus strand of NC_000014.9, from coordinate 59,872,551 downwards.
ATCAATAACCACTTTAAGGTTATATCATTAGAATTGTCTATGTTCTTGTCTTGTTATCAGTAATAAAACCATGAGAAATTCCCATCTAGTATTTCTGATGCTTTAGGGAATACTAAGTAATAGATTTGAAAAAACTTACAAGTGCCCTCTAATTACAAGACAGGATTAAGCTCCATGGAAATACAGCAGTGGAATAAGCTTTTCAACTTAACGGTTTTTTAAATACACTCTTGTTTTCCCATGGAAAGATGTTTAAAAATCATTATGATTCATGATAACCAATTATTTTGTTGTTTTTGGATGAGATTATTTTTATAGATTTATTGAGTTATAACTGACAACACATTAAATTGTTCATATTTACAGTAAACAATAAGTTTTGACATATGTTTGCACCTGTGAAGCTATAACCACAATCTAGATAGTGAATATTTCCATCATGAGACATAATTTTGAGTATGTCAAAAATGTAAAATTTTGGTGACCATCAGATTTCCAGGGATATCTGGCTTCAGGAGGCCATATTTATTGTTTAGTGAATGATTTTTCTCTAATTTATTGTCATCTTTTGAACATTAGTGCACTAGCAGAACAAAAGATTAGGCAGACTCTGGGCTTTTTCATTTTAGCATTATTGAGGAGCACCTGAATGGTCCTGAAGTTGGCCTTTGAATATACCAATGGACAGGTATGAAATCCTCAAGATGCGCATGGTGGCCAAGAGTCCCACAGTCTCACAGTGTGTGCGGTACCGTCTGCGCCCACCTTTCCTAGAGAAGAAACAGCAGAAAAACCTATTCCTTCACCCTGTGTGTTGTGGTGAATCTTAGTTTTTAAAGGCACATTATTTTATTATATAAACAACTTGGGAACCAATAAAACACAAGACATTTGAAAAGATGGGTCTTCGTATGGGCACAACATATGATAAGGCAAGTCACTTTCCTCCTCTGAGTTTGGGTTTATTTGCTGACTATCTTCCATTTTATCACAGTGAACTGTAAAGAAAAAGATGCAAGCTTCATGGAATGTCCAAATTCTGAAATACAACGGACTGCACAGACAGCTTATGATTAGGATGGCCTTGGCTCAGTGTTTCTGAAAGCAAATGTACAGCTTTTGTCCTTGCCTATTGACACCCTGTTTGCCCTCAGGGCTGGTCAGGGTGAGATCTGTTAAGCTTTTTTTGGAGGCTGTCCTGATAACTCATTTCTTTACTCCACTATTTTCAGGCCCATTCTGGAAACGCAGGATTTAACCGCGGGGTTGCAGCTTCCCTGGTCTCCATCTGCCATCAGAACCCATCTCCACCCCTTCCCCGTTCAGACCTGTGTCCCCTCCACAACTCATACTGGTCACTCTCAGAACTGTGGCCCTGAGTTCTCTAGCTTTCCCTCTTTGCCTCGGGACCCAGGACACCAGTCGGGGCTTAACTTTCTCAGTTGGGAAGGCGACGCTGCTGGTGGCTGCTGCTACTTGCTGGTTCTTCCTTTTTTTTCCTCCCCAAACGAGAGGAAGATTCGAGTGGATTTGGCACATCCCCTAACCGGGGCCTGCCATTTGCAGGTTGGGGGCTGACGTGCCCAGGAGGACCCGGACCAAGCAGGCCATTTTCACCTGCGTAATAACAGGATTGGGAATAGCGAAGCAGCGGCGGCAGCAGCGAGTGGAGTAGGAGGAGGAGCGCAGGCAGCGGCCGCGGCGGGGCCGGAGGAAGAGGAGGGGGGAGAAGGAGGAGCTGAAGCGGGAAGAGCGGCAGGCAGCGGCTCGGCGGAGTTGCAGCAGAGGCGGCGGCGACGCTGAGACACCGCAGCTTCCCTGAGCGCCGAGTCCCTCCGGGGACAGCAGCAGGGAGCGCCCGCGCAGCCACCGAGCCTCTGCCCAGCCAAGCCGCCGTCGCCGCGCCGGGGGACCGCCAGCCATGGCCGCGCCGGGGGATCCGCAGGACGAGCTGCTGCCGCTGGCCGGCCCCGGGTCCCAGTGGCTCAGGCACCGGGGGGAGGGGGAGAACGAAGCGGTGACGCCGAAAGGGGCCACGCCGGCGCCGCAGGCTGGGGAGCCCAGCCCGGGGTTGGGCGCCAGGGCCCGGGAAGCGGCGTCGCGGGAAGCCGGCTCGGGCCCCGCCCGGCAGTCGCCCGTTGCCATGGAAACTGCATCCACAGGTAAGGCGGGCGCCGCTGCCCCTCAAATGGCGTCGGGGACCAGGGCCCCCCAGTCAGTCCCCTTCTGCGCGGCTCTCCTGGGCACCTGCCTCGCGCTTTCTGCCTTGAGCGCCGACCCCACCCCCGCGTCGCCACGGGCGACTGGGAATATTCGCGGGCTGGTAGAAAACAACAATTTTATTTTTCCCAAAGGCTCAGAAAAAGTCAAGATGCTTTTGATCCTTTTATTTCATTATCATGATTATTTCCGCTTTAAAAATTGTTCTCATAGGCAAACAGCAGCATTCTGGCTGCTGGCGAGTCTGGGTACAAGTTTCTCCCTCCTGCCAGGAGGCTCCGAGCTGTAGGGCCCGTTTGACAGGTTGTGGGGATTTTGGGGGGCGTGTTTGCGCGCAGTGTGCGCGCCGGCTACAGGAGATGCTGACAACCGAGCGGCGGGCAGGCCCGCGGCCCCTGGACCCGGCTCTGTCCAGGGCAGAGATGTGGCTGTAACTGCCCCTTACCCTTGCCCTCCACGAATCGCCACCACACCTTACTCCCCCCACATCCCTCCGCCTTTTCTCCCGCAGAAAACAAATCCCAGGGAGTTTGTCCCTAATTCGGGAGGCACAGCTTTGCAAGAGGGTTGGGTGCTGTGGCTGCCCCCGCCCAAAACCTGTATTTCGCCGCTGCCCGGATGGCCCCACCTTGCAGGGAGCATTGAAACTTCAAGTCCTAAGTGCGGCGGGCCTGGCTGTGGGTTGGAGGGCTTGGGTGGTGGTGAGTGGACGTGGTACAGTTTACCAGCAGTCTAAGCGCCCCCCCCCCCCCACCCCGGAAATTGCCCTGGGTTTGGCCATTCTTCGCCTGACGCCCTATTCAAAGTCTGAGCGCGCCAGTGTCCAGCGGGAGCCCAGGCCCCTGGCGCATCCTGGTCAAAGGATCCAGGAAGCGCGCTTTGAGGCTGCCGGCCTGGTTAACGCTGTTTCCAGGGAGAGGAAAGGGGATGCTGTGTGGTGCTCTTTCCTGAGAAAGCTTTGCTATGGTGGAGTGGGAGTTGTGTAGTTTTGGCAATGTAGAGCTAGAAGGCCTGGGGTGGGGGGTGCTCCCAGAGGAGGGGAAGGGGAGTGGGACTGGTGTGTGTGCTCTTGGTGGTTGATTTAAAGAAACCCCTTTTCGTAAGCTTCTCTTAAGGGTTATGTGGAATGTCTAAGGTAATCGTAATTAACTGCCCTGGTACAGAAGATCTGAGCTGGGGAAAAGAGGTTTGGAGAATGCGTTGAATAAAAATTGTCAATATCCTGAAAGGAAGAGAAAAAGTGGAGACCCTATATAAGAAAAAAGAAAAAGAAAGAAAGAAAAGTACTCAAAAGCCCCAACGCCAAACGCCAAAGGTTATATATTAATTATTATATCCCTAGGAGTGGGGGAGGATTTAAATCTAAGAATGGCTGCTCAGTCTCTCTTTCAACTTCTGCATCCAAGTGAAAACAAAACTCTTTATAATTGCAAAAGAAGATGGCAAATGATAATAGACAAAGGAAGGTAGTTTTTGTCTTTACCATTCTTTGTTGAGGATAGACTGCTCATAGTTCAGAATCTTTATCCACTGTAATCAAAGTAAATTGTTTCTTTATGAAACATTACCCACCTCCTATTAGTGCCACTAAGATTATGTGAACTAGAAAAAGGAAGCTAAGTGCCCCATGCTCAGTAACATATCCACAAAAGTTATTATATAGGAAATGCTTAGAATATATATTTGTGGGGTACAGTGTGATGTTTTGACATATGTCTGCATTGTCAAATGATTAGCTAACAAATCCATCATCTCATGTACTTTTTTTTTGTGGTAAAAGCGTTTAAAATTTACTCTTTTAGCAATTTCAAAATGTACAGTGCATTGTTACAGAAAGGTGGCTGTAGTAAATAACAATGCATTTTGCATTTTTAGTATTATTATTATAGAAATACCTTGCTTTATTGAATGTGTTTGGGGTTTTCTATCCTAGGCAACAAATATAGTAATAAAATCAAACATGATACTACGTTTGGATGGGAGAAGAATGAAGAAAGATGGAAGGAGCACATATTTTGCATATTTATATAGAAATTTTTTAGTTTATGATTGTGGCTAGAAGGAATTTCTGATATAGTTGTTGATTGGTTAATGTCTTAAATCTCTGTGTTTCTTATTAAGTAGACCGGATGTGCTGCTATAAGAGACTCAAACGCCAGAAATGCTGTATAAATAAATAACTAGATCTTAAAATTCCAAACAAATCTTGTCCAGCTTCCTGGTCTGTTATTTTGGCAGTTCTATTGCTATAAGCAAAGTTAGCAGGTGAGCCCTCAATTGTATCAGAGATGCCTATTAAGCACACTACTTTACACTGTATTTCTTAATTTACTTTTTTTTGGCTTATAAACAGAAATTTATTTTCTCACAGTGCTAGAAGCTGAGAAATCTAAGATCAAGGTAGATTTGGTGTCTGGTCAGGGTCTGCTTCCTGGTCCACACACAGCTGTCTTTTCACTGTGTCCCCACATGGCAGAAGAGTGCTTTATTTTTTTAAAAGAGTGGTGCTTTTTTGGGACTCAACTCAAACTAAGAAGTAACTTAGACTTTGAGTGTGATGCACTGTAAACAGATTTTGTTTCTTTTTTAGATGGAAATATAAGACAGATATTGATGTTTTAATAACTGTTTTTCTGAAAAACATCACCAATCATGCCATCTGGACAGATATTCTGTTATTTATTTTTATACATTGATGGTAATTAAAATTATCCCAGGAACATTTCCAAAAATATGTCTCAGCAGTGTCCTGGAATGAATATAAGTTTAAACATTATTAAAACTGCACCATAAAACTCCATCAATCCTCTATTTTCAGGTGTTCTCATTGCTTCTGTCCCTTTTGTGGCGTGGAAATAGTCTCATCAAAATAACACTGTCTTCTAAAGTTACAACTTCATGTCTAAACTGATAATGGACATGTGAAATTATGTGTGTTGACAAGGGAACATTTAATACACCGTAGGTAGGCTACGACATGTTAGCGTTGTTAATCATAAAAGTGCCATCATCTAATAACTTTATACAAAGAATGTTAAGAGCAACTGTTCTGTTTTTTCATGATCAGTTATTTTATTACTGGAAACTATTCAAAAGGAGCATACAATAACAAAAGGAAAAAAGAATGGTCCTTTGTTTAAAGAAAGAATTTTAAATAGAACATCTGAACAAAATGAAATAGAGGTTAACTCATTGCCTGCTTTGGAAATTAACTCATTGACTGCTTAATATATGGAAAGCAAAATCAAGAACATGATGGAGAATGGTCAGGAAAAATCAGTCCAATATGATTTGCTGCAGTGATATCAATTTATAAATAATTTGACTTAAATTTCAAGATAATTACAAAAAGCATTTTCCAATTTACTTTACATGGACCATATTGTTTATATGTCCTCATTTTTCAAATGCTAAATGTGATGCTGTATTGGAAAAACATCTTCTAAATTCCATTTGGAGGCTAGATTAACTGTCTTCACTTTTGGATGTGTTTGACAGATGTGTAGACATTTTTTATTTGGAGTCATTTCCAGGTAATCCCCTTCAGAAGGTATAAATTTCCATCTTCTTTCTTTTGAGAAAGCTACAGTTCTATTGAAATGGTAAGGAACATTACACTGTGCCATTACTATCTTTAAAGAAACATATAAGATGAATAAAAGAGTTTGGAAAACTAATGCAATTTATTTCTGTGGGCATATCCTCTGGATACAATCAATACCATTTCTGGAAGTAAGTACAATATATGTTCTTTAATATAGGGAATTCAAATTAGGTTAAATTAAATTTAGGATGCTTACATACTTTTAAAATACATTGATAAATATTATAAAGGCTTTCAGGTTAACTTTCCCTTCATGAACTTACTGTTCCAAGAAAACCACCCTGCTCATTGCCCTGCTCATAGGCTCTCCTCTCTCCATCTCTTTTTTACTTCTGATTCTGAGGGTTGAGAGAAGCATTATTGGTTATCTTGCCCATTTTATTGTCTATCCCTGGGAGCATGGATTGCAAGGATTACAGAAAGCTTTTATTATCTTTTGTAAAGTGAGAAACCATTGCGGTTCAATTCAACTTAGTAGACTTATGTTAAATGCCTCCTTTGTGTAAGGATCTGTGCTAAACACAGGTCAGTCATGACTTCCTAAAACATGTGCACCTTTCTGATTCACAGTATTTAATTTAGCCAAATAGTTCCTTTTGTGTTATTTTTCATTTTCTTCATTCCCAAGTTATTGCTGGAAGCTTGACTAGAAGGGAATTATAATAATCTAACCCCATGGGCACAAGGGTATGAGTTAGTTTTCTGAGATCAACACAGGATAAGTAAATATGAGCACAGCTTGCTCAGACTGTGAAAGACAAAATCTGTCTTTTTGTCTAGCTGTGAAAAACAAAATCTTTCTCTCCCTTTATTTCTATCATCTATCTCATTCTCTACATCTTCAAAGAAATAACTGGCTAAATGTTACATCAAGATCTTTGGATTAGTTAGTTGTGATTTTATTCAACAATTAGATTATTTCAGTGGTGACTAAGGGAGTTTTGAAAACGATGCTGGAAAATTTAGAGGGCAGTGAAAATAAAAGACATTTCAAGAGACAAACGTATCTACATAGGAATGCTCTAGGCTAAAGTCATTGTAAAGAACATGGTCCAAAAATGAAAGACAACCAGTTTTGTTTGGTTAAATAATATTTGAGGGCAAAGAGAACAGTGAGAAGAGTGTGAGCCAGAGAGGCCCACTGTTTGTGGAAGATGCTGTAGTGATAGGGTATGAGAAAAGGGAGGGAAGGGCTTCTCAATTCTTATTTGAGCTCCCTAATTTAAAATGGACAGTGATTCTTAAGTTGGAAAATTGAAACATACAGAAAGAGATACTGGGATCCCAGGATAAGTAAACAGAAGGTAAAATCTTGTATTACTACTTTGATGAGATCAGTTCTTCACATCCAACTACTTTACATCTCATGGAATTGAATGAGTGTGCTGAGCAGCTTTAAATTCATTCCCAGTATCTTTGGAGAATAAGACTAGGGCTAGAAAAGCTGAAATTGATAAGTGATTTTCAAAAAGGGGAAAATGGTGGATTCTTAAAACTTATAAACCAATATATTTGACACTGACTGCTGGTAGAATCTAAGAATGTGTTATTATGCTAAATATTCATAGACCCTTAGAAAAGAATGAATATATTGTTCAGAAATTCCCTCTAGTTCACTAAAAAATAATGCCTGTACAACATTATTTCCCTCTTTTTCAGATTTTGAATTACCAACATGTATGTAGCCCTTCCTATGTCTAGGAACTCTGCAAAACGCTCAACTGACATAAAGATATAGAAAGCATGCTCTTTAATTTATAAACTGCACAAAATTTCAAAGGATGGCTGATATGCTACAGGGTAGCATTGCGATGAAAAAAATCTTGATTTTAATGTTTATTCAAAAGCAACAAGATAAATCTGTTTATTAAAATTATTTTTGTCCCGATTTAAAAATTGGGGGTGGGTAGAAAATACATACACATGGTATTAAAATCTAAAAGGTACAAAAGGGTAAGTAGAGAAAAGGAAGTCTTCACACCTTACCTTTCAACAATCCATTGCCCCTCTCCAGAGGTAACCATTGTAATTAGTTTTAGCAAGAGAGCATTACTTATGATTATACTACTATTTATTGAACTCTTGCTATATGTCAGGCTTTGTCTAAGCACTGAGGATTATAGTACAGAAAAGGACAGATAAAAGCCTCTCATCCATAAACTATACTTTTTTTTTCTTGGTGGGGGCAAGGGGAGAGAGTAAGGAAGGGCAACAGAGACCAGAACATCTATATCAAGGGATGATTAAGTATTGTGAAAAAGGTCAAAACAGAGTAATGGGAATGAGAGGGATAGTCAAAGAAGACCTCTTTGATAAGGTATCTTTAAAGCACAGACTTGAAGGAAGTGACACAACAGTCTTGCAGATGTCTGAGAGAAGAACATTTTGGGCAGAGGGAATTTCCTTTGCAAAGGCCCTGGGTGGGAGTGTGCCTAGCACATTGAAGGAACCACAGGAAGAGCAGTGAGGTGGAGTAAGCAAGGGGAGAATGATAGGGGATGAGCAAAGGGTCAGCGGTAGAGAGGAGTGGATAGATTAGGTCCTATAGGCCCTTGTAACAGCTTTAAATATTACTCTGAGTGTGATGAGAGCCACAGGAATGGGAGAGGTGTTAAATAGAGAAGGAACATATTTAGAGTTCAGTTTTAAGTTTAATGACTCACTCTAGTCACTGCGTTGAGAATCTAACATGGGGGTGGTGGTGGTTGGTGTGGAGCAAGAGTGACCTACTAGTAGGCCATTGCAATAATCTGAGAAAGAAATCATGGTGGCTTGCACCAGAGTAACAGCATTGGAAGAGGTGAAAAGTGGTTGGATTCTAGATATATTCTGAATGTATGTAATGTGTTAGAAAGAACACAAGGGACATGCCATGATTTTTGGCCTGAGTAAACACAAGAATGAAGTTGTTATTAGCTGGGGTTGGGAAGACTTTAGGAAGAGCAAGTTTTAGGGAAAAAACAGGAGTTTGGTTTTACACATGTTAATTTTTGAATGTCTGTTTGGTGTCCAAGTGGAGATGTCAAGTAAGCAGTGTAGAGTGGGGCTGGGGAGTGATCTGATCTGCTTATATACATTGGGAGTTGTTGGTGTAGAGATGAGATCACCAAGGGAGTGAGTGTTGACAGTGATGAGGTCAAGGAGTCCTGGGTCACTCAAATATACAGAGGTCTTTCAAAGAAAACTGAGTAAAAGTGGGCGACGAAGTAGGAAAACTGAAAGAGACTCCAGAAGAAAAGATAAATATATGTCAAGAGGAATAGAATGATTGATTCCGTCAAATGCTGCTTGTGGTTAAGATAGAGACTGAGAGCCAGCCACTGGATTTGACAATGAGGAAGTCATTCAAAGTGCCGGGAAAAACATCTCGGTTGAAATGGTTTTAGAGCAAATGAGAGGGGAGAAAATAAGAGATGGTATTTGTAGACTTGACTCTTTGGGGGAGTTTTGTTATAAAGGAAACTGAATAAGAGGTAACTGTATGGAGAGTGAGATGAAAAGAAGGGAAAGTATTTTTTTTTTGCTATGGAGAATATTAAGGCATATTTGCAAGATGATGTAAATGATGCAGTAGTCAGGGAAAGATTGGTGTTGCGGGAGGTGGGGGCATTTCCTGAAACTGTGTCTCTGAATGAGTAAGCAGGGATGGATCCAGCACACAGACAAGGGCTGATATTGGATAAAGGTGAGGACAGTTCATGGCTATAATGGAGGAAAGACAGAGGAGAGGGCACACCTGCAGGGAGTGGTTGGAGATGGGGCTGAGAACAGGTGGAAGTTTTCCATTAACTGCTTCTATTTTATCAATGAAATAGGAAGCAGGGTCAACAGAGTGAAGGCAGGAGTGGAATTGTTGAAAGTTTGAGAAGAGGGGAGAAGGTATAAAATTGTCGTTTGGGAAAATGAGAGAGTGAAAGGACTAGGGCAAACTGAGGGAACACTGAGTAGCCCTTGGGGCTCACTTAGAGCTTAAAGTGAGACCAATCACTGTATATGTTATCTTGTTTTTGGTTTAGAGTGCAGGGTTAGTTGGATTGATTTTTGTTTTCCAGTGATCCCAGTGGGAACAGATGGGAAATGGATTTGAGGATATATGCAAGGCAGTATATAGATGCTTGGTCTTGGAATCTGCTGAGGAGGAATGAAGCATAGTAAAAAGATGACATAAGCAGTGGATTGTATATGCTGGCAGGGTTGCTAGAGTAATGGTACTAGAGTAAGGGAGATGAAAGGATAAGAGATGATGATTTGGTAGCTGGGGTGTTTGAGGTAGATAGTAGGAGGGGTACTATTACTGAGAAGCAGTGGAAAACTGAGATGGAGTGGATGACAAGGTCATTGGAGGAGTCCAGAAGAAAGGTGAAAATAGGAGTGAAACAGTCACCTACATGATTACTGACATCACAATGAACCATGACAGATCCTGGGAATTACAGTAAACCAGACGCTAATGGATATCTTTAGGAAGGGACATAATGGCCTAGGATTCTGCCTAGGGGCTTTTAGGGGGAAGGAAGAACAGTGGCCTGTAACATTATAAATGTAAAATGTTGACTATAAGTTCTGAAAATTCTATTTAATATGTATAGAACGTAGGAGATGCAACTTAAAATAGTTCATGGTGGGGGTTGGGAATTTTGTAATTAGCTAAATATGAGCTAGTGGTATGGTGAAATTACTAAAATATCTTATGTAATTTCAGATAGTATTAATAGAAAGTCTCAGGTGCACATTATACGAGGTAATAGCTCCCCTAGATTCTGTTCTAGGCAGGCCAAATTTGGATTCTCATACTAAAGGGTAGGTGCCATGTTTTGAGAGACATTGACGAGCTATAATACGGTGAGAGCAGGGCAATTGGGAGGCTTTTGGAAAACATGCCATTTGAGAGATAGTTAAAGAAATTAAGAATTTTTATCCAAAAGAAAAGAATGAAGATCTGAATGTTAAATACTAGAAGAACTTTCATGAAGCAAAGGAAGAAGACTTGACCCAGCTGATTTCACAGAGCAAAATTAGGACTAGTGATGTGGAGAAGTAGATTTCTTCTGAATGAAAGAAAATGTTCTAATAATTAGAACTGATCAGAAAAGACAGATTCTCTCCCAGTTAGTGATGTTCAAGCAAAAGCCAGGTTGCCATTTTAATGTGGGGAAAGCAGAAAGGAAGTCATTAGTTACACTAAGATGTTTATATCTTCCTAAAAGACAACAGTGCCCCTAACTTGACATTGTTATTGTTACATTATTACTTGTATTAGTCCATTTTCACACTGCTGATTAAGAGATACCCGAGACTGGGCAATTTACAAAGAAAAAGGTTTAATCAACTTACAGTTCCATATGGTTGGAGAGGCCTCACAATCATGGCAGAAGGCAAGGAGGAGCGAGTCATGTCTTACATGGATGGCAGCAGGCAAAGAGAGAGATTGGGCAGGGAAAATCCCCCTTATAATACCATCAGATCTTGTGAGACTTATTCACTATCATGAGAACAGCATGGAAAAGACCTGCCCCATGATTCAATTACCTCCCGCTGGGTTCCTCACATAACACGTGGGAATTCAAGATGAAATTTGGGTGGGGACACAGCCAAACCATATCATTCTGCCCCTGGCCCCTCCCAAATCTCATGTCCTTACATTTCAAAACCAATCATGCCTTCCCAACAGTCCCTCAAAGTCTTAACTCGTTGCAGTATTAACTCAAAATTTTATAGTCCAGTGTCTCATCTGAGACAAGGAAGTCTCTTCTGCCTATAAGCCTGTAAAATCAAAAGCAACTTAGTTACTTCCTAGATACAGTGGGGGTACAGGCATTGGGTAAATATAGCCATTCTAAATGGGAGAAATTGGCCAAAACAAAGGGGCTACAGTCCCCATGCATGTCTGAAATCCAGCAGGGCAGTCAAATCTTAAAGCTTCAAAATGATCTCCTTTGACTCCGTGTCTCACTGATGCAGGAGGTGGGTTCCCATGATCTTGGGCAACCAGGTCACACTGATGCAGGAGGTGGGTTCCCATGGTCTTGGGAAGCTCTGCCCCTGTGGCTTTTCAGGGTACAGCCTCCCTCCTGGCTCTTTTCATAGGCTGGCATTGAGTGCCTGTGGCTTTTCCAGGCACATGGTGCAAGCTGTCGATGGATCTACTGTTCTGGGGTCTGAAGGACAGTGGCCCTCTTCTCACAGCTCCACTATGTGGTACACCAGTAGGGAGTCTGTGTGGGGCTCTGACCCTACATTTCTCTTTTGCACTGCCCTAGCAGAGATTCTCCCTGAGAGCCCCACCCCTGCAGCAAACTTCTGCCTGGACATCCAGGTGCTTGCATACATCCTCTGAAATCTAGGTGGAGGTTCCCAAACCTCAATTCTTGATTTCTGTGAACTTGAAGGCTCAATACCACGTGGAAGCTGCCAAGGCTTGGGGTTTGCACCCTCTGAAGCCAGAGCTTCAGCTTGTCCCCTTTCAGCCATGGCTGGAGTGGCTGAGAAGCAGGGCACCAAGTCCCTAGGCTGCATACAGCACGGGACCCTGGACTCACCCATGAAATAATTTTCTCCTAGGCCTTGGGGCCTGTGATGGGAGGGGCTACTGTGAAGACCTCTGACATGCCCTGGAGACATTTTCCCCTTTGTCTTGGGGATTCACATTTGGCTCCTTGTTACTTATGCAAATCTCTGCTGCTGACTTGAATTTGTCCTCAGAAAATTGGGTTTTCTATCACATTATTAGGCTACAAATTTTCCGAACTTTTATGCTCTGTTTCCCTTATGAAACTGACTGCCTTTAACAGCACCCTAGTCACATCTTGAATGCTTTGCTGCTTAGAAGTTTCTTCTGCCAGATACCGTAAATCATCTCTCTCAAGTTTGAAGTTCCACAAATCTCTAGGGCAAGGGCAAAATGTTGCCGTCTCTTTGCTAAAGCATAACAAGAGTTACCTTTGCTCCAGTTCCCAGCAAGTTCCTCATTTCCATCTGAGACCAGCTCATTCTGGACCTTATTGTCCATATTGCTATCAGGCTTTTGGTCAAAGCCGTTTAACAAGTCTCTAGGCAGTTCCAAACTTTCCCACATTTTTCTGTCTTCTTCTGAGTCCTCCAAACTGTTCCAACCTCTGCCTCTTACCCACTTCCAAAGTTGTGTCTTTTCAGTATCTTTTCATGTTTTCCAGTATCTTTTCAGCAGCACCCCACTTTACTGGTATCAATTTACTATATTAGTCAGCTTTCATAATGCTGATAAAGACATACCTGAGACTGGGCAATTTACAAAAGAAAGAGGTTTAATGGACTTACAGTTCCATATGGCTGGAGAAGCCTCACAATCATGGTGGAAAGCAAGGAGGAGCAAGTCATGTCTTACATGGATGGCAGTAGGCAAAAAGAGAGATTGGGCAGGGAAACTCCCTTTTATAAAACCATCAGATCTCGCTATCACGAGAACAGGATGGGAAAGACCTGCCCCATGATTCAATTACCTCCCACTGGGTCTGTCCCACAACACGTGGGAATTCAAGATGAGATTTGGGTGGGGACACAGTCAAGCCATATCATTATTTTAAAATTATTCCATATTTCTCAAAAAATAAACCACATACTAATGAAACTGGAAACTGTGTGCATCACAAAAACCATAGTTACCCCAAATTGACTACTTAAAATGTGCTCTTCACAGACTTGTGGCCTTTTAAAAATCCTCCTCTAGTTCTCCCTTGTCAAGAAAAGTCCATAATGTGACATATTTGCTTCTTAAGAACTATATAATTTTATCCAGTTTTGGATTATTAACATAAATATAAAATATGTTATCTGCAAGTATCTCTTTTATTCTTTTTGCTGAATTATCTTCTTCATTTTTTACTGAATCTAGTTTCATAAATATTCAACATATTTTAAAATGTTTTGGAAATTCATTAAATAATTTTGTAATGCTAAAAGCATCATACGATCCTTTCCTTCTTTCTCTGCCTCACTATCTGTATATTTATGGAAGATTATTCATTGGAAAACTATGTTTCCTGGGTTGCTTAATGAATTAAATTTTTAGCTGGAAGAATTCTCCATTCTAATTTCCGTGTCCAATCCCCAAATGCCTTTTCTAATTCATCTATTGCATGAGATTTTTTGTAAAATCTGTTATAGACCAAATTCTTGCTTTCTGAGTTTGGAAAATTTGTTGACGCTCACATTCTCCAAAATTCCTAGAATTTTGTTTTATGCATAGCAAATCTTTGGCTTTCTAAAAAAAAAAAAAACTACTCTTGAACAACAGAAAATTATGTGTATTTGAATGATTCCTGATCTAGTTGACAAGCAAAGGAATAGAAAACAATGTCATGTCTGCCTTTGGCATGAATTTTTCAGCTCACTCTGAAAAAATCAGGGCTTCTCAAAATATGGTCTATAAACTACCTGCTCCAACATCACATGGAGTGACCACAGACCTCATCCTAGGGAAGCAAGCCTACCAGGTGCATGTTAAAGCTGTAAGAAGCACTGATTTATTGGCTTTCCTGCTCATGCTTGGCATTTTGTAGGAGACGTGGGGAATAGAGGAGCATGAGCCATGTACCCTTTCCCCATTTCCTCCTGGGCGTATTACCATCCAGTTGGGAGATATGGCCAACTCCCACAAAGCAAAGATGAATAACTCAGGTCAGCATGCAGCTTGTTGCTTGGATGGATGGTACAAGCTATATGTGTGACACGAATTTCATGACTGTATGGGTTCCAATGTACCTGGTCTCTTGAAGGATGGATAGAATTGGAAGGGGGCAGAAGTGAGCAGAAAGGCAGTCTGAGTATGGGGATGATGACAAGGAAGTGAGCAATGATGAGCCTAGTTTCATAGCTTATCCAGATGAGGAGAAGGAAGATTCTGGAGGGCTTGAGGGCTACTCAGAACTCTAGTCTCCTTTCTTATGGATTCTGGGATCTTTGCAGGCTTATATGTAAGGGAAGTAATATCACAGAGCTATGTTAAGGAAGATTAGTCTGACAGTAGAATAGAAGATGAATTCAATGAGGATAATTCTAAAACCTGCGAGTTTTGCTGGAAGAAAGCCAACCCAGTAACATCAATTTCAGGGCCTCTAATAAGTAACCATGGGAATAAAGAGGGAGGTACATGGGAAGAAAGATGAGAGGCTTCACAAGAACAGTCAACAGGACTTTGTGACTAACACACATTATCTGGGGACGAGGGGAGGAATAAATAAAAAATGGCTGCAGTTTTGTGCCCTATGGCTGGGAGAATGTTATGCTATAGAGGGTGGGAGGGGGAACTGGCTAGAGGAGAGAGGATAATGAATTCACTTTTAGTCATATGAGGCTTGAAATAATGACAAGCCATTTGAATGGAAATTTCTACTTGGCAACTGTAGATAAAGAAATGGATTTTGTAGGTGACAACAGGATTGTTGATATGGATTTAGAAAATTAGAAGAGAAGCCATAGAGATTATGTAGTATGGAAAGGACAGAGGACCAGGGACAGAGCAAATACTCCTTGCCCCTCATTAAAAAAGCTTAAAGCTTTAGCTTTAAGCTCCCTGAGCCTCAGATTCTATAGTTAGGTATATATGGTATTAGGTCTTGTGGAGTGCCTGGCAATCATATGGTAAATACAGGTACTCCTATTATTATAGTATCACAAAAGCCAAGATGACGTGGTACAGAATGAGCCCTGACTGAGAGATCAGATTTATCTAGTCTTGGCTTTGGTACCTAATATCATGTCAATGTGGGCAAGACATATGACTGCTTTATGTATCAGTTTCTTCATATATGACATTGCATGAGCACAGTACTGTTCTGGCTATCTTACAGGGTTATGTGAAGATAAAATGGGATAACACAAGAAGATGCATGGAAATGGCAGATAACTCTGTATCTATAAGGTACTATTAATAGGAAGCCTGGTCAGTAGCGTCAGATGCCATAGAGAATGAAGATTGAGAATGAACCTCAACCTTAGATGTTTTACTATAAAATGCTTGCTGTGCCAAGCTGGACCTCAGCCAAATAGCAATGGGGAAGCTCAGGAGAGCAAGGAAGGATTGGGGGTGGAGAGAAGTCGGTTTTGGTAATCCACATGGGAAGACATTTTGGAGGAGGGCAGTAGGAGTGGTGATCTGCTGCGTTTCCCATGTCCTGATGAGTGATCTGTGAGTACAGGGCTGAGGTGTGCCCGTGGGGACCAGCTGGAATGAGGGAGGACAGCAGATGGAATCTATTCTGATTCTCCTATTCAGTGGAAGGGCAATAAGCCTAGGAAGCTGTCCCAGGTATGTGTGGGAGTTGGTCTGGAAGAGGCTGCTTCTCTTACCAGAGAAGGCAGCACAGCGAAAGCTAGCTCCTGCTACCCGCCAGTACAGGGCTAAATCAACTGGCCCTGTGGGCTTGTGGGAATCTGCAGGCTAGTCTTATAACTCAGTAGATTAAAGTCTTATATAAAAACATGATTGCTCTAGAAAGATGGAGTCTCTATCCCTTCTGCTAAATACAGCTAAAAATCCTGGACATTGCATATAAAATAAATAGAAAGGGACTCTGAAAGGTGAATGAAGAGAAGAAGACAGTCTTACTAGAGATCATGGGACCTGTGGAAGGACACAGCAGTGAGTTCTCGGGGTTTTCTGTTTTCATCCTATATCTCAGGCTGGATACTGGAGAAGCCAACAAGCAGGAAATGCCAATGGGCACAGACAAAAAACACCCACAAAAAAAGCCTGCTGTTTCTAGCGAAAGGACCAGAAAACGGCATCCTAGCAGGATAGAAAACTTTTAGACAGTAATCACTGTATCCAGCCAAACACCATGAAATAAACTGAGGTCCCACCTCCATGCCCACCACAAAAGCCAAGGAGGGAGCCTAGACTTCCACCTTTCTGAGGATGTAAGAGACACCCAGCACTAGTAAGGCTTTGGCACTTAATTCACCTGCCAGCTAATGTGGTGTTAGAGGAAGCCTAGAGGAGAGTCAGGAGTTTCATCACTGCTCAGTGATGAGACTGAGTGGAAAACCTGGACTTCTATTTAAGCAATATATATAGTCTCAAGACATAATACCAAAACTGTCCAGATTTTAATGGAAAATTACAAGAACCAGTAGGATATGAACTTGAATGACAAAAGACAATCGACACCATATTAACACAGATGGTAGAATTATCTGAGAAGGATTTTAATGTAGCCATCACAAAAATTATTCAACAAACAATTACAAACACACTTGAAATAAATAATAAAATAGAGAGTCCCCAGCAAAGAAATAGAAAGTCCCAGCAAAGAAAAAGAAAGTCTCACCAAAGAAATAAAAGCTATAAAGAACTAAATGGAAATTTTAGAAGAAACACAGTAATCGAGATAATTTTTATAAAAGCCTCAGTAGGTGGGCTCGACAGCAGAGTGAAGAGGAAAGAAGAAAATGTTAGTGAATTTGAAGAGAAACAATAGAAATGACCAATCTCAACAACAGAAAGAAAACAGAAAATAAAAGGGGATAAATAATAAAATCCCTGTTCTCTGTAGCACAGGAATGTTTAGACGACATGTTCCCTTTTTCAAATGTTCATTGAGTATTCATATTAATAGGGTACAGTGAAAACAGACTGACAGGTATATTGCCTCATGTTTGCTAAATGCACAAAATCTAAGCCATATTGGTCCAGATGGGGGCTTCAGGGAAAATAACCATATAGTACTACTTTTAGTTGTTGAGATGTTTTCCACATTTACAGTACTTACTGATTTCTGATCTGTACTTATATGCACACATAAGCTAAGTTACTTATGAAACAAGCATTTCTATAACACTTACAATGTGTTCTGGGCTGTTTACATTTAATCCTATCCTTAATCTCAATAAAGTAGGTATGGTTATTTTCCCCATTTTACAAGTAAGCAAACTGAGATAGAGAGAGATTGAGTGACTTACCTATGATCATATAGCTAGTAAGTGAAGCATCCAGATTTGATGAACCTTGGCAGTCTGGATCTAGGGTTCATGCTCTTAATTATTTCACTCTGTTGCCTATTTTAGGCTTTTCTTGTGCAGCATCTATTTTTTTTTTTTTTTTTTTTTTTTTGAGACGCAGTCTTGCTCTGTCTCCAGGCTGGAGTGCAGTGGCATGATCTCGGCTCACTGCAGCCTCCACCTCCTGGGTTCAAGCGATTCTCATGCCTCAGCCTCCCGAGTAGCTGGGATTACAGGCAGGTGCCACCACACCCAGCTAATTTTTGTGTTTTTAGTAGAGATGGGGTTTCATCATGTTGCCTAGGATGGTCTTGATCTCCTGACCTTATGATCTGCCCGCCTTGGCTTCCCAAAGTGCTGGGATTACAGGTGTGAGCCACCGCGCCTGGCCACAGCATCTATTTTATGATCTGTGCAGTAAAATTTGCACATTAAATAAGGAATTAGCTTGCATGAAAACCTATCTGAACTACAGTGAGCATAAATCTGAATGGGGAAGACGGTGGCTAAAACTTGAGTTGACAGAACTTGAGAATCCTTAAGAACCTCAGCCAAAAGCAACAATTAATTGCATTTAAAAAGTTAAAAAGTTTGGCTGGGTGTGGTGGCTCACGCCTGTAATCCTGCACTTTGGGAGGCCGAGGTGGGCGGATCACCTGAGGTCAGGAGTTCAAGACCAGCCAACATAGGGAAACCTCGTCTCTACTAAAAATACAAAAATTAGCCGGAGGTGGTGGCTCATGCCTATAGTCCCAGCTACTTGTGAGGCTGAAGCAGGAGAATGGCTTGAACCCAGGAGGCGGAGGTTGCAGTGAGCCGAGATTACACTTCTGCACTCCAGCCTGGGCGACAGAGCAAGACTCCCTCTCAAAAAAAAAAAAAAAAAAAGTAAAAGTTTAATAGGGATAATTGCAAAACCCTGCAATAGAATCCCCAAACTAACTGTATGGATAGAATGGGAGGGCCATGCATGGTGGAACTGCAACATAAATAGAGAAAAAACAGGGATTTTTTGTTAACTTTAAGTTCACTTTAAGTCAGTAGAGTGAAGCAGCTGTCCCTGACATGATAACTGTTAAGTCTCGTTAACTCGAGATGCCCAAAACAAGTAGGAGAGAGCTGGGAATACTTGTTTCAACCCTTA
This sequence comes from Homo sapiens, assembly GCF_000001405.40. NCBI lineage: Eukaryota > Metazoa > Chordata > Mammalia > Primates > Hominidae > Homo > Homo sapiens. The sequence continues at coordinate 59,853,607 of NC_000014.9, read as the reverse complement.
AGATGGGAAGGTTGGAACATGTGAAGGTCTGGGCAGAGTTCTGGGTGCACTGAATGCCGGGGTAGAAGTCATAGTAGAAATCTTGACTCTGGTTGAAAGAGCTGAGGATTTACAGACTGCTTAAAAGAAGATAGGATGGGTTATGACAGCTGTCTAAAAATACATGAAGGGTTGTCAAGTGGCATAGGGTCTGGGCATGTTTATGTGACTGGCGGATGGATCTGTGGTCAGTCAGAAGTTACAGGGAGAGAATTAGAGCTCAGTATTCATCAGAGCTATGAAAATAGCCTAGACTTCCTCATATGGTAGTGAGTTTTTTGTTACTGGAGATATGTAGCAGAGTTGGGTTGATCATGCCTGTGACAGAGGGGTTATAATAGAGGAGATACATTAGATTAGTAATTTAAAAAATCGTTTCATGATCACAGACCCCCACTGGAAAATCTGTACAAACACCCCCAAATTCTGGAATTTTTCAGAAGTCTTTTATGGATGGGGAAATGAAATAACTTTCTAACTCTTAGAAATCAATGATTCCAGATACTCTCATAGAGATCACTGTTTACACAGGGGCAATAGTTTCATGGTTCAATAAAATCTCACTCAATCATCCTTTATTCAACAAATATTTATTAAGCGTTTAATATATATATGTACACAGACACAAAGTATGAAGTTGGATAGATGACACAAATACATACTAAGAATATATAAATAAATTCAGTAAAATAACAATATGGTCAGACTATGAGGAAGAGCAGTCTAAATCAGGCAAAAGATCTGCATTCCATAAATTTTGTTGTATTAATTTCAAGAATATACTCTAACTGAATTTGTGGCTCTCAGAGGATTACTAAGCCATACTCTTTCCAGATTGGCTATGGAGAAATGAGAGAAAGAGAGAGGATTTGGAGATTCCATATTGGATTCCAGTCATGGCTCTACCAGTAGACAGTAGCTAATCTCAGCCTCTGAGAAGGGCTTAATGATGGGTCTATGTGAATCTTCATTGCCCAGATAAGTGATGCATCATCATTTGTGTATTTACTGAGTCTGTGTACACTTCAGTCGCTGCCAACGTTTTTGGAACCAAATGGTATTTTAAGTAGATTAGGCAACAGTCTTTTACCATTATTATTAGGAAATGCTTGGGGGTGGGACTAGGAGATGATGTTAATTCTCCCTCTAAAAATCTCCATCAGTCATCTAATGCCACCCTAAATAAATATGTATTCTTCAATGTGGAAAATCAGTTTTTTTCTCAATTTTATGTAAAGTGTGCATATGATATTTTAAAAAGTCTGCTCTACTTTTATTTATATATGAACATACCATCAAAGTAAAATCAGAGTGCTTCTCATGCAAATGCAGCTTCAAAATAAGTCAACTGACTTCTCTAACTAGATTGTAGCCCCTATGTGCCATTATACGTAGAAAATTTGGAGTGGCCACTACTTACTATACTATCAATTTGTTTAGCAAACCTTTTATTATAGATAATACAAGAGTAAATTGCAGCCCATTATGTTTGAATTACCAGAATTGAACTTCTGTGAGTTTATTTTAAATTGAATCCGTGGTGTTAGAGAACTGTTCCTATTTTACCAAAAGTCTGGAAAGAGCAAATGCCTAATACTGCTTTCTAGAAATTGTACAGTATTTTAAAACCGAGCAGTTCTGTTTACAGTTTGGATGTTTGCATATCAATTCTCAGAAATAAGAATTGGTTTATTCTTTTTTTTTTTTTTTTTTGAGACTGTGTCTTGCTCTGTTGCCAGGCTGGAGTTCAGTGGCACAATCTTGGCTCACTGCAACCTCCACCTCCCAGGTTCAAGCGATTCCCTTGCCTCAGCCTCCCGAATAGCTGGGACTACAGGCGCTTGCCACCACACCCAGCTAATTTTTTGTATTTAGTAAAGACAGGGTTTCACCATGTTGGTGAGGATGGTCTCGATCTTTTGACCTTGTGATCTGTCCGCCTTGGCCTCCCAAAGTGCTGGGATTACAGGCGTGAGCCACCACGCCTGGCCAAATTGGTTTATTCTTATGAATAACATTAAGGAACAAAAAAAAATCATATTTTTAAGAAGAGAAGTAATATACTTTCTAGAGAAATAAGCCCCAGACATCCCCTGTTTTGAAAGTGAATGTGCTGTTAAGGCTCTTTGTGTTGCTTTTATTTTTTAAGTATAGTAATCTGCTCTGTGCTTATTTAACCCCTATGTGGTATAATAACTCCCAGGAGCATTGGTTTCTAAAAGGAGTCTTTAACAATCTGTTAAAATGAAATTCTCTGCCATTCTGCCAGACAGAAGACATCAAGGTCAACCTTTAAGTGTATTATTTAACACATAATGATTGTGTTTCCTAACAATAATGATTATGTTTCCACTGTGATCATTTGTGTGAAAATGTCACACAACGTTTATTGAAAGATATTGAATGATATGCTCCATGTATTATCACGTCAATATGAATCTTTGGAAGCATTATTTTCTGTTTAGAAAAGGGAAAGTTGGTACATAGGTTGATCACAACAGCCTGGAGTTTTTTTGTTTTTGTTTTTTCTATGAATGACCCTGCACTGCAGGGGGAAAACAATCAGTAGACAACTGTATATAAATAAAACTGAAAATTCAGTCAACTTTCTTAGTGAAATGGAAATGCTCAACTCCACAGCCTTGTTTTAAAATTGTAAAAACAGTGATAAAAGAAACTTTTGCAAGAGAAAAAAACCTACCCATGATCCCACCCCCTTTGCACATTCTTAGTGCCCATGTGATGGTTTGAGGATTCAGTGAGCTTCTTTGAAGTGCTTGGAACAGTGTTTGAGACATAGTAAGGACTGTATAAATATTTGCTATTTTTATTGTATTCTCTATCAATTATTGTTATTTGCATAATAACCACTAACCTCCTTCAAGTGGTTTAGAATGGATGGAACACTGACGTCATTTATTGAGTGACCCCCATTTTTACATTTGTAGAATCTGAGCAAGGCCAAAGCCATATCTCTGACACCTGAGTCTCATGCTCTCTTTATTATACTCCCTGGCTTTCTGTCTTCGAAATGTATATGGTCCTCAATTTAAAATAGCTTAAGATTTTTAACTTTACAATGGTGCAAAAGCAATATGCATTCAGTAGAACCTGTACTTTGTGTACCCATACAACCATTCTGTCTTTCACTTTCAGCACAGTACTCAATAAATTACATGAGGTCTTCCACACTTTATTATAAAATAGGCTTTGTGTTAGATTATTTTTCCTAACTGCAGACTAATGTAAATGTTCTGAGCATATTTCAGATAGATGAGGCTAAGCTATAATGTTTGAGATACATTGTGTTTTCAACATATGATATTTTTAATTTATGACTGGTTTATGAGGATGTAACCCCATTATAAGTTGAGGAGCACCTGTATAACATAAGGGAAAATAGAAGTGTCCTACAAGACAACAAAGCCAGGACATGGAATTCAGCTTTACTTTGCAAAGAGGAAGAAAGTAATGAGTGTCAACTGAAGAGACAGGAGAAGAGACACCAGAAGCAGAAGTGAGGGTGAAGAGAGGAGCAATGGGGCTGGGAAGAGGTGGCGGTGAAAGGAGAGGCTTGGCCCCTGGAATGGACACAAATAGACAAAAAGGAAGAGGAAGTGGAGGAATTCAGAAAACAGGAAAGAGAGTTAACAGAGAAGTACACAGAGAGGGGGAAGCCCTTTGAGGAAGCAAAAGTAAAAAAAGGAATGGATTTATGAAGAAGAGGAAAAGAGAAGTAGTTAAGAAGACTTGGCTAAATTCTAGAACCTGGAGTAAGTGAGAGTGGGAGTTCTTGGCTTTACTTCCCTTAGAAATTGTAATTCACATGTTTATGATTGCTTAGATCCTTAAACCAGGAGAAACTTCTATAAGTGGGGTGACTCCAGCAGGCCACTGGGGCTCAGGAGTAGGAGCCATTCTTGGGGTTCTGTACAGGGCCACCCAAAGCTTTCTCACCCCCAGCTGAATGAAATCAATCAGTGGGCTGAGTCAGGCCTGTGGGCTGAAATGTTCCTTCCTCAGTATGGGGATTTTCCAAAAGACTCATATTAACTTTATCTAAATGGAGAAGAATTTAGCTGAGGGTTTTCCCTCAGATATAGGGGTGTATTTATATACTTTTTCTCTTATGCATGACTAGCCTGGAGATTTGCAAATGCAGTGTTTAGATAGCAATATCAGGGAGTTAATTGGTTTTTCTTTTACCATGCTCAAATATGAAAATGTACTCTATACTTTGGGGAACAGGGAGTAGTTAAGGAAAAGAGAGGAAATAGATAAAAGAGAAAGAAGTTGACATGTATTTAGCACCTAGTGCTAGGCAGGCAGGTACTGTGATAAACACTTTATATACCTTCTTAGATTAGCTTTATGATCTAATGGCCTATTGAATATATAGCAGGGTATTGAACTATGATTTGGTTAATCTAAGTAGGGGTGACAACTAATTTGCATAATTCTATTGTTTCCAACCAAGGCCATAAACTACATATAGAAAAGGAGTCTTCCAGCAACTTCCTGCTAAGTTGATGAGGGGGATGAGATATTGGGGTTCAAGTTATAGCTGGTAACAAATGTGCATTTTCAGGAAAGTAAACCACATATTCTTCCCGGGGGGGTGGGGACTATTGAAATAGATAGCTAAGGATTTGGAGTCCTTCCTATCCTTTCATCAGTGACGATTTGTGTACATGGACTTCGTACTGTATCAAGTGAATTAATGTTTGATTTCCTTGTCTAGGCAGAAATTCCCTTGAGGTAGAGGTTGTGTCTCCAATAGTCTCTATAATTCCTTGCAGACAGCCAAGCATATAAGCACCAGAGTTTTATAATTTAGTGGTGTATTTTTTTCTTTGGTTACATAAAATAGTCTTAATACCATATTGGGATCATAGCACATTTTCAAAAACTTTCAAAGTTCACAGAATCAATGACTATTCAAAGCCTTTAGAAGCAGGATTTGGATCTTTTATGTATGACTCATATGGCCAATCTTAAATCAATTACAGTGTAAATTCTTGCTCCTATTTATATGAGTTATAAGAATAATCAGCAAAAACCTTCATATGTTATATCACTTTGAATTTCTTTTAAAACTCTAGCATGCTAACTTAAAAAATAAAACAATTCTTGACAGTTATGATTAAAACTATCTGATGATAAAGGAATTCTGTTAACATTTTAAAAATTAATTGGATGAATGTCCTTGATATAGCATTCAATTATCTTGAGAATTTATATAATAAAATGCAGTAGTTTGTGCTGAGATTAATTTGACACAATTGCCATTAACAACCCTTCCTTCTTAGCACCTAGCAGTTCACCTGCATGCTCTGCCCTCAAAAAGGGGATGCTACATTCAGGTGGTGACCATTACAAGTTAGATCCTACTTTTCTGTAGATAAAAGGCATAATAATGGTGAATTGATGTTTCATTAGTTTGTGGAGAGGAAGACTTTATGGTCTCTTCAACTCTAGGCCTTCAAAATCTGAGCCATTACTCAGATGAAAGATGAAAGTGGTTGCTAAGATGAAAGAGGCTCTAATGAAGTGGGGCTTAGAAGCAGGTTTGGGCCTGGTGAGAAAAATTATTTCAGGTCTCCAGCAGAGTGGCCTGGCTAAAAGTCTTCACGTGGGATTTGTAAACAAATTCGGGCCCTGAGCCCACTTCCTGACTGCTGGGCTGGGCAATCTGTGCCAGCTTCCTCTGCAGTCTCTTCATATGCAGGAAAGGCTGTGGGTTCAGGTGTTAGAGCTATTCCAAAAAGCATGTAGCATGAAGCAGGGCGTTCTCCATCACTGGAAGGGTCCAAGCAGAGACTTCATGATCACTTACCAGGGAGGTTTAGAAGGAGGCATATTTTTTAAGTGGGAAGTCGAACTTGATCACTTCAAATGTTCTTTGTATTCCTTTTGTCAGGATTCCATGATTTTATGATAGAAAGCAGATAATTGTTTTGCACCAAGTCCTGTGAATGACTAGAAAATGACACACATTTTAAATATTGGGGTTTTACACCTTTAGCTAAAACTTGTATGAGCCCACATGAGCAAAACAAAACAGCAACAATCTAAATTAACAAGTAATTTTAACACTTAAAAGGATTTTCCATTTATTATGTTTATGGACATGCTCAGATAAAACATCTTTTATTAGTCAAATGGAAACATTGGTTAATCATTATGTACTTTAAAATACTATTGGTAGATAAAAATATTGTATAATGTAGGGCTTATGGGGAACAATACTAAAGAGATAGGGACTATTTTTCATTGTTATACACTTACCTGCCAGATACTATTATGCTACATGTTTGTGGATATAAAGGTTTAAGAAAGTTATAGTCTAATGAAGGAGATAAAGAAACAATGATATTTTATGTGAAGAAATACGATAGAAGTATGTACATGATCTACATCAAGCATCTAAGCAGATGAGAAAGTCAGAAAAAGCTTTTTACTGGAAAAGGTTCTGGAAGTGAGTTTTAAAGCATGAGAAATTAGCAAGATGAAGCATAGGGAAGGCTATTCAGAGAGGGACAGCACCACTTAAAACTGTTATTTCTCCCTTTTTGACTTTTTCAATTAGGAATTTTGTTTTTCCTCTCAGACACTAGGTTTCTAGAATGGTGATGAAGGGGTACAGAGCTCTTCATTTGCATTTATCTTTAAGCCTCCAGATTATTCCTGGTTCTCAAGCAAAATCAGTCTCATCAAAGTGGCTGCTTCTCTGAGAGTGCATATGGCTGTCAGAGTTGGACAGACTGTGCATCTCAAACAGGTATGCGGACACCTGGCTACGAACCAAGGGGCACTTGGAGCCAGACTACACAAAGTCCATTTTCTCCAGTAGTAAGCCATTCAAAACACTGTTTTATTACAAATAAATGTATGCATCAAGGAGTAAAAGCACACATAGTTTTAAAATGTGAAACTTTAAATAAACTCCCTGTGTCATGGGTGTAGGCTACACCCAAAGGCCCTTGGGATACACACTTACTCTTCTTTTTCCATTATGCTTACTTGGTAACCACTGAGAAACACTGAACAGAAGGGTGTCTGGGTAGGGACTCTGAGGTGAATACTGAGACCTCAGGAACAAAGTGACAGATGAGTGTGGATGTGTGTGGTACACACGTGTGTGTGTACACACGTGTGCATACATCAACTCTGATCCATGGGCTGTGGCTGCACAGATATGGGTGCTGGGATGAGAAGAGTGCTGTGGAAAGAATGCCGGGATTAATGAGTGATGTCTGCTGTAGGTGAGCAAGGAGGAGGGACACAAGCAGCAGATGGGCCAGGATTTATCATCTCAGTTCATTCTGTTTCTTCTTCCACAAAAAAGCACCAGTGGGGTAAGGAAGAAGTCACAGCTGTGGTACTGGTTCTCTTCTTGCATCATCCTCATTCTGTAACATTGTTGACCTTGTCTTCAATTCCTACCTGGTTGACATCCTATAATGATCCACCTACCCCTGGCTGTTTGCTTACAGACATCAGGGTTGTTATTACTGTTTTTCTGCAATTGTTCCAAGCTCAGGTTTTTAAATACAGAGCCTTCATCAACTGTATGTTTAGAGTTCAAGCTTCTGCTGTTCCTAATCTACTATAGTGCGGATATGTATGATGCTGGAATTTAGGATTTTTTTTTTCTCCTCTAGCATGTTCTATGTAGAATTGTCCATGGCAGCTGCCTAAATAGCTTCTTTTTCTGGGCCTTGAATGATGTCATATGCCAGAAAATTGTGGTAGGGGTTTGGGAGATTCTTCTAGGGAAAGGGTTCAGTGGGTCCAAAGGAATAGACTTGTAAAGCTGGCATAATCAGATATGGACAAGTAGTAGTTCTATGCATGACAAGATTTTCCTGGGGAAGGGGTAGCTGAGAATGGGTTGGTGAACAGGCCATAGTAGGAACTTTAGATTTTATTCTCTGTTAACAATAGAGAGTAATTTGGTATTTTTGGTGATATAAAAGCCCTCTCAGATTTGTGTTTATAAAGCACTCCAGCAATGTGGAAGGTAGGAGTAGAATACGGTGAGGCATGGGAGGTTAAGGAGACTTCCACATTGAGACACAGTGGAGCCGAAACTGTGGCAGTGGAGAGCAAGAGGGATTGGGAAATACAGTGATTAGAACTTGGAGATGAAGAAGACTTAAGAATTATTTAAGTTTCCGGCTCAGACATGTGGGTGGATAGTGATGTTGTTAAGTGAGATGTGGATACAGGAAGAGAAAATCAATGTAAAAACACTTTCAAAGATAATAGCACTCCATTGCAAATGTAATGTATTAATATTAAAATCATATTCACTGAACTTACCTTTTGGTTTAATGGTTATAAAGAGTATTGATTAAACAGATATAGAGAAACCATTAGGAATCACAAAGCTAGTGCTTTTGCAACACTGTACAAAAGATGCAAACTATGAACCCTTTAGATTTTAAATTTTCGATTGCTGCAGGAAATCTACAATGTGAAGTTCATTTATAAAGTGATTAAATTTTACTTTGGTTATAGATTTTACTTTATTAGCACTTTATGATATGGAGAAACATTAACTAGTTCTACTGGTTGACTATAAGTTGATTGCACAGTTGCATTCTTATAATTTCATTATTTGTCATCCGTAAATATTAAGTGAAATTTTAAAGTCTTAACTACAGCAGAAAATAAAGTTTGCCAAGAGCTAGTAAGATGTATTAGAAAGACCCCTGATCATCTATTAACTCATTTAACAATTTATTAATAAAACAATGGAAGATTTATTTATATGTTTTCCCTAAGTCGTTATCTTTTTTAAAATATTTTTAATTGTGGCAAAATGCACATAACATAATATGTGCCATCTTAACCATTTTTTAAGTGTATAGTTTGTGGTGTTAACAACACACTTGCTGTTGTGCAACCATGGTGACCATCCATCTCTAGAACTCACTCTGTAACTATTAAACATTAACCCTGCATCTCTCCCTATCTTCCTGCGCCTGGCAACCAAACCACCATTCTACTTAATGTCTTCATGAATTTGACTACTCTAGGACAACTCATTATTTAAGCAAAAGGGAATAATAAAGGTTCTCTAGAACCTCTTGTTGGTTCTGTGTTGGCTTACATGTAGCTAACTATATTGTCAGAGTAACCTTTTAAAGGTTTTAAAACAGCAGAGTGCATTGGCAAGCAAGCTTTCGAGACAGTGAGAAAAAATTAGCTGAACTCATCCTTTTATCAGAAGCCCACTCCCCACTAACTAACCCACACCTGTGATAAGGACATTCATTCGTTCATAAGGGCAATCACCTCTTTAAGGTGCCGCTTCTTAGTATAGTCACAATGACAGTTAAATTTCAACGTGAGTTCGGGAGCGTACATTCAAACCATAGCACATTTGTCTCCCTTCTATACCCGAGGCTGTGTTTATAAGGCCTGTGCCTACAAGAAAAATCTTTTCTTGTTCTTTTTCCCAGAAAGGACTCACTCCTCCATTGCTAAACCAGCCTGTATTCTCACAAAGAGGCAGGGAGCAAGGGAATCCTAAGAGAATGCCGAGATTCTCAAAGCAGCCTTTTTCATGGAGCAAATTAAGGACAAATACAAATCATTTTGGGATTTTGACCTAAATCTTAACCCATTTATTTTCTTAATATAAATCTCTTTTTTCCCCTAGTGCCTTTAAAATGTTTATAAAAAAGCACCATGCTACAATTGTTGCTTACTAAATTGAAGGCTTTGAAAACAAATGACATTAGTGACAAAACTCCAATGGCTGTATAATTTATGAACATTTTCTGAAGTTCATCAAGACATTTATAGGACACAGGCTTTATGAGTTTTGTGTTTCTTCCAGTGCCTTACCTTAGATAAATTGTGCTCAAATTTCTCCCACTCTTTCACAAATGCACTTTTCAAATCACGTGTGCGTTCCTTTTTAAACTTTTTTTAGCTTATTTTTCCAAGTGTGTGCAGTTACACGTGCTTAGCAGATGTTAGTAACAGGTATATAAGTTGAATAACAATAATAGCTATAATGTATTAAACATCATCCACCTGTCAGACTGATTCTGTGATTTAACTTAATTATACCATTTAATCTTTTAAAAATGCTGAGATGTAATTAACATACAGAAAAGGAAACAAGTCTCACTTATACAGTTTGGTGGATGTACACCTTGTAACCACCCAGATCAGGCCAGATCAAAAAAGAACACTTCTATCAGTAGGGATCCTCATTCATACCACTTCTCCTAGTCAATCTCCCATTCCCAGAGGCAACCGTTATTCTGGCTTCTATCACCACAGAGTGGCTCTGCCTGTCTTTGGACAGCATAGAAAGGGAATAATTTTGTGTCTGTCTTCTTTTGCTCAATATAATGCTTTGCTAAACATTCATGTTATTGTGCATATTGAGAGTTTTAAAAATTACTGTGCAATATTCTACAATAGAAATATATCATAATTTGTTTATCCCTTCACTTGTTGGTGGATATTTGGGACTTTTTTAAAGCTATTGTGAATACAACTGCTATGAACATTCTTGAACATATTTTGTGAACCTGTGGAAACATTTCTCTTGAGTATGTACCTAGGAGTATACCTTGGAGGTTATAGGGTAGGCTAATGTTTAGTTTTATTAGAAACTCCTAAACAGTTTTCCAAAGTGCCTATACCATTTTGCATTCTTATTTACAGTACATGAAAGTTTTAGTTGTTTTCCATCCTCACCAGAACTGATCAGACTCTAATTTCAGACATTCTAGTGGATGTGTAGTGGAATCTCAATCCTCCCCACCAATGAGGTGTTCCAAGATGTAATTTACATGTAATAAAATGCACTCATTTTAAGGGTATAGTTTGGTGTGTTTGTGAAAGTGTTTAAAACCACATAACTATTCATACCACCCCAATCCATTTTTAGGTATAAATGTTCTATAAGTGCCAATTAGGTTAAGTTAATAGATAGTGGTTTTCATATTTTCTCTACCAACCCTTTGCAACTGGGCTCCTGCAGATAATTAAGCCCCAGTGCCCTAAGATGTGCATTGTATGGATCTAGAATGGTGCTAGCTATGTCCATCTTTGGGGAAAATTGAAAAAAAAAGTCATTCAAATTATTTTCCAAGTGCTTAAATTTCTCCCACAAATCCAGTTCATGAAGGCTGTTCTAGATTCTTGTTTTTTGTCTATTTATTTTGTCTATTATTGAGAGAGGGATTTTTAAATATCCAATTATGATTGTGCATTTTTCTATTTATTCCATTAGTTTTCTTAGGTTTCCTTCAAATAATTCTAGTTTTTTTATTAGATGCATACACATTTATGAATGTTCTTCCTGGTAAATTGACTCTTGCATGATTATAAAATTATGCTAACACTCCTTATTGTGACATGTACCTGCTCTACTTGCTTTCTTTTTTTTTTTTCTTTTTTAAAATTTTTTTCAAGAATGGAGTCTTGCTCTTTCACCCAGGCTGGAGTGCAGTGGCCTGATCTCGGCTCACTGCAACCTCCACCTCCCGGGTTCAAGCGATTTTCTTGCCTCAGCTTCCTGAGTAGCTGGGACTACAGGCACGCACCACCATGCCCAGCTAATTTTTGTATTTTTAGTAGAGATGGGGTTTTGCCATGTTGGCCAGCTGGTCTTGAACTCCTGACCTCAGGTGATCTACCCGCCTCGGCCTCCCAAAATGCTGGGATTATAGGCATAAGCCACTGCCCCTGGCCTTGCTTTCTTATGCTTATTGTTTGCAGGTGTATTTTTGTCTACTCTTTAACTTTCTAGCTATCTAAGTAAATATTTATAAAGCATGTCTCTTATCAACAGTCTTCTAGAGTCTGCTGTTTTTTTTTTTGTTTTTTTTTTTAATGGAGTCTCGCTCTGTCTCCCAGGCTGGAGTGCAATGGCACAATCTTGGCTCACTGCATCCTCTGCCTCCTGGGTTCAAGTGATTCTCCTGCCTCAGCCTCCCAAGTAGCTGGGATTACAGGCTTATGCCACCATGCCTGGCTAATTTTTGTATTTTTGTGTTTTCTTTAGTAGAGACAGGGTTTCACCATGTTGGCCAGGCTGGTCTCGAACTCCTGACCTCGAGTGATCCGCCTGCCTTGGCCTCCCAAAGTTCTAGGATTATAGGTGTAAGCCACCACACCTGGCGAGTCTTGCAGTTTTATCCAGTCTGACAATTTCTTCTTTTTAATTGGAGTGTTTAAACATTTATATTTGTGTAATTATAGATATGACTGAGCTTAAATCTACCATTTTTCATTCTTATTTGTCTCATCTAGGTTTTATTCCTTCATTACTTGCATCTTCTGTCTTTTCAGTTAATAAAAGCATTTTTTACTCTCCATTTTACTTCATCTATTGTCTTTTTAGCTATTGTTCTTAATGATTGTTGCATGGCTAACATCCTTAACCTATCAAATTCTACTCAGAGCTGATATTCAGCACTTTTCACTCTTTCATCTTCACTTCTGCTTATGAGGTATATATTATTATCCAGACTTTTTAAATAGATGAGGAAATGGAGATCCAAAGAGGGTAAGCTGCTGAAGGTCACATATGGAAAGGGATGGAGCAAAGATGCCACTTGAAGAATGCTAATTACTTAAATGACCCCGATATTTAATTCAGTGGTTCTCTCCATATAGTCATTGCTTGTGCAAATTACTTTTGTGAATGGCATGAAAAAGTATTTGTGCTAAGGACTTGGTGAAATTTCCACGTAAGTTATCATAAAAAACCTCTAATGAAAGAGTTTGGCATCTCAGAGCCTATCAGTTTGGCTGCTTTCTCATGAAAAATTTCTTTAATTATGAGAAAATATTATTGCTAAGGTTCCCCAAAAGGGCACATCCATGAAAGACGAATTACAATGGGAAAATGTTGAATGTTTCAAAGAAGAGAGATGGGAGAATATTTTAGTTTTGGAATTATTATACAAGTGAAAGTCTGAAGTGATATAAGATATAGGGTAGCAAACATTTCTTGATCATGTAGTATATACTAAGTGCTTTTCAGACCACATCGCATTTACTCCTACGACAACCATACGTGGTAGATACTTCTTTATCTCTAACTTGCAGATGAGGAAATTGAGGCACAGAGAATATAAGATTGTGCCCAAGATCACACAACTGAAAAAAGAAGGAGCTAGTCACTTGAAAGCATGTGCTCTTAGCCACTATACAAATTGATGGTGGAGAGGACAGGGTGGCTTTCCATTTACAGCTCTTCTGGACTCTATTTTATGTAAGCCTCACAACAACTTTCTGAGTGGATAAATGTGATTCTTGTTTTTATGGATGGGAAAAAAGAGACAGTGGCTAGTGAGCTCACCAACATCCAACTTCACTATCAATAAAAGTCTGCTGAGTCCAGGTCTCCTGGACTAACACTAAACACTAAAAAATGAGTGTTTTAAACCAGGATAGGCCCATCCTAGAATGGAATAGAATCAGAAATAGAACTGCATTGAATAAAGGGCAAAGCATATGATGGGCTCTGAAAGCCAGAAGTGGAAGAGTAAGAAAGTGAGTCTGGAAATCTGTCTGGAAAAGTTTGGGACAAGGGAAAAAAAAGGAAAAGATGGAGAGAAAAGTTAATTATGGAACACCAAGAATTGAGGTAATCTTAGAACAGAGAGGACAGGTTAATTTTATGAGAGAAAAGAACCAATTTAAATGATTTTTTTCTGTATGTGTAATACTAAAAACATACTGTATGAATGATATTTCTACAAAGGAAATTCATTGTCTAAAATGAATTAGATATATTAGAGAGAGAAAAAAAAACACCTGAGTTATCTCTATGGGTCAATTTGAGTTGGTTAAATTTTAGCCCAAATTTATGGAAAAGATTTCCTCCATCAGAATTGGAATGGTTAAAGGTTTTGAATTACTTTTGATTTATTTCAACAGATTTTTTCATATATAGAGTAATACTTTGCAAAACCAGAATAAATTTTGCTAATGGGCATAACTTTTGCTTTTCTCAAACTAAAACAAGTAGATTAGAGGGTGCCAAAGGATAATAGTCAAACAGTTAACCTGAGTTCCTCAGGAGAGTGGGATCTGGATGAAGGGAGGAAGATTATCAATGCTTAATATTCCTTTGGGTTGTTTGACAGGTTGCAATAGGCATGCATGACTTTGAAATAACAATGATTATACAGTAGTAATAATAAATGAAAGTCATTATGTATTGTATTAGCTGAAGCTAAAGACAGGCTAATGAGTGTTTTAAACGTTTTTAAAGGAAGATAGGGTTCCTGTAATCAAAAAGTATTTTTGTAGTAATACAGAACTTTGATTTCTAGTTTAAACTGAGTTACATCTGCATATATTTGTTAGGAACATGAAAAAATAGTAGAAAGCAAAAAAATATCCTAAAGATTATCTATTCAAATGAATTCACTTGATAATCTAATTCTATTGATCATTTGAAGCCTCTCTTTTTGATTCATAATGAAGAATTTCAACTTGAGAGAACTCTGGAAGATTTTGCTAGTAAAATAGTTTTTGGAAAGCGTCTCTTTCTTTTGGTCTGATGCTGTTTCCTTATGAAACTTTGTAATATGTACTATACTGGAGAGTCAGCAGAAAGGGCGAAATAAATAAAACTGGACCATTCTGGAGGGAAATTGCAATATTTAAAACAAGAAGAGACAAATTCATAGGACATTTTGTAGGACAGAAATACAACTATATTTCAATGATCTTAATCTTCTCAATTATGTGTGCCTTTAATGGCCAAAATATTACATATGGTTTTTTGTGCCCTCTCAATTTTCACGTAGTATTAACTCTTATGGTTGTGTTGCCTACAGTTATGTACCCTGGAGAACTTCAGTAGATGAAGTAAATTGATATTTTGGTATGTGTCCTTTATATCTTAATATACAGACATATATACGTGTGTGCCAAAAACATTTGGGATCATCTTCTGTGTACTGTGTAGTGGCTTAATTTTTTTCAGTTTTCTGGGTATTTTCAACATCTTCTGACATCATTAACTATTTTTCTTCTTCATGGTTTTAAAGTCTGCCTAGTATTCCATCCTATAGATGTACTACAATAATCAAGTTTCATATTACTGAGCCTTCAGATTTTTCCCATTTGAAAAAAATTATAATACCCCCTGATACTGAACATTCCTATACGTGGTTGTTTGTACACTTTTCTAGTTATTTCCTGTGAATTCCTGGAAGTGGAAGTTCTGGGTCAAAAGATGTGAATGTTCTTCAGGCTTTTGATGCAAATTGTCAAATGTCCTTTCGGAAAGGTTGAACTGACCTTTGCAGTAGCATAGATGCGGCTGAAGGCGATTACCTAAACCTGAGAATTAATGCAGGAACAGAAAACCAAATACTCCGTGTTCCCACTTATAAGTGGGAGCTAACCATTGGGTATACATGGACATAAAGACAGGAACAATTGACACTGAGGACTACTAGAGGGGAGAGAGAGGGATAGGGGCAAAGGCCGAAAAACTACCTATTGGGTACTTATGCTCACTACCTGAGTGATGGGATCATTTGTACCCCAAACCTCAGTATCATGCATTATACCCATGTAACAAACCTGCACATGTACCCCCTGAATCTAAAATAAAAATAGGAATTATTTTAAAAAGACCCCAAACCCCCCAAATCAAGGCAAGACCATCCACCAGCAAAAAGATTATGACTTGCTGAAGACTCCGGTGATCATTAGCATTTTTTCAACAATAAAGTGTTTTTAATTAAGGTTAAAAAAAAGGTTGACCTGATATGTATTTCCAGCAGTACTGTATGAGATTGCCTGTTTGTCCTAAAAAAAATGGATATTATTATTAAAATAATTTTTATCAATTTGATGGTCAAAAACATATTATTTAATTATTTGATTACATGTGAAGCCAGTTTTTTTTAATGTTTATTGCTATTTGCATTTACTTATGAATTCTTAGTTCAGATCACTTACTTGGATTTCTATTGGAGTGTTTCTCTTGATAAAAGTTCTTTACATTTTAAGGATATTAACTTTTTTGTTATATACATTTATGTATATTTATCAGTTTGTTATTTGATGTTTTTAATGGTGTTGACATATTAGAAATATTATCGTATGTGGGTGTGTGTTCAAATGTATTATTGATTTCCTTTCTGTTTCTTCCTTTTGTTTTACATTTAAAAACCTCAGTTTGAGGTTAAACAAATTCACATTTTTTCTATTTCTCTTAAATATTTTATTTTTTTACATTTTATCATTTAATCAATTTTGAGTTTGTTTTGGTTAATGAATGTAGAAACCCATGTTTTTTTCAAATTAACCAATCATCAACACCATTTACTAATTATTTATTATCCTGTAATTTGAATTACTACCTTTACAATCTACTAAATATTTGCTTTCGTTTAAGTCTGTTTCTAAGCTTCCTACTCTGTTACATTGATCTGTTTAGTACTATACTCATTGTATACTATTTTAATTATTGTAGCTTGATGATATGTTATATTATGAGGTAGTCCTATTTCTCCTTTTATATATATATGGCCATACTTACCCCTTATTCTTCTGTGTGGGAAATTATTTTTCTTAGGCTACAAATAAAAAAAGTCAGCAAAGCATTTGATTAAAATTTCAGGGGCATGATAAGCTCTCAATATATTCATAAAACATGTCTTTTTATGTTTTTCAGAAGAGTTTGACAGCTTTTATAACATAGGTTCTGTAATTTCTCCCTCTTCACTCCCTTCCTTTTCACCTAGAACCTTTTGGATTGGTTTGTCTAAGCACCCCTGCGATGTGTCACCCCGCTCAGCATTGGCTTTCTTCCTCCTTGACCCATCTTTGCCTGTTGAAGTCTGGCTTCAGGACCCTGTTTCCCGCCTTCTCTCTCACTACTCCCCAACACACCCTTTGCCCTGTCATTCTGGATTCCTTGCTGGTCCTCAAAAATGCATTTTTGCTTTCCTGCTGCCACTATTTTGTTCATATGATTTTAAAAATCTGGGATGTCCTCCCTCCTGGTTTCATCAATTTTTTCTAATAGCAACAAATTTTAGCCCATCCATAGATGAAAGCAAGAAAGCCAAAACCTCTTAAAAGCATGACTTACAAAGAAGATGTAAGAACTGGAAAAATTAGTTGTGTGATGTGGGGAGTTCCTTAATCTCTCTGTGCCTGAGAGTCCTCATCTCTATAATGGGGACAATGGGACCAACCTCATAGGATTGTCAGAATGATTCAGTGGGATGATGCGTGTAAAGCCCTTGGCAGCATGCCTGGCACATGTGAATCCAAAAATGCTAACTGCAGTGGTAGGCAGAATAATGGCTCCCAAAGGTGTCCACGTCTAATCCCTGGAACCTGTGAATATGTTACCTTATCTGGCAAAGGGACTTTGAAGATGTGCTTAAGTTTAGGATCCTGAGTTGAAAAGATTAGCCTCGATTATCCAGGTGGTCCCAGTGCAATCACGAGGGTCCTTCTAAGAGGGAAGAAGCAGAGTCAGAGTGAGAGGAGATGTGATGATGGAATCAGAATTGAAGTGATGGGAGGGAAGAATAGAGCCAAGGACCTGGAAAAAGGCAAGGAAGCAGTTCTCCCCTAGAACCTCCAGAAGGAATGCAACCCTGTCGACACCTTAATTTCAGCCCAGTGAGACCCATGTCAGACTTTGGACCTACACAGTTGTAAGATAATAAATGTGTGTTATTTTAAGCCCCTACATTTGTGGTAATTTGTTATAGCAGCAATAGAAAAATAATAACACCTGTTATCATTAATTGTATCACCATGGTCATAATTATTATGAAACCTAGAAAAGAGAAGCCTTAGGACATAATCACAGCCTTAACATAATTAAATAATTTTCTGGTTGGTTCAGGGGGTAGAACCAAAATCAATGGTTAGAAGTCTCATTTGGAGACTTACAGGGGTTAAGTAAATAATTTTATGTATAAAATGCAGATAATATTTTTATTATATTTTGTCCAGTTTGATCACTATTGAATGCTAGTGCCTACAACAGTGCCTGGAACAGAGAAGTTGCTGAACAAAGTTTTGCTGAATAAATGAATGAAATTATTATTGTCTTTTAAAAAAGTTTTATTGAAGTAAAATCAACATAAAATAAACTACACAAATTTAAAGGGTACAATAACTTTGACCTGTGTACAGACCTGTGAAATCATTACCACAATCAAGAAATGAACACACCCATCACCCACAAGTTTCACTGGGCCTGCCCTCTCCCCGCCCCTTTTCTGTCACTTTTCATTAGTTTCCTTGATTTTTATAGAAATGGAATCATACCATATATGCTATTTTTTTTTTGTCTAGCTTCTTTCACTCCACATAATTATTTTGAAATTCATTCATGTTGTTGTGTGTATCAGCATTTCATTCCTTTTTAATGCTGAGGGGTACTGCATTGTATGGATACATCACAATGCGTTTACTCATTCACCTGATGATAGTCATTGGGGTTGTTTCCAATTTGGGATATTACAAATGAAGCTGTTATCAACATTATGTACCAGTGTTTGTATTAACATCTGCTTTCAATTTTCTTGGATTAATACTTGGGAGTAGAATGGCTGGATCATAAAGTAGGTATACATTTAACCTTCCAAGAAACTGCAAAACTGTTTTCTAAAGTGACTGTACTATTTCACATTCCCACCAGTATACAAGAGTTCAATTTCTTCACATCCTTACCAAGATTTGCTATTGTCAGTCCTTTTGATTTTGGCCATTCTAATAGGCATGTAGTGGCATTTCACTGTGGTTTTAACTTGACTTTCCCTAATGGATCATCATTTTGAATTTTTTGTTTGCTACTTGCTTTTTCTATGCAACAAATGCTGTATATCTTCTTTGCTAGCTATATGTCTTCTTTCATGAGATATCTGTGCAAAACTGTTGCCCATTTCACTATTAGATTTTTCTATGCCACTTGCTTTTTCTGTGCTACAAATGCCATATATCTTCTTTGCTAGCCATATATCTTCTTTCATTAGGTATCTGTTCAAAACTGTTACCCATTTCACTATTAGATTTTTTTCTTATTATTGAGTTTCAATAGTGCTTCTTGTATTCTGCACACAAGTCCTTTATCAGGTATATGATTTTCAAATATTTCTCCCAGTCTGTGGCTTGTCTTTTCATTCTCTTAACAGTCTCTTTTAAAGAGGACAAGTTTTAATTTTTGATCAAGTCCAATTTATCAGTTCATTCTTTTATGGAATGTGCTTTTGGTGTTGTATCTAAGAAATCTTTGCCTAACCAAAGGTGACAAAGATTTTTTTCCTGTGTTTTCTTCTAGAAATTTTATAGTTTCAGGTTTTATATATAGGTCCATATTTTAAGTTAATTTTTGTATATGATGTGTGATATGGTTATAAGTTCATCTTTTTTTTCCTTTTTGCATTTGGATATTCATTTTTTCCAGCATCATATTTTGGAAGACTATCTTTTCTCGAATGAATTGCCTTTATTGAAAATCAGTTGTCCATTTATGTTCGAGTCCAATTATGAACTCTCTGTTCCATTGATCTTTCTATCTATCTTTAGGCAAACACCATATGCTCTTGAGAACTGTAGCTTTATAAGTTTTGAAATTAGGTATTAATAGCCCTCCAACTTGGTTTTTCTTAAGGAAATGATTTTTGAATCAAGGGAAAATTCTGAATTATTGGTTGTTTAGAAGAATCTTGCAATGTTTCAGAGATAGCATTTGCTTTGGGGAGTAAAATGACTGTGTGACCTTTCTTATTGTTTGTGCACTGAATAAATGGAAATTGCCATATCATTTACTAGAGCCTGCATATTCTCTAAAATTAGTGTACACAAAGAAGGGAACAATAGACACCAGGGCCTACTTGAGGGTGGAGGGCGGGAGGAGGGTGAGGATTGAAAAACTACCTATTGGGTACTATGCCCATTACCTGGGGGACAAAGTTATATGTACACCAAACTCCCAGGACACACAATTTACCCATGTAAGAAACCTGTACATGTACCCCCTGAATATAAAATAAAAGTTGGAAAGAAAAAAAATTTTTTTCAAATAAAATTAGTGTGTAAACCATGTCACTTTTTCACAATTATTTAATATTTTCCTATAATTGAGTTTTATATATTACTATATTGAATATTTGTCAATCACCATGAGACAGTCAAAATTTATTTTTTGTTTTTCATTATTTCTGTCCCTCTTAGACTTATATCGCCCATAGGAATTCATTTGGATATAAATGTCCCATTTTCAGACATATATCTCTGAGTTATGAGCTGTTTCTCTAAGCTTGTAAGTTCTGCTTCTTGGAAAGTATTTATTCAGGCTTCAGTTTGACAGTTAACCCAGATGTATCTTATCACTATTTTTTCTCCTGAGGCTGCATTGTCATATTACTTTCCAGACATGCTGGTGTGCCTCAGTTATAAAGATGCTTCCTGATGTGTAATCATTTTAGAGTGCTTTCTTGATTTGAGTTATTTTCTTGACACCCTACACTGTAAGGAAAGGAGGAGAAAAGGAAATGGATTCAATGACCATTTATCGCCTCTGGGAATTCATAAATAAATAAGGCACAATCTTCATGCTGGAAGAGCACATGGACTCCACAAGGAGGAAACAGTAATTATAATACAGGGCACTGAGGGATGATAGGGGTGTTTGCAACATGCTGGAGCAGTGAGGAGAGGAGGGAGTTTCCATGACCAACAACAAGATCATAAATCTCCGGAACCTGTCTAAGGCAGAGGTCACTGTAGAGCCTTCACAGAATAAGGATGCATTAAAGGTTTGGTAAAGAGTAATGACACCATAGCATCTCTGTGTATGTTAGCACAAGAGGTTAATGTAAATGGGAAAAGCATCCCCTGCCCCCAATCTAAATGAGGAGAGCAGGCCTTGGCAGAACTGTGCTATTATGCCCAGTGTAGTGGTGAGGCACCTCCACTGTGTATTCTGGGGAATGTCCTCAAGACATTTCCTCCAAGCTTTAGAAAGATGTTGGCTTTCTTACAGATGATGAGGAAAAATAAATAAACAAATGCATTGTCCTCTGGAACATCAGGCCTCTGGCCTGCTGTAAGGGAGAATTGCTGACAGGTGCAAGTGGAAGCCCCTTCTGAGGAGTATTCCCTGGCACCCCTGCACCCTGTGAATGGGTAGGTGGGAGCCACTTGGGCTTGGACCATGGATCCTGCACCACAGCCATATTCTAGGACTGCAAAGGGAGTAATAGAAAGAACGAAAAAAAAAAGATGTAGGGAACTTTATTTTTTCTTAAAATATTGGAGCTCATGCAACCAAATTGTTCTTCAATATGGAAAAGAGTGTTGGTTATTTGTTTATCATACTCTAGCTCATTCCCACAGGTACAAGGATCTGAAGACAATGTGTACTTCCTTACACTGGGCCTTCATTTTTTTGGTCCATATCCATTTAATTTTGGTGGTATAACCCCTCAGGGACTACATAACCAAACTCAGAGTTGGGGGAGGTGTTTAATGACCCTTTTAAGATCCTTGTAACCCTAAATTCAGATTATAATTTGTTCCATCTCTGCCCTTCTGGAGCTTGGCATGTATTGTGACTCTCCGAAGCCCATTGTCTCCAGTCTAAGTCAGTTTTACCAGAGTGTGGAGAGATCATCAGTGTGATGCTAGAGACATGTTGCCTCAAGCTGCCTTGACTAGGAGGGTCGTCTTCTGTGCCACAGAGAGTGAGGGGGGAACAAGGCAGAGTGTCAGCTGGTAAGTTCGTGAGTGTTCTCCAGAGAGACAGAACCAATAGGATGTATATATATATATGGATTATATATATGGAATATATATATATGTCCTGCCCTACTGCCATATTCTGGGACTGCCAAGAGAGCAATAGATAGAATGAAAAAGAGATGTAGGGCACTTTCTTTTTTCTTAAAGTATTTTCTTGAAATCCATATTATACATACACACACATACATATGGAGAGAGAGAGAAAGATTGATTTATTATAAGGAAGTAGCTCACACACAGTTATGGAGGCTGACAAGTCCCAAGATCTGCAGGATGAGTCGGCAAAACCTGAAGACCTGATGATGTAGTTCCAGTCTGAAGGTTGGCCAGCTTGAGCCCCCAAGAGAGCCAATGTTTCAGTTTGTGTCCACAGGCATGAAAAAGCCAGTGTCTCAGGTTAAAGGCAGTTAGGCAAAAGAAATCCTTTCTTACTTGAGGGAGGGTTAGCCTCTTTGTTCTGTTCAGGCCTTCAACTGATTGAATGAGGCCCACCACATTAGGGAGGGCAATCTGCTTTACCCAGTCTACTGATTTAAATGTTAATCACATCCGAAAACATCTTCATAAAAACACCAAGAATAATGTCTGAGCAAGTATCTGGGCACCCACTGGCCCAGTCAGGTTGACACATAAAATTCACCACCACAGGTGGGTTGAAGAGGTATGTCCTTCTTTCAAGTGTAGATGAAGAGAATTGGATTTTTCTAATGTCCAGAAGCTAGCAAAGTAATAATTTAAATTTTTTTCTTTTGACTCATAACTGATACCTTTAACTTTTATCTTTAAACTCATTCTCATTGGGAAACTGATCTAAAACATACTTACATCTTTTCATGAACTGGTCCAGGACACAGAGCTGAGAATTTGGAGCATTGCTTCTCTGTCTTCCTCTTAGATTAATAATAGTAATAACAAAAATGATAATATAGATAATAATTATTTAGCCTTTGTCACATGCTAGGCACTGTTATCAAGGCTTTACATATGTTAACTCATTTACTCCTTAAAACCACCCTATGAACTAAATCCATTACCATCCTCATTTTGCAGATCAGAAAATTAAGGCACAGAGATGTTAAGTACTTACTGAAGGTCACATTGCTAATTAGGGACAGAGCTGTTATTCAAGCGCAAATGATCTGGCTCTTAATTTGAAAAGGCCTAAGGGATGACCTGAGGTAATCTCCTGATTTTAAAGATGAAGGAAAGAAGGCTTGGAAAAGGTAAACTGTTTGCTCGGAGTCACACAACCTGTAGGAGGCACCTCTCTAGTAGGCATCTGGTTCTTTCTCATGATGCTGCCCTGACTTATAGTCACCTTACTTTTGGGCTCCTCAGTCCTTATTCATCACTTTCCCTATTGCTACCCAGATAGAGACTTCCCTAAGCTTCCTTGACGTTATGAAAGGATGCTAGTGTTGCAGACTTTGTGAGTGAGAGCACTGGTTTAACTGTGGCTTGCTGTTCGATAATCTTACAGAAAGCACTTGAAGAGTCAGCACAAAACATCTTTAATGTTGGCACTGAAGATCTTTGGCCACTTTAAAATTCAGATTCATATCCGATGTAGTTAGGATTGCTTTCCAACCAGCATTATCCACAATGATTCATATTCTGTGTAATGCCTCCAGGAAGGAATTGTAACAGCAGGGTGCTGCTGGTGGGCAGAGGGCTAAACAATGGGGAGAAGGCCACGTAGTTATTCCACAACTAACCAGTTTGGGTGACTGTGTTCTAGATTAAATGCATTTCAGAGTATACCTTGTCGTTACAAGAAAGTCACACAAGACTAAACCCAAAAATACATGCTATTTTTTTAAAATAAAAAACTCTCAAACCCCAATGACTCAGCATACAGTTTGTGTCCTTGGGTACAATATTCATGAATGCTATTTGAGAAATATTTTTGGTTTCTCTCTGGGTACATTCCTGTCCCCTGGAAGTTAGGTATGGCCATATGATTTGGTTTGGCTAATGAAACAGGAGTGGAAATGTTGTGTGCCTCTTCAGGGTAAAAGTTTTAAGAGTGAGTATGTGCTTCACCACATTTCCTTCCTCTTGCTTTGTGGAAGCACAGGAGTGGGGCCTCCCTCTGCCTGCTCCCTGTGTGAGGACTGTGGAGAGCAGAGTCCCCAAGCCAACCTGCCTGGACAGGGAGCATGAGCAGGAAATGAAATGTTGTTTGGTGCCCTGCCCTCCACCTATGTCTAGCTGTCTGCCATCTATTTATATTTTTAATGTGCAGTAAGTATAGATTTACAGGAAGTTGCAAAAATAATAGAGAAAAATCCCATATAGCCTTCTTCAGTACTTCCCCCATGGGTGTTACTTACATAACTATAAAATATTTAAGTCACTGAGATTTTGGGGTCACCTCAGCATTAACTATTCTATTTTGACTAATAGAGGTGTTTTTTAATGCATACCTTAATTACAGGGGCATGAAACTCCTCCAAACACCCATCACATTTTGATTCCCCCCACTTTTGTGCAACAGCATGTTTTTCCCTGTATTATACTCATGTATATTTTTATTGCTCATCTGCCAGATCACAGGCTCCCTAAGAGAGTACATCTTATTCATCCTTAAATCCCTCCCAAAACATTGTTGTAGAAGGCACTTTAAAATGTTAATTAATGAACGGTGTATTGCTGTGTAGTTGCCTTTTAAGTATAAATGATGGGAAGTAAGCAGCTCATCTGGAGACTTAGAGGGGTTAAGTGTCCTAAAGTCCATCATTATTCAGCTGCTTCAGTATTGAGCAGTGGGATCATCCAAGGATATAGTGGAAGCCTGGGAGGTTGAATAATAATAATAATATTTGGCAGAAGTGTGGCAGGCAGAGAGAGAGATTCCATTAGGCATAGAATTATTTCTACCTTGCATTTACAGGCCACATTCCTTATTTGCCAAACTATAGACTTTCAGTGCCTTGGAAAATTTATCTATGAGTATATGTATCTTTTGAGTTAAGATTTTCATTCTGAAATCATGTTACTTCCCTTTCCCCCACTATGAGATTTTCGTAGCCATCTACCTTTGGGAGAAAAATCATACCCCAATTGAAGTTGAAGTCAGCAGTGCATGTTCCCCTGTGGCCAGGTGTTTTATGATGGGGACACTTTTGTAAGGACCTCTGTAGTGGGCTATTCCCTGAGACAAAAACTGGAAAACAGTTGGACCACTGACATCTGGTTTTGGGGCTGCCCATTTTTCCTGTGCTGCTGGTATGTAAATAGAAGTCTGCAACCTTCCCTCTGGGCCCCATAATACCAGCTCATCCCCACCGATTTCTTCTTTCAGATCTCTGTCCAGTCTTCCCTCTGTACTCTAGCCAGCATTCTCCACAATCCTCTTAAGGTGGGCTTTGTCCAGCCCAGAAATGAGCACAGCACTCTAGGGACTGAACATTGTAAATCCCTGGCTTCTGTTCAGGATTTACACACGGTCTCAGGCTCTCTCTTCCTCTCTCCATTCTAATGATGTATAGTTAACCCAATACTTCAATATTGAGAGAATGATTAGATCATGGAGTAGTTGTGATCATATTTTAATTCTTTAGCTTTCCTTTGAGAATAAAAACTGAGGACAAATGTTTGAAGGTCTTCAGAAGATGATTTCAAAGATACACGAGGGAATGTCAGTGTCAGGAGAAATGATTCTGAATTATCATTCAAGATGTAAGATTGGCGCTTGCTAAGCCACATTCCAATATAAGGTGAATAAAAGTAAACAAGCCTCACCTGAACTCATTTCCTGGGAGCTAGATAGGGTGGCAACTTATTTTGGTCTTACATAGCTCATTAAACACAGAAACATTCTGCTTGTCCTCTTGTACGGGAGAACTTAAATTAGATACCAAAGATGAGTAGAAACAAACTGTACATAGGCTGCAGCTTCTGGGAGTATATTTTACAGAAATATTTGAAATCAAAAGACTTGCCCTGAATGCAGATATATCCAGAGTGAAAATAGGAGAGTTTGACTACAAAGGGTAGATAAGAATATCATCTGGTGTCAGACAGGGCTATTATAAGTGACTTGGGTTGGCTGACCTGAGCCTTTTCTTGCAAGCAAGATAGAAACTGGCTTGAGGAGGCCGAGCTAATTATTTGTGAGGGATAGGCAATGACTGAGGATTTCTCCTGGGACAGGGCTTCCTGATTTATTATCAGTTACAGCTGAATAGTTCTTGGAGCTGATGCAGAGTTATGGACTCTATTGTTTTCTAAATAATGTTTCCATGACTAGTTGCTAGGATTGGGTATGAGCAGAGTGTGAGCTGAGGAGTGACTGGGTGGGCAAAATAAAATGATCTGCCCACGTTGTTATGGCAGCCAACAGGAGGGCAAACCCAGTGAGAAAATGAACCCAAGCGATGCAAAGAAAAAAACTGCAGTAAGAACCACATACAGCGGGGCGCGGTGGCTCACTCCTGTAATCTCAGCACTTTGGGAGGCCGAGGCCGGCGGATCACGAGGTCAGGAGATTGAGACCATCTTGGCTAACACGGTGAAACCCCATCTCTACTAAAAATATAAAAACTTAGCCAGGCGTGGTGGCGGGCGCCTGTAGTCACAGCTACTCGGGAGGTTGAGGCAGGAGAATGGCGTGAACCCGGGAGACAGAGCTCGCAGTGAGCCGAGATCACGCCACTGTACTCCAGCCTGGGTGACAGAGCGAGACTCTGTCTCAAAACAACAACAACAACAACAACAACAACAAAACACATATACACATGTCCTTGTTGATGCATTTGGTGTCCTCAAACTGTCACCTGGCTGGATGCTTCTTGTCATCCAGCTACCAGCCCAAATGCTGCCTCCCTGGATACCCATTCTAAATACTCTGCTCCCACCTTCCATCTCTCTCTAGCAGTCAAGTCTATTTTATTTCATTTTTTTTCTGCACTCATCACTGCTGATATTATATTTTAGTTATTTTTCATTGTCTTCCCTACACTAGAATGTAATAACCATGAAAGCAGGGCCCTGTCTTTTTTCCATGATATCCTAGAGACTGATATAGAGCCTGGCACAGAGTAGGTACTCAATAAACATTTGCTAGATGAAAA
Organism: Homo sapiens; assembly: GCF_000001405.40. Taxonomy (NCBI): domain Eukaryota; kingdom Metazoa; phylum Chordata; class Mammalia; order Primates; family Hominidae; genus Homo; species Homo sapiens. The sequence continues at coordinate 59,826,716 of NC_000014.9, read as the reverse complement.
CCTGTGTGCTGCCTGGGTAGAAACACTATATTTTCTTCATATTTAAAGTTTGAATTTCTGGCTAAAAACATTTGTTTAGCAAAAGTGGGCCTTTGTGAAGCAGTGAGATTATCTTTGCGATCTTTGTCTTTCTCATAGCTTGTTCACAGGAGCCATTAGTCAATGCAAAGTCAGGGGGAGGAATTCTGGGGCTTCCAATGAGCTTCTGTAAATGACAGTCACATAACCAGACTGGGACTGGAAATATGGCAGTCTGAATATGGAGGTGACATAGACATAGCTCACTGGAATCCAGGACAATACTCATTAACAGGTATGGAGTGCTTACAATGTGCCAAGTATTCTGCTGAGTGTTTTATATACAGTGTCATTTAAGCTCCACAACTACATAATGAGATATAGTCTATCACTTAACCCATTTTATTGATGAGGAAATAGGCACAGAGAGTTTCACTTTCCAAAGGTTATCTAGTTTAGTGGTACAGCTGGTCTACAAATGCACTTCATAGGATCATGCTGAAAAGTACTGAGATCATTAGTCTGAAGTGTTTAGTTTGTGCTTAGTATAGTTTGTGCTCAACAACTGTTTCTTCTCTCTCTCTCTTTTTTCTTGTTGGTGCTTTTCTAAACTCCTGATATTGTGGTTTCTTGCTTTCCCATGGACTGCTCTTTTTGATCCAGGTGTTGGGGAAATGTAAGTATTCTATGATATATTTAATAGTGCAAAACACACAAGTGCAAATAGGAAAGCCAATGCTAATGAATGAAATGTCTGAACTAGGGTACTGGGAATGGGTACCACAAACTGTTAGGTCCCTCCTCACACCATTCCTGGAGTGAGTGGCCTGTAACGAGGTTATAGGCTCCTGGTCTGAGTTCAGTCACTAAGTAACTTTGAGACCTTGGGTAATGCCATTTAGTTTCTATGGCATACCCGAGGTCTATGTTTTATTTTCTCTAAAATGGAGAGTAAGATGGGGCACTGAGGAAGGTAGACTGTAAAATTCTGTGTAACTCTAAGAGCACACAGTAACACTATTCCTTGGCCACCGTGCTTTGTGTGGACTCCGTGGTTTGATGTGGCACTAGGCTGGCCTTCCAGCAGGGGTGCTTCTGGGAGAAGGCCCTGCTGTGGCCAGCTGGAAGTCCAGAAAGCCAGGACACAGCCGCCTTCCTCTCATGCTGCTGGCTACACCACAGGCAGCTTCCCCTCAGGCTGATAAAACTTTGACAAAACAGAAAACACATTGTAACTATTTTTAAAACTATTTTATAGCAACTTTCCCTGAATCAGAGCATTTTCCTGTGTACCTCAGCCTGCAGGAAAGGGCTGGGAGAAGCAGCAGAACAGTTGTTGCCTAAACCATATTGGGGCTGGTAAACAAAGGCCATAGACCAGGTAACCCAGAGGTCAGATACAAGATGGTGAGCTAAGGTTCTCAGCTGGGGTTGGGGAAGCAGTTTTTCTTCCCAGGGGAAATTTGTCAATGTCTGGAGACATTTTTAATAGACATGACTCGGGTGCTATTGGCACCTAGTCGGTAGAGGCTAGGGATGTTGGTAAAGATTCTACAATGCACAGGACAGCTCTCTAGAACAAGTTAATTTCACGTGTACGCTATAGTATTATTAACTGGAGTCACTATGCTTTACATTAGATTTCCAGAACTTATTTATCTTGTAACTGAAAGTTTTTACCCTTTGACCAGCATCTCTCCATTTCCTCGCTCCCCCAGCCCCTGACAACCACCATTCTACTCTCTGCTTCTATGAGTTCAGCTTTTTAAGATTCTACATATAAGTGAAGTCATGCCATATTTGTCTTTCTTTGCCTGACTTGTTTCACTTAGCATAATGCTCTCAAGATTCATCCAATGAGAATATTAACTTTAATGACACCTTGAAATTGGAGATCTAGATTTCTTAGTTGGCAAATAAGATATTAAAAAGTAAAATGCATTGTAGTAGCTTTTTAAACTAGTTGTCAACCCTTTTTGTGGCTGCAGTACCTAAAACTATTTGGGAAAAAACCCCAGCGACCTCTTGAATAAAAGTGAAGGGCTCCAGCATGGGAGCTGTCACCACATTTTTCTTCAGGTGTTGCTTGGCCAAAGGGAAGCAAGGGGAGTATTTTCCTGTAAATCAGATTTCTAGAGTCACATGAATACAAACATTTGCAGGGTAAACACTATGTAACATCTTACTTTTCTGAAGATCACTTTTTGGGCAATTTTAGGAAATGATTGTGAATCAAAGAGTGAACTCTCCACCCTCTACACATTTTAACCACCAAAATCATTATCACAGAATTCAGAAAATAAAGCTACAGTATTAGCAAAGGTCCACAGACCCTCTTTCACAAATATTTATTTTATAAAGCCATCCATACAGTAAGAACAAGCAAAATTAAGATAATGAAGAACATGGTAGAATGAGAGAAAATATTTTCAATCATTTCATCAAGTTTATGTTTATTAGAATACATAAAACTTAATAGGAGTACTTACAAATCTGAAAGAACACTAAATTGACAATGGATAAGTAGATATCATAGTTATCATCTATTGAATCTTTACTACATCCAGGTATTGGGTTCAGCGTTTTAAGAACATTATTTCATTGATTCTTAAATAACACTGCAGAGGTGGGTATGTTTGACATATGAGGAAACTTAAGCTTAGAGGAGGTAATTGGTTTAAAATGACATACAAGAAAGAAAACTCAGTAAATTGGCATTTGAAAACTATTTAATAACAAAATGAACAAAATCTCTGAGAAATACTGGATCGTGTAAAGATACCAAGCTTGCAACTCATTGGTCTTCCTGAAAGAGATGGAGAGAGAGCAAGCAACTTGAGAAACATAGTTGAGGATATTGTCCACCAAAATTTCCCCAACCTTGCTAGAGAGGTTGACGTGTAAATTCAGAGAACCCCTGTGAAATATTATATAAGACAACCATCCCCAAGACACACAGTCATCAGATTTTCCAAAGTAAATGTGAAAGAAAAACCCTCAAAGGCAGCTAGAGAGAAGGGGCAGGCCATGTGCAAAGGGGACTTCATCAGGCTAACAGTGGACTTTTCAGGAGAAACTTTGTAAGCCGGAAGAGATGGGGGGCCTATATTCAGCATCCTTAAGGAAAAGAAATTCCAACCAAGAATTTTTTCCAACCAGACTAAGCTTCATAAGTGAAATAGAAATGCTAAGGGAATTTATTACTACACAACTGCCTTGTAAGAGGTCCTTAAGGGAGTGCTAAACATGGAAATGAAAGACTGATATCTACCACCACAAAAACACATGCAGTGACACCCATAGGCTCAAAGTAAAAGGATGGAGAAAGATCTGTCAAGCAAAAGGGAAACGAGAAAGAGCAGGGGTTTCTGTTCTTATTTCTGACAAAACAGTCTTTAAACCAATGATGATTTAAAAAAAAAAGGGGACAAGGAAGGACATTACATAATGACAAAGGGCCCAACCCAACAAGAAGACTTAACTCTCTTAAATGTGTATGCACCCAACATTGGAGCATCTAGATTCATAAGACAGGTTCTTAGAGATCTATGCAGAGAATTAGATAACTACACAATAATGGTGGGAGTCTTCAACTCTCCAGTGACAACAGTGTTAGACAGATCACTGAGGTAGAAAAATAACAAAGATATTTGGGACCTAAACACGACACTTGACCAAATGGACGTAATAGACATCTACAGAATACTCCACCCAACAGCAACAGAATATACATTCTTCTCATCAACACACAGCACATACTCTAAGATGGACCACACCCTTGGCCGTAAAGCAATTTTCAACAAGTTAAAAAAAAAAAAACCCAAATTATACCAACCATACTCTTGGACCACAGCAGAATAAAAATAGAAATACCAAGATCACTCAGAGCCATACAATTACATCGAAATTAAACAACCTGCTCCTGAATGACTTTGGGGTAAAGAATGAGATCAAGGCAAAAATTAAAAAAACTAATGAAAACAAAGGTACAAACTTACCAGAATCTCTGGGATACAGCTAAAGCAATGTTAAGAGGAAAGTTTATAGCACTAAATGCCTACATCAATAAGTTGGAAAAATCTCAAAATTAACAAGCTAACATCACACCTGAAGGAACTAGAACAACATGAGCAAACCAACCCCAAAGCTTGGAGAAGAAAACAAATAACCAAAGTCAGAGCAGAACTGAATGAAACTGATATGTGAAAATCCATATAAAAGAACAGTGAAACTACATGTTTGTTCTTTGAAATATTAAACAAGGTTGATAGATTGCTAGCCAGATTAATAAAGAACAAAAGAGAGAAGATCCAAATAAACATATCAGAAATGACAAAAGCAACATTACTACCAATCCCACAGAAATACAGAAACCCCTCAGAGACTACTACAAACACCTCTGTGTACACAAACTAGAAAACCTAGAAGAAATGGATAAATTTCTGGAAACATACAACCTCCCAAGACTGAACCAGGAAGAAATTGAAATCCTGAACAGACCAATAACAAGTTTCAAAACTGAATCAACAATAAAAAACCTACCAACCAGAAAAGGCCCCAGGCCAGATGGATTCACAGCCAAATTCTACCAGACATACAAAGAAGAGTTGGTAATAATCCTGCTGAAATTATTCCAAGAAACTGAGAAGGAACTCCTCCCTCACTCACTCTATGAGGCCAACATTAATCTGACACAAAAACCTGTCAGAGACACAGTGAATAAAGAAAACCTCAGGCCAATATCCCTGTTGAACATAGACACAAAAATCCTCAACAAAATACTAGCAAATTAAACCCAGGAGCAGATCAAAAAGCTAATCCACTATGATGAAGTAGGCTTTATTCCTGGGATGCAAGGTTGGTTCAACATATGCAAATCAATAAATGTGATTTCTCATGTAAACAGAACTAAAAAGAAAAGCCACACAATCATCTCGATAGATGCAGAAAGGCTTTCAATAAAATTCAACATCCCTTCATGTTAAAAACCCTCAACAAACTGGGCATCGAAAGATCATACCTCAAGATAGTAAGAGCCATCTATGACAAACCTACAGTCAACATCATACTGAACAGGCAAAAGCTGGAAGCATTCCCCTTGGGAACCAGAATGAGACAAGGATGCCCACTGTCTTCATTCCTATTCAACATACTATTGGAAGTCCTACCCAGAGCAGTCAGGCAAGAAAAAGAAATACATCCAAATAGGAAGAGAGAGAAGGTGAAACTATCTGTCTTTGCAGATTATATGATTCTATACTTAGAAAACCCTGTAGTCTGTATCCAAAGGCTGGGAGAATTGATAAACAACTTTAGTAAAGTTTCAGGATACAAACTAGAAACAACGTACAAAAATCAGGAGCATTTCTGTAGACCAACAACATCCAAGCTGAGAGCCAAATCAAGAATGCAATCCCATTCACAATATCCACAAAAGGAATAAAATACCTAGGAATACAGCTAACCAGGGAGGTAAAAGATCTTTACAGTGAGAACTGCAAAACACTGTTAAAAGAAATCAGAGATGACATAAACAAATGGAAAAACATTTCATGATCATGCACAGGAAGAATCAATGTTGTTAAAATGGCTATACTGCCCAAAGCAATTTAAAGATTCAGTGCTATTTCTATCAAACTACCAATGTCGTTTTTCACAGAATTAGAAAAAAAACTGTTCTGAAATTCACTTGGAACCAAAAAGAGCCCAAATAGCCAAAGCATTCTTAAGCAAAAAGAACAAAGCCAGAGGCATCCCACTACCCAACTTCAATCTCTACTACAAGACTACAGTAAACAAAACAGCATAGTATTGGTACAAAAACAGACACAGACTAATGGAACATGTTAGAGAACCCTAAAATAAAGCTGCATACATACAACCATCCGATCTTTGACAAAGTTGACAATAGCATATGATAAAGTTTGACTATATCCCCACTCAAAGCTTATCTTGAATTGTAGTTCCCATTATCCTCATATGTCATGTGAGGGACTCCATGGGAGGTAATTGCTAATACAACATGCAATGGGGAAAGCACTCTATTCAATAAATGGTGCTGGGATAACTGGTTGGCTGTATGCAGAAGACTGAAACTGCACCGACCCCTTCCTTTCACCATATGCAAAAATCAACTCAAAATGAATTAAAGACTTAAGTGTAAGACCTAAAACTATAAAAACCTAGAAGAAAACCAAGAAAATACCCTTCTGGGCATATGTCTTCACCAAGATTTCATGACAAAGTCTCCAAAAGCAATTGCAACAAAAACAGAAATAGGTAAGTGGGACCTAATTAAAGTAAAAAGCTTCTGCACAGCAAAAAAAAAAAAAAAAAAAAAAACTATCAATAAGCAGACAGCCTACAGAATGGGAGAAAGTATTCACAAGCTATGTGTCTAACAAGGTCTAATATCCAGAATCTCTAAGAAGCATAAACAAATCAACAAGCAAAAAAAAAAACCCCATTAAAAAGTAGGCAAAGGACATGAATAGACACTTCTCAAAAGAAGACATACATGTGGCCAACAAGCATATGAAAAAATTAACATTACCACTCATCAGAGAAATGCAAATCAAAACCACAATGAGATGCCATCTTGAGAGGTGACAACTTGCTAGCACCCCTCACTCGCTCTCGGCGCCTCCTCGGCCTTGGCGTCCACTCTGGCCATGCTTGAGTAGCCCTTCAGCCCACCGCTGCACTGTGAGAGCCCCTGTCTGGGCTGGCCAAGGCCAGAGCCGGCTCCCTCTGCTTGCGGAGAGGTGTGGAGGGAGAGGCGCAGGCGGGAACCAGGGCTGAGTTCTGGGTGGGCGCGGGCTCAAGGGGCCCCGCACTCGGAGCGGCTGGCTGGCGCTACCGGCCCAGGCAGTGAGGGGCTTAGCACCTGGGCCAGCAGCTGAGTAGGATGCACCGGGTCCCCCAGCACTGTAGGCCTCCCCGCGCAGTGCTCGAATTCTTGCTGGGCCTCAGCCGCCTCCCCACAAGGCAGGGTTCGGGACCTGCAGCCCGCCATGCCGGAGCCCCCAGCCTCCCCGACGGGCGCCGTCCCCTGCTCCGCAGCGCCCGGTCCCATCGACCGCCCAAGGGCTGACAACAGTGGTCGCGCAGCGCAGAACTGGTGGGCAGCTCCACCCACGGCCCTGGCAGGTGAGCCACTAGAGGAAGCCAGCTAGGCTCCAGAGTTGAGGGGGTGGGGGCTTGGAGAACTTTTATGTCTAGCTGGAGGATTGTACTCTGTGTCTAGCTGTGGCCGGGGGGGGGGGGTGGGGGGTGGGGGGGGGGTGGTGGTGGTGTGGATGCACCAATCAGCTCTCTGTAAAATGGACCAATCGGCTCTCTGTAAAGTGGACCAATCAGCAGGATGTGGGTGGGGCCAGATAAGGGAATAAAGACCCGCCACCCGAGCCCCAACTGCAACCTCCTAGGAACCCCTTCCATAATGTGGAAGGTTAGTTCTTTCGCTCTTCACAATAAATCTTGCTGCTGCTCACCTTTCAGGTCCGCGCCACTTTTGTGAGCTATAACACACACTGTGAAGGTCTGCAGTTTCACTTCTGAAGCCAGCGAGACCACAAATCCACTGGGAGGGATGAACAACTCTGGACGGGAAGAACCAACGACTCGGGATGCGCCACCTTTATGAACTGTAACACTCACTGCGAAGGTGTGCAGCATCACTTTTGAGCCAGGGAGACCACGAACCCACTGGAAGGAACGGACAATTCCAGACGCGCTGCCTTTAAGAGCTTTAACACTCACCGCGAAGGTCCGCGTCTTCATTGTTGAAGTCAGCAAGACCAACAACCCACCAGTTCTGCACACAATCTCACACTAGTCAGAATGGTTATTATTAAAAAGTCAAAAAATAGCAGATGTCGCTGAGGTTGCAGATAGAAGGAAATGCTTATACACTGCTAATGGGAATGTAAATTAGGTCCACCACTGTGGAAAGGAGTGTGGAGAATTCTCAAATAAGTTAAAAGAGAGCTACCTTTTGGTCCAGAAATCCCATTACTGGGTATATACCCAAAGAAATATAAATCCTCCTACCATAAAGACACACGGACTCATATGTTCATCATCATACTATTCGCGATGACAAAGACATGGAATCAATCTAGATTGAATAAAATATCAATTTAAATATTCGATTGAATAAAAATATTTATTAAATAAGTATTTTGAATTAATATTGAAATAAATATTAAGCCTCTGACTCTGTCTCAGGCACTGTGTGAGTGCTGGAGATATAGAGTTGAAGAGGATTCCATTCTTATTTCCTAGGAGTCCCCTGGGGATTGGAGAAGGCAGGCAGTTTGCCTTCTTACCATGTGGTCAGCTTTCTAGTGGTAGAGAAATGGACAAAGTGCTAGTGGAGATGGGTGAGAGTGGACAGAGGCCTCCAGAGAAATGGTTGTGCCCACCAATGATGGACTGGGTAAAGAAAATAAGGTACATACACATCATGGAATACTATGCTGCCATAAAAAGAACAAAATCATGTCCTTTGCAGCAACATGGATGCAGCTGGAGGCTATTATCCTAAGTGAATTAACACAGAAAGCCAAATACTGCATTTTCTTACTTATAAATGGGAGCTAAACATTGAATACACATGGACACAAAGATGGGAACAACAGACACTGTGGCCTACTTGAGTGGGGAATGTGGGAGGAGGGTAAGGGTTGAAAAACTACCTATCAAGTACTATGCTCACTACCTGGATGACAAAACCATTTATACACCAAACCCCAGTGACACACAATTTACTCGTGTAACAAACCTGCACATGTACTCCTGAACCTAAAATAAAAGTTGAAGAAAAAAAGAAAACTATTTGATCTCACGGTAAGGAAACAAGTGTTAAGCACTGGTTTATATCTATTTAACTAGCAAAAATAGAGAAAACGCAATGTGCTGACAACAAAGCTATGGACAAATGGGTGCACTTCGACATTATGCATGGCAGGACACTAGGGTGGCAGGGTGGTCCAAGAGTCGTGGAAATGTTTATACTATTCATCCAGCAGACTTGCTCTTCAAAATCTTTCTTAAAAAAAAAAAAATCAAAGGGAGGTAATGTGTAGATAGATGGATGCTTTAGTATATCAACAATTTCCCATTAATAAAGAAGTGGTGGAGGACACCGAAGCATGTTTATTAAGAGGGCTACATGACAGTCTTTACAAAGAAGAAAAATAAAGGGTGTCTTCTTCAGGACACCCCCTTTGTCAGGATCATGGACTGCAGGGCTGTTTTGACAGATATTGGAAGAGACAATAGGGCTGCTTGATGACTTTTGAAGAAGCTGATCCAGGTTGGTCTTGTTTAGTGTCTTTTTTAAAAAATGCAGTTTTCCCCCTATCAAGCATCGTCTTGGTCAGATCCTCCTGTAGATAGGCTCATGGCATCCTTTATTTTTTCTTCATAGCACTTACCACAGTTTGCAATTACATTTTCATTTTGCTTACTATTAGTTAATGTTATTTCCCCCACTAGACTATAAGAGGTCCTGTGAGAACAGGGACCATCACGCTCGTAACCCCAGTGTTTGGCTTGGTGCCAGTCACACATAGGCTCTTAGTAACAATTTCCTGAATAAGTAGGAAAAAAAAAAGCTGCATTAAGTGTTTTTTAAGATTCCCTCTCTTATTCTTCTGTAAGTTCACCAGGCACTATTTGTCATGCTTAGATTTGCCCTTAAGATGTACATAAAACAACCCTTATTGGTACTGTGTATTTTATTTATTAATTAATTGATTTTGAGTCACGGTCTCTTTCTGTCACCCAGGCTGGAGTACAGTGGCGCGATCTCGACTCACTGCAACCTCCGCCTCTCAGGCTCAGGTGATCCTCCCACCTTAGCCTCCCGAGTAGCTGGGACCACAGGCACATGCCACCACACCCAGCTAATATTGTATTTTTTGTAGAGGTGGGATTTTGCCATGTTGCCCAGGCTGACCTTGAACTCGTGGACTCAAGTGATTCGCCAGCCTCGGCCTCCTAAAGTGCTGGGATTACAGGCATGAGCCACTGTGCCCCGCTAGTACTGGGTATTTTATAGCATGATCCTCCCCACTTCTCATCCCTGAACCCCATCTTAATTTTATCTTGGATGTTGATCACAGCCTGATTTCCTGGTTTGAATCCTCCATCTCAAAACTCATTTCTATGTGCAATAAATATTTATTAAGCCTCCTACTGTGTCTCAGGTGCTGTGTGAGTGCTGGAGATACAGAGCTAAAGAGGATTCCATTCTTGTTTCCTAGGAGCTCTCCGAGGATTGGAGAAGGCAGGCAATTAGCCTTGTTACCATATGGTCAACTGTAGTGGTAGAGAAATGGACAAAGTGGAGATGGGCGAGAGTGGACAGAGGCTTCCAGGGAAATTGTTATTTTGTTCTTTACTAAAGGTCTGTATCAGCATTCATTAATCACCTGAGTAACTAGTGTGTGTGTGTGTCTGTGTGTGTGCACGCACGCAAGCTTGTGTGTGTGTGTGTGCATACTTTAGTCTCTAAAAGTATGCATGTAGCAGTAAAGATAATTATAAAAGAAACAGGACATAAGGATCCTACACTCAAGTGTTAGGGAGAGAGAAATTGTGTTTCTGTGTATTTGGTGATGTTGAATAAACTATGTGGTGTAGGGATTAATCCAGGAAGGCTGCATGAAGGCACTTCATATCTTGGACGAAGAGCAGGTGGTACAAGTGATTGGCATTTGTGATTGGCTAGCAGGAATAACACCCTGAGCAAAGGCATGAAGGGTGGAACTAGTAAACTACAGAGAAAACAGCAGATTAACTGGGCAACTGGGGACAGTTGCAGATATACAAGGGCCCAGTGAGACCTTCAAGGGATGGGAATCAGTAATATGGGAAGGAGAAATGGACTCTAGGAAGGGAGGTCAGGTATTGAAAAGGCAGACCATAGGATCCGAGTTGGGAAGGGAGGAGTGTGAAATCAGTTCTCCAACAGGACAGGAGAAGGCCTAAAGGTTGGAGAACTGGGATGAGCCAGGCACCTTTGTGTTCCTGTGAGGGCACAGAGAAGATAGGCTCCCCATGGAGACCTTCTGCAGAAGTGCCTGGCTCAGTGGAAATGGGTCATTAGGCAATGAGCTTTCGGTCAGACTGAGAAAGTAGGAGTTGAGGAGGTGAGGACAGCATAAATTACCATCTGAGAATCTTGTGAAGAGAAAGCACTAGAGAGACCATGGCAACTGTAGGGGGATTTGGGATTCAGGAGGAGATTTTTAAAGTCTGGGAGAGATTTAAGCATGAGAGGGAAAGGGGATGAGCAGTGAAGTGATAGCTCCAAGGAAGTGATAGAAGGAGGGCTCCTGTGCACAGGGACACTTGCACTGTGTGCTGTGGGTCCTCAGATGCTCTGCTTCACTTCCAGTGCTATCACCTTCCAAGTATAAAACCCAAGAGGGAAAATTCTATTTTTGTTTCAAGTTACAGAATGGAGCTTTACACAGTGCAGGAGGGCGTGATTAGGATGGTCATCAGTGCCTATGATAGTAACTCAAAGAAAAAGCTTTCTGAAATGAAATCATTTTTCAGAGTAAATAGGAGCTGTCTTTTTCCAAGTGATTGCATCTCAGCAGTAATATATTACATGCCCTGTTTGGAGTAAATGAATAATGCACAAGACTGTGAGTCTTGAGCAATATAAAATAGCTTGAACACACTGTTGTGAACAATATATAATCTTGGCTTTAAGTTTTACTACTATTTCTGCTGTTTTAACAAAGTAGCTGATTCTAACTACTGCAGAGCAAAAAGCCCAAAATATTATATATGAGAAAATCACACTGAACATAAATCAGGGTAACTTTTCCTTATAAGGATAAAATTATCCCAGAGAGAATTTGGCTGTCCTCCTCAGCTGTGAACATTTATACATTCTGTGTACATTTCCTTGTTTGGGTTGCTTGTAGTAGCCTAAAATCATGAAGGTTGATTTACATGAGTGAATGAATGAGATCATTTGAAGATTAACTTTCAGCATTTTTAATCAGGGTTTTCTCAAAGAGTATGTTGAAGTTGGCACCAATCTGTTTTGTTGAAGCCATAGATGACCAGATACACTATTGTTTGCAAAAATGAGTTAATGGATTAAAAAATGTGAGAGTGATGGAACTTGGAAGAATGTCATTTAGCTTTTCCTTTTCATAGTCTGCCTTTCCAGAGAAGCTGCTGGCTTGATCTCTTCAGAGCCTGTGCTTTCGGATGTAGAGCAGACTCCACTATACAACGGCCCTGACTCCAGTCTAGGAAATGGTTGACATCAGCCCTCACTGCCAATATGCAATCAGCTATCTATCAATTGAGCTTTTTGCTCACTTTACTACAGTGACTTTTGTGGATGTCCAACTTTCAGCGTCTGCCGTGATATAAATCCAGTAAGAGCCTTCCTGCTCTTGACCATGCTGGATCTTATTCCCCAGGTGCCTAGACCTGGGGTATTTTTCTGCTAATGTGTGTGTTCTGCCTTCTTTCCCTCACTTTTCTCTCTTCTGCCAGCCTAGAATGTGGACATGATATCTGAGGGTACAGCAACCATTTTGTGTGCATGAGAGCAAATCTATAAGTCAAATAAGGCTTTGTGGAAAGGCAGGACTCTGGGCTTCACAGGAGTCCCTGCCTGGGACTGCCTACTCCTAGGCATCTTTTTCATGAGAAAATTTAACTCTCTAAAGTGTTTCTGATAACATGCAGTTGAATGCAGTTCCAATTGTTTTATCTCCTCATCAATTCCAGCGATGGTCTCTAAAACTTTTTTGATCATGACGTCTATCAGTAAAAAAAAATTGAACACATCATATTTATATACATTCATTTGTATTTTATTTATTTATAAACTATCCACATGTTCTAATAATATCTTGGAAATAGAGAAAAAAGTAATAAAAATAAAACACATTAAAACTAATTTTGTATTTTATTCTATTTATTACTGATATAGAATCTTTTTTTACTCTCAGTACTGAGGAAAATAGAGCAATGTGAATGTGATTCAATGTACTTTGAATTTCTTTTTCAAATCACACTCTTTTTTCCGGAATTACACTTTGTGGTAGAATGATCTGAAAGTCTGTCTCTTAGGCTAGTTTAGCTCTATGCTTGGTTTTATTGGCAGTCAAATTTTAAAAAGCGGTCTTACAAAGATACACGTATTCAAATGGAATAAGTAGATGATTGGTTGAACTTATCAAGTCTACATAGTCATCTTTCAATCCCATCCATCAATAATACAAAAGTATTTTTTTAATTGAATTTGGCCAGTAAACTTTATTTCCCTTGATGACTTTCCCCACAAACTAATTGGGAGTGATGCTTTTAATACATTTAACAATTGGCTTCAAAACTCACAGAAACTTCTCGTGGAAGATTTTTAGATGGATTAGAAAATTCAGTTTCCAATTTAATGTGTGCAGATATGAGAGTTTTTATATATGACACACATCAGAAAAAATTATCTAATAATGAAATCATTTCCAACTGTTCATTTTCAAAATGTTCCTTCCACAACTCAAGTTTCTTTTAGAAAGCCCTTACTTTGTCCCTGTTGGTTGAAATGCCACCTTTACAATGAAGGGAGAGTGTGCATGTGTTTATTTTTATTTAAATATCTACTCAGTAGCATATTACAGAGGCATTTGTTTTTATTCTAGGAGAAGTCAGCATATTTAGGTTACTTGTCTTTTTTTGTAAAAGAAAAATAGGTAGTAACTCAAAGTTCAGCAATTCTTTTATTTACTTTGCAGTGAGATAATCAGCAAAACTTGATAAGATACAGAAGATTTTCTTGACCACTCTCCATTTCGTTGCAAATTATTGAAAGATTGTGCTATATTTCAGTGTGTTGTTTTTGTACTTTTAAGTGCAATAAGTTCTGCTATAAAGCTTGTTTGAGAATGTGTGTTCATTCCAATGCATTTGATATACTAGGGAATAGTTTTAGCATAACACAAATTTTGTGTTTGCTTATGCACACTTTCATACATGAGAAACACTCAGTGAAACTAGGTGAATGGAGAAAATAGCTGAATTGACCAACATGGGAATACACAAGGCACACATGCACACACATACCCATCAAATATCTACCAGCTACTTCAATTTACCATGTTATATTTGCATGTGTTATGAACCATGCTTGTTCACATCTAGTGAACTTTTCATACAATTTCAGATAACCCTCCTTCACCATTACATAATAACCTACAAGCTGCAACACTTTTAATACTTATTTTCACAAGCCTTCAGACCTTTTTCAAGGTACAGTGCCAAGTTTATTATATATTTATGTATTTCTTAACCATTTAACACATGGAAAACTGCTTCTGTTTTTATGAAATTTCTACCTTTTTAAAAAAATTCCATCACTTATGAAGTTTTTGAATGTTATGTCTTTTACCCTCATTTTCCCCTAAAATGCCCTGTGATTTTAATGGTAATTTTGCTTAGGGTGGTGTGGTGATTTTTAGGAATGCATATGTTATTTGATAGCAGAACTGACTGCACATTGAGGACCTCCAGCAGCTGTTTGTGCAATCCTGGCTCTTGGCTTTAACTTCTTTGTAGCAATGGTTTGCTTCTGAAGATTCAGTGAATGGGTTTCACAGTGAGGTGCTATCACACCTCAGTCTGAATAGCACAGTGAGGTGCTATTCAGTGAATGCTATTTCACAGTGAGGGAAGGCACTAACCTTCCCTCCTTTCCTCCTTCCTAACTAAAGAAGTATTTACAGTGATTCTGACTTAATTAGTCTGGGAAGGAATTAGTCTGGCTATGAGCATTTTTTAAACGTACCCAGTTAATGCTTATGTGTGCAGTTAGGGTTGAGAACCGCTGCTTCAGTTGTTCACGTAATGTAGCTCTTTGGATATTTTATCACTAAAACAGATACTAGCAAATACCATAAGTGGAGACATGTTGAAACTCCAGTGTTGTCTCTTAACTGTGTAGCAAACCTCCCACATTGTATAACTTATACTAATATGAGTCTTTCCAAATATGCGGTGATATTTTTAAATGCATCTTCCAACAATATTTGCTGCATCAAGGCATATAGAACTTTAAGCAGCCCTGAAAAAACTGTAATGTTTGATTTCCTGTTTAGGATATCCAGTTTTTAAATGCCTTGCTAGTTGTGATGACCTGACACCATTATTAGCTGATATTTCAAGAATTGATACGTACTTACAATGCAGTGCACATTTATCAGCAGTAGATATAGATCTATATTTCAATTAACAAGAAAACTAATTTCTGTGGTCAGATCTGATTAAATTGTCATTGATTTTAGCTTGTAATGTGGCTGATGAAATGATCAGACTAGAAGTGTCAGTTCATTTTGGGGTCATTTGCTTGTGTTTGCATCATCAGGGCTATCATCAACCTATAGTTTCTTTGCTGGGAATCTTTTTAAGCCACTTGCCCATTTGTGACAGACTAATACAACTCAGTGATACAGTCTGCAAACATTCCTACTGAGTATCCATAGACTGCAATTTTACAATATACTAAAAGTTCACCAATGATTGAGGAGGTTCACCCTTCCCCTGGGAATCCTTGAGCATCAAAAATATAGATCAAGTGAGAGAGTCTGTGCCAATCCATATATTTGATATTAACAATTATTTTCAATAAGACTTACACATATATAGAAGTTCCAGTATATTTCTTCCTGCACCACAATAGATTGCTTTGTTTGCTTCTCTTTGGAGAAAACTGGGCTGCAGCTACAATCCAGGGTCCTGTAATAAAGGGTCTCTAGGATCTGGCCTCTACCTACTGCTCCAACTATGTTTGGGGTCAATCCCAGGTTCACACTCGATGCTTCAGCATCAGGGACTTGTTTAGTTCTCTACACGCAACATATTGTCTTGCTGCCATGGCTGTACTTGTCCTTGTCCTCTTCACCTCGCTGACTCCTATGAATATTGAAGATTCTGTTCAGATATCATCACTTCCTGGTAACTTTCCTTGAGTGTTCCTCCCCACCGATGTCACAATATTCCCATACACCCTAAGCATATTTTTATCACTCCAGGCATCACATCTTTTTATAGTTGTTTATCGCTTTTAGTCTCCCAAAAGGCCATGAGCTCCTTGATGTGGAGAAGTGAATGCCCAAAATGTGAAGAGTCTTAGATTTTACCCTTCCTGCAAGCTAACAATTAGCCCACCATAGTTTCATGGATGCTGGTAGAAGACACAAGACTCCTGAATCAGAAACAGAGAACTCTATTACTTCTACAGTAGGCATATGTACTTCATGTTTGCATCAGTGTCTTAACCCCCAAATAATATGCAGGCAATAGAGCAGCCCACATGGACGCTGCACACACAGCAAGTTTGTGTCACAGCCAAGGAACCCTAAGCTTAGGAAAACCTCCCATCTTCTAAGAGGGTACTAGTGAACCTGATCAACCTTTGCTTCAGAGAGAAACATTATCATATCCAGATTGGGAAACAAACCTGCCTTTTGCCTGGAAAGGAGACACTCTCTCTACCTTCCAAGGCTGTTGCTATACAAACATTCTCAAAAAGATAGTCCAGATCAAAGCAGTCAATACCTTTCCATAAGATATATGGAATTGCAAGAGACCCAGGGAAAATCATCTCCCAAAATGAGTCTTTTCTTTCTCTTGCAGGTAGCACAGGGCTAGGAACGTAGTGGGTACTCTAAATATTTGTTGAAAGATGATTGAATGCAGCTGGGAATTTTTTAAAAACTTTGAGAGGAAATTTAAAAGTGCTTATTTCAGAAGTTTTCCCTTCAAAATCCTTGAACAGAGACCAATTTTTTTAAATATAAAAAAAGCACAAAAATCGGCCTGAAACACTCTTACTACCTCACTAGGGCATCTGGGGGTTCTGTTGTGTCTTAGGTATTCATGAAGTCCTCAGCCTTTGTTCAGCTGCTTTGCACGTGTGGGCCCAAGGTAGGAGACTTTCACATGAAAAGTCCTGTGACTAGACTTCCAAATGCCTTTGGGACTCTCTTATTTCCTGTCCAATGGATACATTAAAGCTAAATTCTGAAAGTTCATGCTTACAACAAGGAAAGACAGTTAGCAGATTAATTAGCCTTCTATTTACCTTTATATTTCACTGAGCCATTAATTTGTATAATTATGGCCTTTTGCCTTGTCTCAGTGATATTAGCATAAGAAAGTATTTGCTGAGCCTGAGTCCCTGGTGTGAAATGTTGGGAAATTCCAACATACTTATAGAGAGGAATACTATAGATTGTCAATCTAAAAAAAAAAATGACACTAGAAAGAATTGTCTCTAAATATATTGAGTTTATAAAGAAATAAGAATCATAATCTAGGATGCATGGAATGGCAAGCCACCAGTGTGATCAGTGAGGGAAGAGAAAGGGGAGCTTTTATTAGCAAAAAGAGATTTACATAGGATATACAAGTCTTAGAAACAGACTTCATTGGTTCCAGAGGTTCAAAGCTAGAGTTGTTATCAGTTCATTTGTGGAGATGTTGTTATGGGACAAGTGTTCTTCTCAGAGCATTTTATCTGACTTATGACAGTCTTACAGACAGTCTAGTGATAAGCCTTATCAAAGCAAAAGATAAGTGAAGGATGCAAAAGTGTTTTTAGAAAATCCTTGGAAACAGTTTTTGTTAGCCCGTTCTCAAATTGCTTTAAAGAAATACCTAAGACTGGTTAATTAATAAATAAAAGAGGTTTAATTCGCTAATGGTTTTGCAGGCTATACAGGAAGCATGATGCTGGTATCTGCTTGGCTTCTGGGGAGCCCTCAGGAAGTCTGCAATCATTGAGGAAGGCAAAGGGGAAGCAAGTCCTCTCACATGGTGGGAGCAGGAGCAAGAGAGAAAGTAGGGGGAGGTGCCACACACTTTTAAATGACCAGGTTGCATGAGAACTCATTTACTATTGTGAGGACAGCATCATGAAGATGCTGCTAATCTATTTATGAGAAATCCACCCCCAGGATCTAATCACCTCCCACCAAGCCCCACTGCCAACATTAAGGATTACAATTTGACATGAGACTTGGGTGGGGACACAGATCCATATACAGTTCTTACTGCAGCCTTGTAAACGTAAGCCTCCTCTTCTTCAGAGTTCCTAGCCCTGTTTTGTCTGGGTCTGACAAAAGTGAGTTCATCTTGGTATCTGCAACTTTCACAAAAGTAATAACCAATTAATAATGTGCTTGTCAACATAAATAATCAAAAGGGTCAGAATCTAGTTTAAAGAGAGCTTATTCAAGTGCAAAGTTTGAGGATGAGCCCACTGGGAAGCACAGATTCCAAAGAATGGAAATCAGCATTCCAAAGTGTAGCAGTTTGGGATTATTTATAAAGACAAAGTTAAGGGAATCTTAATAGACTTTCAGCATCTTTCTATGTAAGACTTAATGCATAGTTACAACAGTCTGATTTGTCAAGGTGGTCTTTTTCTTTAGGAAATGTATGTTTCACATTCCACACTGAAGATGTAACAGTTATGGGGTTTGGGGCATTATCTGGTCTGAGTTAAGTACAGAACAATAAGGTAAGCAGTTAATCTATAACAAAGATCCATGATTGGAAGGGAGAAGACCTGGTCTCTGGTCTTTCCTAATCATTTACAGAATAAGAACAATGAGGAAGAGAGATAATTTATAATCTAAGAAGCACAATTGCAAACATCCTGTATGACTCGCTTGGCTTAATAAATTTAGAGGGTCCTGAATTTTTATCTTTTGTATACTTTATGTATATTTTGTACTTTAGAGTATATTGAAAGAACAGGACCCACAGGGTTTAAATGAAAACAATTTTATTTTTATCCTCAGTGCTTTCTCATCCACTTTGTGGAACTAGTTTTTCCTTCTTTTTGGATGAATGCTGGAATAAGTTCCATAACTTGTCTGGTCATTCTTGGAAAATGTCCTCTGCCTACCTCAAGTGGCAAAAACAGTTACATTTTCCAGTTAAAATATTATATCCCTTGTAAACTCCATCCCAGTTCCATCTAAAGTTAAAGCTTTTCCCTCTTATGACTCAGGGTTACTCCTTGTGGGAAACCTCAGTGGAAAAGAGGAGCCAGTCATCTTTTATGTTAACTCTGCCATGTCCTAGAAGCAGCCTGTGACCTTCCAGAGTTGAGGTGGTCATCGGGAGAGGAAAGTCCAGAAAGGTTTCCCTTGAATGGCACTGATGTGAAAGGCTGTTGAATTCCTCTGAGTGAGGCAGATGTTTGAATCTTTTGTGGGGCATTATGGATTCTTTGTAGATTACACCCATCCCTAAAGAGCTTTCCTCTGCAGTTCCTTTACATCTCTAGTGGATTTTCATATCCTGCCTCATTTTGCTGAAGTCTTCTAGCAGTTCTAGACCGACCTATAGAATTGCATCTAATTCGACCCTGGGTCAACTTTCCTTTGGCTATAGTAGGTAGAATGCATTTACTTTACAAATTCAGCTCTTCACTCTGCAGCCACATGCCACCTCACTGTCACCACCCACCATGCTTCCTAGAAAGCCCTCTAATTTGACTTGAAAGTCATACTGACACCTTTCTTCATTGAAAAATACCTTTCAGTTCCTTTCACTCTCTCAGCCTCTCCAACTTTAACACTTTTATCACATTGAATGAGTTAGAGGTAAAGAGTTACAAAATTGGTTTTCCCATTTCCTTCGGAATATGGAAGTGCTAGTCTACTTTTTTGTTCTCAGCCTTTTGAGGGCGCAGCCAAATCTGAGACTTAAAATTCCATTTAAAAATGTTGTTTTACTATTTGCAATAGCAAAGACAAGGAACCAACCTAATTGCCCATTAATGGTAGACTGGATAAAGAAGATGAAGTACATATACACCATGGAATACTATGCAGCTATAAATAAAGAATGAGATCCTGTCCTTTGCAGGAACATGGATGGAGCTGGAGGCTGTTATCCTTAGAAAACTGATGCAGGAACAGAAAACCAAATACTACATGTTCTCACTTATAAGTAAGAGCCAAATGATGAGAACACATGGACACATGGAGGGGAACAACAGACAGTGGGGCTTACCCAAAGGTGGAGGGTGGGAGGAGAGAGAGATCAGGAAAAATGACTAATAGGTACTAGGTTTAATACCTGCATGATGAAATAATCTTTACTATAAACCCCCATGACACAAGTTTACCTATATAACAAACCTGCATATGTACCCCAGACCTTAAAATAAAAGTTAAAAAAATGTAGGTTTGAAAGGTAAAATATGAAAATATATTCTAATTTATGTTTTTTTCTGCTGCATTATAGTCAAACTTTTAGAAATAAAATAAACCAGTGATATTTCTGCACATCACAATTGAGAAAGATGTATGACAATGAGAAGCAAAAGAAATATAATTTAATGGGATTTTATTCACAATTGTATTAAGTCAAATATATATAATAATAATTATTATTATTATTATTTTTTGAGAAGGAGTCTCACCCTGTCACCAGGCTGGAGTGCAGTGGCACAATCTCAGCTCACTATACCCTCCGCCTCCCAGGTTCGAGTGATTCTCCTGCCTCAGCCTCCCAAGTAGCTGGGACTACAGGCACGCACCACCATGCCCAGCTAATTTTTGTATTTTTAGTAGAGGCAGGGTTTCACCATGTTGGCCAGGATGGTCTCTATCTCTTGAGCTCGTGATCCGCCCACCTCAGCCTCCCAAAGTGGGGGGATTACAAGCATGAGCCACAGTGCCCAGCCATATAATTATTTATGTTTGCAATTCATATCATTCATAAGAGACATCCTCTGGTCCCAATTTTGTGAAAGTCCTTCAAATAGGATTGAATTCAGTAAACAAAATGAAAGGCAGTCTTTCTTTACCTTTGGTTTGTGCTCTTCCCTTTTTGGAACTTCATTGATGTAATTTGGGAAAGAACCTAATAATGTAAAATTTATAATATTTTCTTTAAATTATAAAAATCAGAAGTTATCTGGAAAATCTAGCTGATGGATAATAAAGACTTTCATGAAAGAAACTTTTTTGACAATATTTTTAGGTCAAACTTCTGTGGAACAATCAAGGTTTATGATACTATACAAGCCTTTCAGAAAAAGATTTGTTTTATGTGTGTAATTATTAATTTGAATGTTTTAAGCTGTTACATGCTCCTAATGTTTAATTCTTTGATATAAATAAGGGCCTTGGACAAGTGGGCTGCCATGTCAGTGGTTCAGTTCCAATCAGAATATTCAGGGGCAGAGACCTGGCCAGACATAGCTAGGTTCTCAGGTGCTCCAGGCTGGTCACAACTCTCTCTTCCCCTGTTAAGCCTGTGAACCTGAATTCTGTGTCAGAAACTGTTTCAGAATTCAATGGTAGAGCAGTGAAGAAGGAAAGGTCCCTATTATGGAGTTCACATTCTGGTGGGGATGGAAGAGTATAATAAACAATGTCAGACTGTGAAAAGTATCAAAACAACCAGAATAAGGAGGTAGAAACTAGGATTTGGGGATGCTATTTTAGATGGAGTGATTAAGGAAGGCCTCCTTGTGGAAGGAGCTTTTGAAGAGAGACCTGAATGAAGGAAAGCATTGAGCCACACCAATACTTTGGTGAAGAGCATTCCAGGTAGCTGGAAGAAGTGCAAAGTCCTCAAGACGGGAATGTGTTTGGTGTGTTTGAATATCACCCCATGTGAATAATTCCTTTGCCTTCTCTTTGTGAAGACATTACTTAAGATCTGTGACCTGCTTGGGGAAGAGGGTAGGTCACTGTGAAAGTCACCATCTGCAAAATTCTCACTTTAACCTAAATACCATAATGTCTTTCATTCAACATTAAGCACTAAGCTAAATAGGCTAATTCATGCCAAAATAGTAGTCACTTGACCAATTCACCTTTCCTCATGATCAGGACCACTAAAGCATTTTGTATTCCCTTGGCACCCAAAAAACTACTGCATTCCCAGCAGCAAATTTACTTCCCATGCAGTTTTGCCAGAGGCTGGCTTTCTAGTTTTTAATTGCTTTTTGTAATAATTCTGATGACTGTCACCCGTACCAACCATTTATCAACATACTTTGTGAACCCAGGATGTGAACAATCTTTCATGCCCTCAGTGACTTTTTCGGACTCTAGGAGTCACCAAATGGGTGAGTATTCTATAATTCTATTTAAAATAAATTATGAGCCAAGTTTTAAAAATATATTTTAAAAATATCGATAGATTCAAATATGAATATAGATTTACAATCACTGTGGCATTAAGGGTTTCTATCAGTAATGTTGCAGTGAAGGCACCAGGAGAACACTACCTCAGGTGACCAAGGTTAATATCACCAGCGATGTCATGTCAGTGTCACCATATGGTGAGAATGGCACTGGCCTCTATGGTATTCATCCCCCATATGTACATCCCCAGTCTAATGATGAGGAAAAAAACACAATACAAATCCTAATTGAGGGACATTCTACAATATACCTGACCAGTACTTCTCAAAACTGTTAAGCTTATAAAAAACAAGGACAGTTGGAGAAACTGTCATAGCCAAGAGAAGCCTAAGGAGACATGACAATTAAATGTAATGGGGTGTCCTGGATGGGATCCTGGAAGACAGAAAGAACATTAGGTAAAAACTAAGGAGATATGAATAAAGTATAGACTTCAGTTCATAATAATATATCAATACTGATCTATTAATTGTAACAAATAGACCATGTAAGATGTTAACAAGAGAGGAAACTGACGTACAGCATGTGGGAATGCTTTGTACAATTTCCACAACTTTTATGTAAACCAAACCTGTTCTAAAATTAAAAGTGTAAACATAAATAAATAAATAAAACCCTAAATCACATTTAGACAATTAAGTATAGGATACTGTGGCCTCAGGTTTCTGAATCTTCAAGTTGAGAGGCCTAAACCACCTACCTGCATACTGCCTCATTTGCTATTTGCTGCTGTTTTTCCTCAGGTCACAGGTAGCGCAGCTCAGGAAAGGAAAGTGCTGTTTAGAATGAAAAGCAAAGTGTAACGTATCCAGGCAGAAAGAGCTGGATGATGAATAGAAGTGGGTCACATTAATACTTTTACCTCTTGTCTTCTCTGAGGCAGTAAATGATGCTGATTTCCCAGGTAGGAAAATTCTGGGAGATCTCACACCCCTCTGAATTATATGGGAGACAAGACCCTGCAAAGAAGGTTGTATTTAACTTGAATAATTCAGGCCAGAGTAGATTTGGGTGGCCTGAATTATCTGGATAGTTGCCCTAATTCTTTGCTTTGACTGTGGAGACTTGGCTTTTGAGGGAAGTAGGTCATTCATTCCCCGAGATACTAGTTCCCCTCCTGAAGGATGAAAACTTACTTAAGCGTGTGGAAACTTTTCACATCTGGATTGAATTCTTAGCTTGTAAAGGCATTTGTTCAATTGTGACCTCCGTGAGAGTCAGGGCAAGTCATACGCAGCTCGGTGTTGTGTACGGAACCAACTCTCCCTGTCTAATCAAAGCTCCAGGGACTCTGATTACAGGTGTACTTTTTCTAGCTGTGTTTAGTCACATAAGAATAGGAGACATCCTGTCCTTTTGATTTCATTTAGATAGACAGCGGTTTTCTGCATGGCCTGTGTGCTTATCCCAGTGCAAATGGCAAATGACTTTTTTAAATCAGTTTCACCAAGAGGATGGTGGATTGTTGTGTAGGGTTTTTTTTTTTCAGTGAAAGCTGAGAAAATTAAATGTCACCTGTAAATTCTCTATTTCTCCTCTTTGTAAAAGTCATCTCTTCTAGGAGGTATTTACATTTTATTGTTACCTTTAGACAGGCAAAAGGCTGGTACCTGGCCTGGCTCTGGCTTAGTAAGATTGTGACATCATTCTGATTAAAGAAAAATATTTGTTTACAATTAAAATTAGTTGCCATTTTAGCAAGTGAGATTTTGGTTTAGGTTATAGTCAGAGATCGGGAAAATAAAACCTGTGATGCTTCCCCAGTGGTAAAATTCTTGAGCTATCTGAGAAGCTTCCTTTGCTGTGGCTGCTTGAATATTGCAAATGGTAACTAAAGAAAATCTTAACTGCTAAATATAGAAATTCTAAATACACTACTAAATTCCAAATGCCATCTCATATAAAATCACATCTAAATATTAATTGTGAATAATGTGTATTAATGGCCAAAATTTGGATTAAAGGTTGTTTTCTAATAATCATTCAAGTTAATGGAAATTCAGATACTCTAACAGCTCAGATCAGATACACTATAAATTAAAATCACATCCCCCCACTGTTTAATGATACAAAGAAAGTCATATCAGTCTGTTGTAGCCTAGTGCCATGTATTTTTCTAGTACAGTATAGATTATGATTCAGGAAGTCTTTGGCTTAACCTGAAATTCTGCGTGTCAGGCAAGCTCCCAGCTGATGCTGGTGCTGCTGGACCACAGATCACAGTTTGAATAGCAATGTTCCAGCCCCTTCCTCTGAAGAAGTCACAGTTCTTTTTATCTAGGTTTCAATTACATTTTTATGACTTTATTTTTACTAATAAGTAAATAGAGCCAAAGAGAAAAATTAGCTCATTTTACACAGGTTTTAGTTAACATTAGTAACTCTACCAGTTGCTTCAAAACCTTCAGGTGTACACAATGTTCACAATTTCCTCTATCACATTAAATGGAACACAACTGAGATGAGATATTTCCATACTGAAATATACTTGGGGAGTAATTAATAAGGTGGAAAGACATATTAATATGTCTGAGAAGTGTGATGAATTTTGTTTGACCCCAAACGTATTTGACTGGGATACTTTTTTCCTGTGTTACCCACGAACACAGATTTTTACATGGAACAGTACAGGAAGAACTGAAAATTGTGGAATTTTCTCTAAGTATAGAAGACTTTAACTTATCATAGTCCATCTTCTAATAATATATCTCTCATGTATAGCGTTATAATCTTATAAGAGTATACTTCCATTCCTCCTTCATATCTTTTGTGCTTTTGTTGAGAATACAGTCTTGCTATTGTTCCTTCAGCCAGTTATCTGTAGTTACATATATATGAAATTTCATAATTTATCTTCTTCCTGCAGAACTGTCTATAACTTTTCTCCCATTGCCTAGCTGCTGATAGTGATTCTCCTTGCTATAGTTTGTCTGAAATGATGGCTTTATTATGCCATTATTTTTGAGATATGTTTTCACTGAGTATAGAATTTTATATTGACAGTTAACTATTTTTTTCTTTCAGTATGTTAAATATGCTATTCTGTTGTCTTCTGGCTTGCATAGTTTCTGATAAGAAGGCTGTTATAGTTCTTATCTTTCCTCCCCTGTCTGTAATGATTCTTTTTCCTTGTCTTGAAGATTTTGTCTATGTCTTTAGTTCTCAGCAGACTGACTATGGTGTATCTAGACATATTGGTTTAAAAAAATTGTTTTACCTGCTTGGAGTCTCCTAGGGTTCTTGAATCAGTGATTTTTTGTCTTGATTAATTTTGGAAAGTTCTCAGCCGTTATCATTTAAAATATTTTCTGCCTTATTTTTGCTCTACCTTGTATTTCTGAGATTCTAATTACATGTATGTTACCTGTTTGATGTTGTCCCAGAGAGCTTGGATGCTGTGTTTTGTTTTTTCCTCCCCCATTCTTTTTCTATGTGTTCAGCTTGGACAATTTCTAGTTATTTATCTTTTAGTTCACTGATTCTTTCCTCAGTTGTGTCCAGTAAGCTGATGAGCTTTTTGAAGGACTTTTTTTTTTACATCTTTTATTTCCAGCATTTACATTAGAATATTAAAAAAATTTTTTACTCCTCTGGTGAAATTTCCTTTCTGTTCATTAATCTTTTATATTTTCTTCTAGATCTTTTATTATATTAATCGTAGTTATTTTAATCTCTCTGTATGATATTTCTGACATCTGTGTCACCTCTGAGTTTGATTCTACTGATTGCTTTATCTCTTGACAATGTTCTCTGTTTAAATAATTATTTTAAGATGTATTTTTGGCCCGGTGTGGTGGCTCACGCCTGTAATCCCAGCACTTTGGGAGGCTGAGGTGGGCAGATCACGAGGTCAGGAAATCGAGACCATCCTGGCTAACACGGTGAAACCCTGTCTCTACTAAAAATGTAAGAAGTTAGCCAGGCGTGGTGGTGGGCGCCTGTAGTCCCAGCTACTCAGGAAGCTGAGGCAGGAGAATGGTGTGAACCCTGGAGGCAGAGCTTGCAGTGAGCCGAGATCGTGCCACTGCCCTCCAGCCTGGGGGACAGAGTGAGACTCTGACTCAAAACAAAAACAAAAACAACAACAACAAAAAGATGTATTTTTGTGTTTCCTTTTAGTTTTGAATAAATGCCAAACATCAAAAAATAATAGAGAAAGAGGCAAATAGCATTTATGCCCAGAAATGAGCATACCCCTAATCTTATGTAAGGCTGTTAGGGTGGGGGTTTGAGTCAGTGTCTGGTTGAATTAGGCTGGGATTTTGTTTCTAGAGTTACCTTCATTGCCTCACAGGCTTCAAATTCCTCTCACAATGGGTTACTGTTACCTTCTGCTTCTGTGGTCATATAATGCCAGAAGGCTTTTCTCAATTTTCCTGCCTCACTCTCAGCTTCCAGCAGGCTCTGTATATCTGTGCCACGGAGGGGTTCTCTTTCCTTGCCCATCTTTCACCAGTAAATTAATTTTGCTTATTACTTTTTGCCAGGCTTATGGGGGTGGAGATAGGAATTCTCCCCATCTAGCTTTAGTTTTAGGTGAGTTCTCTGTGTCTAGATCTTAAAGGGAAGTCTTTTTCAGTGTTCATGCACCTCTACCTCTTTGTCTGTCAAACTCTGCCTTGTGTCTCTGGAAGCTCTTGAAAAGTACGGAATCCTCTCCCCCAGCCAACCCCAGCCCAGTGACTTACAGCTTTTTTTCCTAGGAGAGAAGAGTCTGTCAAAGTGGGCAGTATTTTTTGTTTGCCTCCCGGCACCTGGTCACGACCTGAATGCCTATGCCACCAAAGGACACTCTGCTCTCCTGCCCTTTTCCAAATATTTCTTGTGAGCACCAAATGAGAATCCATGGAGAAGAATGTGAACTCTCCATGTGTCTGGGGTACCCAGTTATTCTAAAATTATGCATTAGCCCACATTTAAATTTGATTTATCATATTATGGTGGCTGTCTCTTTCTTCCATGCTCTATTAAAGGTGAAAGAATTCATGTGTCCCATCTCTCTAGGGAGGGCTTTTGACTTTGAAATTCAGTTCTCTTGGCTGCCTTATTACCTCAACTCTCTGATGGCCCTGAGAAAATTGATGATTTTGTAGATTATCCACATTTGCCTCAATGTTAAAAGGAGAGTGATGTTCTCCTGAAGCTTTCCACTTGTTAAGAAGCAGAATTCCATCCTACATGGTTATGGTGATGAGTGGAATTTGATGAGTATGGCTTGCCAGTTTATTCTCATTCTATAAGGTATTTTGTTTTTATTCAGACTAAGTGTACTATCCTTAGCCTTTTTTCTGAATGTCCTTTTAAAGAATTTTAAATCCTTTTCTTTCATCTCAAATCACGAGGTAATACCCTAACTTGCATGTAGCGAATCACGTGTTTAAAATAATACTACACTTGTTTGTGAAACCAAGTCATAATTCACTTGACCTAATTGTAGAGAAATGAATTAATACACTTTTAGAAAAATTCAGACATGATTGCTTGAAAAATCTGGCAATTGTTTTTCAAGAGATCTTAGCAAATCACTAACTGTTATGGGAGTGCTAAGAATCCTATATCATTTTAATAGTTTGAGTCACTTTTTAAGTCACTAATACTTGAAATAAATTTTTATCTGTAAATTTATTAACTTCAACACTGTGGTAAACAGAATAATGTCTCCCCACCCCCACCCCTGCTGTCACCAAATGATATCCATGTCCTAATCCCTGAAACCCGTTAATATTTTACATTATATGGCAAAAGAGATTTTGCAGAAGTGATTAAGCTAAGAATATTAAAATGTTGAGATTATCCAGGCGGGCCCAATGTAATCACAAGAGTCCTTAGATGAGGCAGGCAGGAAGATCAGAGTCAGGTAAGAGGATGTGACCATGGAAGCAGAGATCCTAATCAGAGAGAGAGAGAGAGATTGGGAGATGTTATGATGCTGGCTTTGAAGATGGAGAATGGGGCACAAGCCAAGGAATGTAGGCAGCTACTTTTTCTCTTAGAGCCTCCTAAAGAACCCATGCTACTAACCCCTTGATTTTAGGACCTTTTGAATTCCATAACTGTAAGGTAATAAATTTGTGTTGTTTAAGCCACTAAATCTGTGATAATTTGTTACAGTTATAGTAGCAATAGGAAATTAATATACAAGCTGATATAACTTGTATTAAGTTATAAGCTGATATAACTTGCCCAAATTCATGCAATTAGTCAGTGGTGAGCTATATCTGAACTCTGAGGCATATACCTCCAAATCTTAGAATAATATTGTACTTGTTTGTATAGCCAAGTCATAATTCACTTGACCTCATTGGAGAGAAATGAATTAACACATTTTTTGAAAAATTCAGACACATCAATTGCTTGAAAAACATAGTACAGTATATCTCTGGAATAAGGGGTGTTATATCCATTTGCCCAGGATAAGAGGATGCTAAGAATCATGACTCTGCTCTTTCTGTTAAAATGGATAATTTTTTATGAATCTATATCTGCTAAAATCACAAAATAAAATCCATTAAGCCCCTCAAGTGATATTATAAAGGACCAATGGCAGTGTTACTAACTAAACTCGTATTTGACTAAAAGTCTTTTAAAATGTTGGCATCACTGGGTCAACATTTCTTATGCTATGAAGACAAGTTGGATTTTAGCCTTTCAAACACTATAAACACTATTCCTCAATAGTGTTAACAAAGATGACGCTAGGCAAAATAATGAAACCAGCAGAATTTTATCTTTAATATGACTCTGGTACTTCTACTTCTTTATAAGGAATGAGTAAATAATGCTTTAAACCAAAGAAATAATTCTAATAATGAGAATTTCAGACTGTGAGTCCAGTCACAAGGGCAGATATTTAGTGGCATTCAGATGTTTTGGTATATCACCAATGTCCTGCCATGTAGGTAGCTACCTCTTTGACTATGCTGAGAAGCATCCCTGGAGTATTCTTTTTACTAAATAGTAGGTTCTGGTTACTGATTGCACAATGGACTTTTGAATAACTAAAGAGAAAGCTTTCTATATAGCTTTACAGGACAGAAGACTGCTAGATATTGCAGTGCCTTTTCAGAATCAGAATCCACTGGTTCCCCACTTTGACTCCTTTCAAAGCTGATCTTTTAATTGGCATAGGTTGCATTTGCAATACACATAACCCACTGGAATTAGGGAAACCAAGATTGTTGTTGGACAAAGGAATTTTTCCCATATTATTATCCCATACTCTCTGTGCTTATAGAAGTTGCTCAAAAATGGTGTACAGTGGTGGTGACGAAGATTTGTTTTGCATTTAGCAATAGTTTATTACATAGAATAAGAAGCTCAAACTGCTTCATAGAAAATAAATAATAAATCTTCCAAAGGAATCATCCATGGAAGCAAAGAGCTTATATTAATTCCAACAATGATGGAAGGAAAAGTTCTGAAAATTCATGTGATCCACTTGGAATTTGACTAAGTTATTCATAGATTATAATAATTTGCAATTGAGTTCATATATAACCTTAACATACCTGATCTTTTATTGATTAACTCAACAAACTTTTATTGAACCCCTACTTTGTGTGAGGCACTATTTTAGGCACTGTGGATATGAAGATAGACAGGATAAAATCGCCGCCTTCAGGGGCCCACAATCTAGTTGGTGAAAGAGATCAGTAAATTAACAGGTGGAAATAACATGATGAATGCAACCAGAGAATAATTTCTTTGGAGAAAATTGGAAGGAGTACCTCTACTGTTTACAGAGGTTGGGGTAAACTGTCTTCACAATAGAGGTGAAATCTGAGTTGAATTTTGAAGAATGAGTTCATTAGACCAGGAGGAGATGAATAATTCCAAAGTGAGGTAGGAGTTTATGTAAAGCTATGAAGGTGTGAGACAGCATAGAATGTTCATGCAACTACAAGTATTGATGTAAAAGGGTATAGAGTGTTACAGGAAAGTGTAAGTAAACAAGAGCCAATATATTATCAAAGTCCTATATTCTTGCAAAGAAGTAGGGGTATTTTCCTGCAGGCAGTGGAGTCACTGAAGGTTTTAAATAACAACAAAAAATGATATGAACAGTGCTATATTGATACATAGCTTATAACACAAGACTAAATGCAGTCATGCATTAAGCACGGGGCTACGTTCTGAGATTAGGTCATTAGGCAATTTTGTCATCATGTGAGCATCATAGAGTATACTTACCCAAACCTAGATGGTATAGTTCGCTACATACCTAGGCTATATGACATAGCCTATTGCTCCTAGGCCACAAACCTGTATAGCATGTTACTGTATTGAATACTGTAGGCAGTCATAAAATACTGATAAGTATTTGTGTATCTAAGTATAGAAATGGTACAGTTAAAAACATGGTATTATAATCTTATGGGACCACTGCTGTATATTTGGTTCATAGTTGACCAAAACGTCTTTATGGGACATGTGACTGTGTTTCACAGGGGCAGAGACCTTACCTCATTCTTTTTTATCTTCCCTAGTACCTCCCATGGTACTTGGGACATAGTTGGTGATTAATACATAATTTTTGGATAATGTAGATTATTTCAATTATTATATTTAATATAAAGCCCAATTCTGGCCATTTCCTCATCCCCAAAACGTATTACATTTCTGAGGAGAGGTTTTACTGGGGCATTGAGATGAGAAAATGTCTAAAATTCGTCTTCTGTGACATTAATCAGCAACAATTACATGTATATACATCTAAATCTGTCAGTCTAGATACTGATGTGCTACATATGTACCAAATATCAATGTCAAGGTTTGCCCCTTATCTTTTAATGAACTTCTTAATGAGATGTTTGTTTTAAAACTCTAGAGGTGAATGCAGCTTCCTTGGCACCGGCAACTTGTTCACAATAAATATGTAGATGAACACTAGCAGATAATACGGATAGATATTTTGATTTTTAATTTTTAATTTTTACTTTTATAAATAGAGATGGGATCTCACTATTTTGCCCAGGCTGGTCTTGAACTCCTGGGCTCAAGTGATCCTCCTGCCTCGGCCTCCTGCAGTGTTAGGATTACAGGCATGAACCACTGCACCCGGCCCAGTTAGATTTTATGTATTAAAAAAAGTTCAGAATTCTGGCTAGTGTTGCCATTGCCCACATTAGTATTTAACATTAATCTAGTTATTTTGAAATTGTTAAAAAAACCAAAGTATCTCCTCATTAGCTGGTCTTAGAGAATGATTGCTCACACTTGTTATGCTACTATTTTTTTTAAATCTTTAATGTCATCAAGTAAAAACAGTTTGGACAAATTCCAGTTTTGTCCTATCAAAGATTAAAATTAGTCACAGAATATTGAAATTAGCCAGAGTTTGAACTTCAGCTGGTATGCACACAAACATACACACAATGTGGAATTATTTTCATGTAGAACTCAGCAGATGGGATTCTGCTAAATTGGGGTGGATATTAAATAGGTTTAGAAGAACACATGGAAATGACTTGGTAGATCATAGAAGATAGATTATTGCACCCAAATCAAACAATCTGTGTAAAGTTCAAGGTACATAAGCTGCTAGGTTTCCTCCAGTATCTATTCTTTTCTTCTCCTGTAGTGGAAAAACTTTTTTGCTAGACATTTGGATACCTAGATAAAAATGACATATCTCAGCCTCCTATTTAGTTAAATATGGCCATATAACCATCCTCTGGTCAATAGACTATGACTACAAGTGATGTATGCTACTTCTGAATTGTTCCCTGAAAAGAAAAGGGTATGTTCTTTCCTTTCTTTTTCCTTTCTCTCATCCTTTAGCCAAGAACAAGGGTTTGGTGATGAACCACCTTCAACCATACAGATGACAACACATCCTGGGTGTGACAGGGCAACAAGATGGAAAGAACCTTGCTCCCAACACCATGGAGCAGACATGGATCTTTGTTACAGTAATTAAAACTGTATTCTAATATAGTTGGGAAGCAGGAGGAAGATGTTTCAGTCAAGTGTCTTTGTGTTGCAACTAACAGAAACTCAATTCAGAATGGTCAAAACAAAAAAGACATCTGTTGGCTGATGAAACTGAAAATTCTAGACGTAGACAGGCTTTGGAGGTGATTTGATCCAGTGGCTTAGAATACTTTCAAGTTTGTGATGCTTTTTGTCTATAATTCCTTCCATCTGCCTTCCTCTATAAGTTAACAATATACTTGGGTTAGACGTGTTTCTGTTAACACTCAAGGGCACAGAAAACTTCTTGTTCTTCAACCAGTGATTAAAGAGGGTTTAATTTCAACTGGAACAATTTTAAGTCACATGTCTATACCGGAATTAATCATTACGGCCAAGATAATACCATACACTTACTGACTTATCTTTGGGGTATTAGTAATTGTGGTAAAGGAGATGGTACCATTCTGATCAACTTAAGCCAGTCAGCATCACTAGGACTGGAGGAAGGGTCAGTCTAACTCAAGATTCATGGCCGGTACTCAGTGGGAGAGGAGTGTAATGGGTGCTAGGAGGCATCCAGACAATGTTCACTACTGAAGATAAGCGGATCTAAGGAAAGAGCATGGGGCCTTATGTGTTACAGGAGTGTAGTATATGCACTGTGGCATGGGGGCAATGTGCTTAGGGTTGGATGGAGCTACTACTGACAATGTTTGAAAGTTGGGGTCAGAATTTTGTATATATGAGTTGGGGATTTGGGCTGAGGCTTTGCTGAACATGATTTTTGATAGTAGCACAATAGTGAGTATATATTGGTATAACAACTCTTAAAAGAGTCTAAAGGAATAAAGGAAAAAGAATGTGTATCTGGGTAGCTTTTTGTTCTCATCACTCTGTGTGTGTGTGTGTGTGTGTGTGTGTGTGTGTGTGGTGTGTGCCTGTAATTGACAAGGTAATAGAATTTTTATGAATTCTCTGATAAAATTCTCTCTGGCGTAGAGAATGAAACACACACATACACATACTTACACACAGTAATTAGTCTTTTACTAGATTTCTATGATTACAAATTGGATATTTTTGTTGCCATTGCTCTTGTTTTGATTTTACTTTGGAATGGAGTCTGGTGCTTCTGTACTTAAGAAAAAAAGGTTGCATTTAGAATTCATCCCCACCTTTTATTCTAAGGACAGCTAAAAGTAAAGGTGGAGACCATAGTTCACATGTCCTGAGTCACCTGCCTGTGCCTAGGATAGAACTCTGCTTCTGTCCCGGGATGAATACCACTGGGTAATCAGTTTCTAGAAAAAAGTGTTAGTTTTGTCTGGAACAAAGTAAAATTCTACATATTGAATTCAAAATGTGTACTTGATGTTAATTAGTAAAAGCAGCTATGTGAATGCCAGGTCACTGTTTCTCTGTAGAATATGATGTATGTTCTTCAGATTTTGCTAGTTTCAGTAATTTGTTCATAAGGTTGTTATGGTTTGACCTTGGGGCCCGAGTATATTAATTGCTCAAAACAATATTTTTAGAGCCTTTAAAAAATATCAGGCTAAGTTTGTCACATGATTTCAGGGAAGTTTTCATTGTTGTATTACCTTGCTATTGGCACATGAAGTAATATAGATCATTTCAACTCAGCATGACACAATGAAAAACAAGTTTTTTTGTTCATTCTGAGGGCCGCAAACACAAAAAATTGCTTTTTAATAATTCCCTTCACTAAGAAAAATATTTACTAGAACTCCTAGGAAATCTGGAAAGAATTATTGACTATTTTTTGCTTCCTACTAGTATTTTCTGAAACATCCTGTTTTACAATGTGCTTTTGAGGTTGTTGAGGTGATAATATTTACCATTAAGTGTGACCGGGTTAAAGTACATAGACCTTGGCATTTCCAATGAAATTGGAATGACAGTAAATACCAAAAAAGTGAGAAATGGACGATTTTGACTCCTTTTTCAGAATTGAGCCATTGAGAATATTGTTGATGTTGGCCCTCCTTTAAATCCCTGATGATACTAAGACAGATGTTATCTTGGCATTTTTAAAAATAAACAAAGCTTACCCAGTTAAATGTGGCCAGTTTTCTATTTGGCTTTCCCATTTACTTATGCAAGCATGCACACACATCCATGCATGTTAGTGGATCTGTTACCTCAGAATGTGTGTGTGTGTGTGTGTGTGTGTGTGTGTGTGTGTGAAGTCTTTTCTCTTTTCTCTCAGACTGAATTGATACTCTGATGTTTTCACTATTGAAGAGCAAAACTTACTTAGAGCTGCTTCTGGGAGTACAGTCCTTACCTTAAAACCACTTCCAGGAGAAGAAGATGAAGTGAAGCCAAATCACAAAATCTCCCTCTCCCAAAACCCAATGACATGCTCAAAGACAGAATAAATTTAAAACCCAGCAAAAAGTATGCTGGCAGCCATCAAATAATGGCAGCGGTACAGCCCCATGCTATGTAGCAGCCAGAGAAAGAAGTGTAAGACTCCAGGAACCTCCATGACTCCTAATTCCAATCTCTTACATTCTGCTCTACTGAGGCAGGGGAGGGGGCAGGAGAGTGTGAGTAGACAAAATCTAAGAAGTCTCCCATTCCTCCTTGATTTAGAGAGAAGCAATCTGTTGCATATCAGGCAGCCCTGGGGAAGGATTTGGAAAGCTCCCCCTATGCCCTCGGTGTCTCATCAGAGGACCAAAAAAAAATCCAGGCTAACCTTTATAAAACTGACTAGGTGGAAAGAAAGCTGAGAGGGAATAAAGTGTGACTATAATTACCCAGAGCAAATTATGCTCAGTACTAATTGGTGATTTAGCGGAGTGGAGGACAAAGGACACAGTAGAGTGAGTGATGGAGGTAAGGGCCTACAGGAAGTGGTACATGGAGAGTTCAGTTGTTAGTCCCTAGTAGGATGTTAATGTGGCAGAATGCACATCTTCAGCCTCTGTCTGCTGGGAGGAGAGTGGGATCCACTGCTGGCTAGAGGAAGGTGAAACAGAGGAATAGGCACCTTAGTCTTTCTGAATGAAGTTTCCTTGGTTTTACCCTGAGCTGGGATAATGAGTCTAACACCCCTTGTCAAACGGGGAATGAGACAATGTGCACCCAGGTGCAGCACAGAAAGGAGAGCAGCATGCAGGTCTCTGCCACCCGTAACTGCTTAAAGTCCCAGCTGAACTCATCCCTGGAGGAAACCTGAAATTCTCAACTGTCAGACTGAACATATAAGAAGATGAAGAGGTGTCAGATAATATGGAGGAGAGCTGGGGAACAATTATATTGTCTTGACAGAACTGTTCAGGTTAACTATGAGCAAGGAAAAGAAAACACACGGAAACTAGGATAAAGAGTAAAGGAGCAAGAAGGGAAACAAAAGAGAGGAGAACAGAATGCTAAGGAGAGATGAATTTATTTTGGAAGAAAACGAGCTATGGAAATGGAAATATCTTACCTCAATGATTGCTTTTCGCTATAAAGAAATTTAAAAGAACATGAGAAAAGGAAAATAAAGACAAAATGATATGGCTATCGAATGAGATAAAAAAGGGAAATGCCAGAGCTAAAGAAATGAATTGAGGGCCAAAATGATATTGCTACCAAAGTAATAAATAATTAGAAATAGATAGGAGAAGATAGGCATGAAGAAAACCTGAAATAATGACTTGGAAGAAAGGCTTCAAATAATCAGTGAACATAAAAGAAAGGGCTTCAAATAACCAGTAAACATAAGATACTGAGTTAAACATCAGAAGGCAATAGATACAAAACTCAAAGATGATACAGCCAAAGAAAAATCAGTATATCTGGGGTAGGAAATAGAACAAATGAAAAAGAAAAAACATTAAAAAGAACTTGCAAAAAAAGTCTTGAAGTAACTGATTTTACACATCAAAAGAGTAAACTTTGTGCTAGGAAAATTTGATACAGAAACTTCAATGCCAAGACATATATTCTCTGGTTAAGCTTTGACGCCAGAGAATGAATTCTTCAGGCATCTTTCACACACAAAACCAAATCCCCTAGAAGAGGAAAAATCAGGCTTCTATCAGAATTTTCCAAGGCAGCAATCAAAGCCAAAAGACAATAAGGCAAAGTGGAGAAAAATTATGAATAAAAGGTGACACAAGAGTTTCATATTATTATTAGTTTTAAATTTAAACATTAAAAAAACCAAAAGGAACACAAACCTCTGTTGCTACCATTCAGAAATGACTACTGCTATCAATGTGTTGCCATATTTCCCACTACTTTTTTCCTAGAGGTGTGTGTGTGTGTCTGTGTGTGTGTGTGACATACATAATGAATGAGTAGATTGTTACCACTTAAAAAGTTACAAAATTATAGACTAGTTAAAATCTCCCAAGACACACGACTAGACTCTGTTATTTGAACTTGGACTGGTTATTTGAAGCCTTTCTTCTAAGTCATTATTTCAGGTTTTCTTCATGCCTATCTTCTCCTATCTATTTCTAATTATTTATCACTTTGGTAACAATATCATTTTGGCCCTTGATTCATTGCTTTAGCTCGGGCATTTCCCTTTTTTATCTCATTCGATAGCCGTAAGTTTATATATAATTCCATTTTCATTTTTATACTTTTATATGAAATTACCTATAAAAGCCATGTAAAATTTTGTGCATATAACACAATTTTGCAACTTGCTTTATTTCTTGACAAAATTTTTAGATTTGTTTTTTTGATACCTATCAGTTCTTTATTCTTTTTAACGTGTATTTTATTACATTATATGTAGATATTTAGATTGTTCCTAGTTTTGTTAGCTTTACAAATAAAGCTGCAGTGGACATCCTAGATGTCTCCTTGTGCACAAATATAAATGTTAAGGTAAGCATTAGATGTAGAAGTTCTGAATTGCAGGATTTATAAATTTTCTTGGTCCCAAGCATGTTGTTATACCCAGCCAAATTTTTGATGTCTAAGGAGGACAGAATATTTTCAAACGTGCAAAATTTTGAAGCATATAGTTCCTAGAAAAGCATCCATTTCAATGAGGCTTTCAAGCTCATTTGCATAAAAGTTTACAAAGTATTCATTATAATTAATTTTGTTTTCCTTTGTCGATTATTTTAAAGGATAAAAACACCTAATCATTTTAATAGATGCCAAAGAGGCACTTGATAAAATTCAATCTTTAAGAAAAGGAAGTAGTAACTTTTACCAGAATAGGAATGGATGATGGACTGACATTAAAAAATAAACATATATCATACAACATTAAATGTTCTCCCATTAGAATCATGAACAAATGCCATCTATTTTTATTAGCATTTTCCTGTTGGCAAATGTACTTAGACCAAAGAAAGAAATAAAGAAAGGAGGATGTAAAATACTGCATATCAAGAAAACTTGAGAGAATCAAACTAAAAAAAATCAAAAGAATATGGTAAGATGAATGATTACATAATTAAGCTAAAGAAATAAATAATAGAAAATATGAAGGAAGAACATACTTTTAATGATAATCAAATGCTTAAAAATATGTAGGGAAAAATTAACAATATTACATAATATACAAAAGGCTTTTGAAAAATTGAAAATCTACCAAATGGCATAAAAGTAGACTTACATAAATTTGTGCCTTATTCTTGAATAGGAAAATTATAAAATAAAGAGGTTAATTTTTCCTAAATTGACCTCTAAATAAATACCAACTGAAATCAATGCATCCTTATTGGAACTTGACAAATTGACAAGTTCATCTGGAAAAATAAACCCATGTAAATAGCCAGAGGATTACAGGGAGAATAGAATGATAACCTATCAAGGTATGAAAATAAATTAGGAAGCTATGGTAACCCAGACAGCTTAGAGCTGAAAAAGAAATAGATCAATTGAAAGAATAAACATTATTGTGAATGCAAATTCATATAAACATTGGGTATTTAAAAATGAAGCATTTCAAATTAGTATTAAAAACAATCGGATACATGACCAATGTATTTAACTGACTGACAGAAAGAAAAAATCCCTTCAAAATCGAGAACTAAATGAAAAATATGAACAGGAACTTCATGGAAAAATAAATACAAGTGGCAAACAAACATGAAAAACAAATATTATGATTATCTCATTCCTAATCAAAGGAATGCCAAAACAATGAGATGCTGCTTTTTGCATATCTGATGGCAACATTTGCAGTGTTTGCTAATTCTCAGTGTTGGCCAAGGTAAACGGAAGCAGGAACTCTCATGCTGTTGGTAGGAGTGCAAATCAGTGCATTCTTTTTCTGAAAGAAAATTTGGCAGGAATTCTCAAAAGAAAAAAAACCCAACATACTGTTCAGTTCAGCAGCCCCATTGCTGGAAATTTGCCTTCTTGATAAACTTGCAAAATACATCAATTTATGTGTACAAGGACATTTATTGGAGCATTGTTATAAAATTCTGGGAAAAAAGTTAAATTTCCACTGACAGCAGTCCATTTAAAAAATCAAAGTACATTCATACAATGAAATACCTGCGAATCATTACAGAGAATGAGACAGATCAATAATTGTAAATGTGAAGAGCTCAAAGATGTATTTATTGGGGAAAAGGGTAAGAAAGATCCCATCTAGTGCAATCCCTTATCAATAAAGTGTAAGGAGTTTAAATACAGGTATAGGGAAAGAAAAAGGTATAGAAATCGATTTAGGCTAATGTATGCATAAAATAATTTACCGAAGGATATATACAAGAATGAACGATGGGGACTCGGAAGGGAGAGGAACCATTTCTCTTTCCATCTTATGCCTTTTGTCCTGTTTGAATTTTTAACTTTGTGCATGTAGAAGTGTTATACAAATCACCCCAGTCTACATGAGACCCCAGACACAACAGCCCTGCCACCAGCCTCTTCCCCACCTCCCAGCATTGTAATTCTGCCCACTTTTGGCACAAGGTCCCCACCATTTTCTCCCTATGAGGTAAACACAATTTTATCACATTCATGGCCATTTCTTTAGTTCTGACTTCACACTGGCAAGTAAAAGCTGCATAGAAGAAAGACAGAGATCAGGCCTGCACTTCTGCTGCTAATACTAGCATCACTGCCATCTAATAAACGCTGACCAAGTGCTGACCAAGGGGGAGGAGAGAACACTGTGTGAAGCACTTCATATCTCTGGTCTCAGTTATTCCTCACATGGACCTATGAGACTGGTACTATTTTCACAGCCATTTGACAAAAGAGTAGACTGAAGATTATAGAGATGTGGTTGCTTGCCCAGGACTCTACATCTAGTAAGAAGCAGGTCAAGGATTCAAGCCCTAGTGAGCCCCCACCGCAGCAGGAGGGCTTTTGACAGCTGTTACACCACCTCCATAGCTCCCCTAGGGGGGCTCAGCTCCACAGTGAGTCACAGAGGGCTTCCTGGGCCAGTGCAAATCATCATTTATAACATTATTTTCTTGATGGGGAGATGTGTTTCAGGTTCAAAATAGTGACTCAAAATAGACTTTGGAAAATGAAGCTCCTGTTTTATAAGCTGAAGACCATCTGAACTTAATGTTTATTTCTCTTCAGTAATACCTGTATAGCAGAATTCCTTAAGTACTTTTCTGTCTCTTGATTGCTTTTCTCAAATAATTTCTGATTGCTTAATTTTATAATCATTAGGACTACTTTTGGTACTTCAAAGGTGTATTTTTGGTATTACTCATTCTGCTGCAGTTCGGTTACTAAGTTCTGACATAGTGACTCTTACAGCTAAACACAGTCCCAGGCAAGCCAATATTTTTTCTCTCACAATGGTATGTTGCTCAGACAGCAAAGGTGAAATCATTGGCCAGAAGTTTATGCCAATGATGACATGTTAGCCTGCGTATTCATCAGATTCTTTGAACAGAAATTAATGGTAACTTTTCTATAGGTTATATATTTTTGCCTCTTTGTCTTTTTCCTTCTTCCCCATCCTCCCTCTTTATCCTATACTTTTTACTCTTTCTCAAAACTCTTTCTGCCCTTTGTCAAAATGAAAAATCTGAAAAGGGTCTTACCAAGACCAATTGTAATCTTCTCCATTACTAGTAGCAATAATAATACTAATATGTACTGGGTGTCCATGAGCCATGCATTGTTGCAGGTACTTTATATTCAGTATAATTTATTTCTTCACATAAAAGAAAGGTAGAGGAGCTCAGGCCTGCACTTCTGCTACTACTCGTAATACTAATAGTCACTGCCACTTACTGGGTGCTGTGTAGTGGTTCCAGTCACTCCATTTTACAGGTGAATTAAGGCTCTAAAAGTTGCCCCCAAACTCACGTAATAGTAAATAGTGGCACATGAATTCAAACCTAGGCCTATCTGACTGCAAAACCTCTGCTGTTTCCATGGACTTCTGTTTGAGGTAGGTTTGCAGCTGGACCACCTTGGTGGTTTAGTAATGTCTAGCAAGGTGCTTGTCCCTCCTTCTACTCTATGCTGCCTGTGGTCCTCACTGGGACATTGACTTCTATGAGCTATTGTTGGGCTCTTCTACCTCTAAGTGGCTTCTTTCTATACCCTCCTGTTTTCTGATTGGAGGAGAGAATTTATGTGCCTTGTGGCCAAAATGAGAAAGCACAGAGACTTGGAAAGAAGAAGGAACTGCTTTTATGGATGGCTCCATTGTCTTGTGACTGTTGGGGTTTCAACCTTTAAAGCCTTCCTGAGATAAACTCTCTCAAGAGAGAACAGTGAGGACTCTAATCCTGGAGTCAGAGTCAAATAATAACACCATATTAATCTTCATGGGTGAATGGAAGGGTGGAAAGGGCAGGGGTGTGGAGTGAGGCAAGCTCATTCACTCAGCCTCTGGGGAAATATAATTCCAGCTCCATTGCTTAAGAACCATATGACTTTAAGCAAGTTGTTTTACCTTTTTCAGTGGCAGTTTTAAAAATCTGTTTAATGCAAATAACAATAGTTATGGCATAGAGGGTGTGGTGGATACTAAATAATAAAGTATGATTTCTTCAAGCAAAACTATTTGCCATTTGATATGCAAGCCAGATTAATTCTGGGAGAAATGTTAATTTGCTTAAATAAGTTTCCAAACAGATGGGAAAGAAACAAATGTATTTAGGTAGAGACAAAGTACCAGATGACAAAATTTACCTTGGCATTCAGATCTGGGAAGTTTTATTTTTGTTGTAATTTTTCTTATGAGTTTTAGTAATGTATTTACATTATGAGGCACTCAAATTAACTCATATAATGCAAAATGTGACTTTTTAAAAAATAGAAAATTAAAAATCAATGACGCAGGAAGAATTCAGATGAAACAGCTTGAGCACTGATGAGTTTCATGAATTAGATTAACATAAATGATTGGAAGACACAGTATTTTGGGAATGGAAAAGGTGTCCAAGGTGATACCTGCAGCATTAGGAGTAGTTGAAACCCAGCCTTTTGGAACACAAGCCAGGATATTTACAGTTGTAAGACAGAGACCTCTCTCCATTTGAAGCAACTACTGTGGGATTTATCCAGTGAGGTAAGCTCTGTATCATCTCTACAGTGTTGTAGGATCTATAAAAACAAGTTAAATTGGAAATAAAATATGACAAACAGATCAATTTAGATAGATACAAAGCTATCAAGAAGCTCAGGAAGCCTTTATGTTATTAAAATGTATCAATTCAAAAAGTGAAACTACATAGCTTGACAAGTTCAAAAAGTTTACCTGCTTCCACTCCTATTTTTCATCCTGTCTTCCCTATAATAGAAGCCCTGGTAATTACAGAAGCAAAAGTGTCGTTAATTACATACTCCTCAGCTACCAAGAGTTATTATACTTAACTACAACATAAAATATGAATTTGCACATGGCAAATAGTTTTCTTTTACAAAAGTATTCAAATAAAGAGAGAAAACATATTTCACAAAATGAATGTTCAGTCTGAAAAAGAAATACTGCTGAATTTCCCTCCCAAAAGGCTATACCAAAACATATTGACAAAGTATTTTCCAACAGTATTAAAGTAATATCTCCCTACAGTACCCAAACCCAAAAGACAAACAGCAAAAATCTGTAGATTTGACCACATACAAACTAAAACTTTCATACAGCCATAGATGCAATAATTAAAGTTGAAAAAATGATAGGACAATTTTTTTTTTTTTTTTTCTGAGACGGAGTTTCGCTCTTGTTGCCCCGGCTGGAGTGTAATGGCACGATCTCGGCTCACCACAACCTCCGCCTCCCAGGTTCAAGCAATTCTCCTGCCTCAGCCTCCCTAGTAGCTGGGATTACAGGCATGTGCCACCACGCCCGGCTAATTTTGTATTTTTTTTAGTAGAGACGAGGTTTCTCCATGTTGATCAGGCTGGTCTCGAACTCCCAACCTCAGGTGATCCGCCTGCCTTGGCCTCCCAAAGTGCTGGGATTACAGGCATGAGCCACCACGCCTGGCCAGTGATAGAAAGATTTTTAAAACATAAAGACAAGATTAACAATAAAAATATATAATGAGTTCCAAGACAGTAATATAAAAAAAGACAAATGACCTAATAGAAACTTTGCAAAGGATATGAAGAGTCAATCTGCAGAGGAAGAAATAACAAACAGCCAATAAGTGTTTCTAAGGATCCAAGCCCCTGTCTGGAAATCAGAAATATGTGCATTTAAACCACCAGTTACCTTTTTTTTTTTTTTTTGCCCCCAGATTGGAAAATTATAAGGTTATAAAATTCTATTACCAATTTTTTTTGTTTATACTACACTTTTAATTCATACAGGTCTATAGTGCATTTTGCTAGCTGTTGAGAAAAACATCCCTTCATTGTTTTTGTTTTACCTTGGGTTATCCTCAAAGAAAGGAACCCTCAGTGTCTGATACCCCTGTGCTATTCAGGTAACACTGGCCCCACTCCCTTCTCCCTTATTCTAGGGAAAAGCAGAAGGCTTGCTCTCACTATTTCCATTGCATCTTTGATTTCTGAGTCCAGAGGCCGCTCATCACTGCTCTCGACAAGGAATACCAACATCCAGAGCACTTTGTGAATTTAATCTCTTTGCTGAAAATCAGAGGGCCTGTGGTGGAGGAATCAAATCCCATGTCACACAATTTTGACCTCACCTACTCTTTCTGTCTCCCACGTTTCCACTTTCCCAGCTATTTTGTCTTCCATCCCTTCCAAAATTCAGCTGACATAT
Source organism: Homo sapiens (assembly GCF_000001405.40). Taxonomy (NCBI): domain Eukaryota; kingdom Metazoa; phylum Chordata; class Mammalia; order Primates; family Hominidae; genus Homo; species Homo sapiens. The sequence continues at coordinate 59,783,414 of NC_000014.9, read as the reverse complement.
TATTCCCTAAGCACCCAGCCTCTTGAGGAATGAATGTAATCCAAACCCCACTCCAACTGCTTTTCTCATAAGGTATAACCCCACCAGGGCACCTTTCTTGCTTCCCTCTCTACGCCCCACCCCACCCAAAATTTTGGTGTTTATATTCTTGTCCATTTTATTGCACATACAGTGGAAACTGGGAGATACTTGTGATGAACTAACCAAAAACCCATATACATAGGCATAGAGGGGTGTAGCACAACATAGGGATCAACATATAGATTTGATTAGAAACTTAGCCACTAACTGAGTGTTCTTGGACAGCTTTCCTAACCTTTTTTCTGTCTTGCTTTCTTCATCTGTAAAATCAGATTGATTGAGCTTTCCTTCTGAGGTGGTTGTGGGGAGTAAATGGGATGATATCTGCAAAATGTGCAAAGTGCTTATTAGCACAGCGTGGGGAGTCAACATAGTCAGGGCCCCTGCAGCCTCCACAGAATGATCACTCAACATAGACTGCATGGTAGACTTTTTCTCTAATCATCTTGAATGCCCTCCTGTAGCACTTTAAATAATCATTCTCAAAAAGAGAGAGAGAGAAACTGCACCAACACGTAACTGCTGCTATTCAGTAACATTATATAGCAGCTACCTGAAAAAAATGTTGGTGAAGTACATTACTTTTCTTGCAGCAATAGGGCAGCTATAAATCAGGTCCTAGATTATAAAAACAAAACATTATAGCCTCTTAGAAAATCATTATCAAGCATTGTTCTACCCTATCCATTTAGTTACATTTTGGCTCTTTATTGGCTCTTAATAATTAATTAGGTAAGAGACTTGGGATAAAAAGCTGACTTAACTTCTTTCCATTCTTGCAGCTGTGTGCAGTGAAGTTTTATTGGTGCTTTAAAATGTTTCAGGCGTTGTCAACCCAGGGGAAAAGTGCACTATCTAAATTGGCAGAAAGTTATTTAAACTTTTCAACTTTAATTCTGCTCCCAGGTACTTTTCACTGTAAAAGAAAAGTTCAAAACCAAGGATTAAAAAGTGAATCTATTTTCTCCTTCTCCAACAGATTTTGTTAGATAGTGTTGCTGGTTGACTATCTTCCAGTAACAATGCCTTCATGACCCACTTTTCTGTGAGTCTATGTACTCTTCTATCCTATGTCTTAATCTGTTTGGGCTTCTGTAACAAAATACCATAAACTAGATAGCTTATAAACAACAGAAACTTATTTCTTGCAGATCCAGAGGCTGGGAAGGTCAAGATCAAGGCAGATTTGGTGTCTGGTGAGGACCCATTTCCTGATTCATAGACAGTGCCTTTTCACTGCATCCTCACATTGTGGAAGGGACTAGCTAGCTCTCAGTGGTCTCTTTAAAAGGGCACTAATCCCATTCATGAAGCTGCCTTTATCATGATCTCATCACCTCCCAAAGGCCCTACCTCCTCATACCATCGCTTGGGAATTAGGATTTCAACATATGACCATTGGGGACACACAAACATACAGGTCACAGGATCATATCTTCATGAAATGTTTATCTTTTGTTCCAGAAATATTTCAAAAGCTGTCTGTAATATATTTTTGAAGTAATTCTTATCTAACTTATTCACTTTAATATTTTTGCAATTTTGTAATTTTAATCAAATCAAATACCCAGGGAATTCAATATACAAGAAAAGTAAATTTTAAGTTGTAGTTACTTTAGGATTTCTTATCATTTGTAAACATCTCAATGGCAAATAATAATGGAAATATGGGAAGAAGGGTACATGGAAACTATTCATGATTACTTGGAAGGAAAAAGTATTGGCCAGAATGGAATATTTATGGCCATTAAAATGACAAGTGGTGTGAACCATGCCAGAACATGGGGCTGGGTTTTGGAGTAACATTGAGTAGAAATAGCAGACACTGAGAATTATATCCCAATTAGAGCTAGGCAAACCATATTTTAAGTTTATGTTCCACTTACTGTTCTGTTCCAATTGTTGTTGCTGAACAGATTCACATTCATATATGCATATTCAGCAAGAACAATTGGAACAGAACACTAAGTGGAACATAAACAGTCAATGACTGACACTTTGGAGATTTTTGTTTCTATAACAGTATTAAATTCTACAATAAAGTTATTTTAAAACAAAGAAAATGGCCCAAGAGGTGTTGCTCTGTTTTTTGTTCAGTGAACAAGCAGAAGGGAGCTGGCCGAGTGATGGGGAGCATGGGCTCTGGCATCAGGGAGACTTGGGTTTGGATCCTAGGCCCACTTTTGGTCCAGACACTTCCATTTCCTTATCTGCAAAACAGGGATAAGACACCAGTTCCACATGGTTGTTGGGGTACTAAACAAGATGGTGGAAGTAAAAGGACTCTTTATGATTATGATATAATTATTACATGTTATTACATACTGATAAACATGCCTTCTATGCAGGTGCCATGCCCTGGAGTGGCATCCAGTGATAGTACTGTAGGGAGAGGGGAGATGGAATCAGAATTTGGGGGGCTTCCTCTCTTTCCCAGACAGGCGTCTCCACTTCTAAGATCATATCCATTGCTGTTACAAGGTGCAGATGCAGTGAATAAATATTTGTGGAACTAATGATATTGCTGCACCTTCCTATATTTCCTTGCTCTCTATGATACAATTGGATTCACTACTACCAAAATGAACTTATGTTGTGGCAATCCACAGCCTCCTCAGTCCTTTATTTGTGAGAAGCAATGAGAAGAAACAAATAGAAATGAAGTTGCCTTATATTGGAAAAAAAAGAAAAACAAAACAAAACAAAAATAGTCTGTGACATCTGAGATTTGCCCTAGACCTTGGCTCTTGCTTTCTGTAGCTTCTTAATTCACTTAAAATGATTATGCTCCATATTTTTTCTTGAGTTTGATAACCACCAGCTTTGACTTCCTCCGGAATGGTTGGCACCATTAGGTAATGCTTTCTTCTGTTAAATGGTTTTCTTTTCTCTAGCATCCTCTCAATTTCATGACAATTGGATATAAATCCAAGATGATATTAAGTTTTGTTAATATTTGACATATACCCTCATTTACTAATTTGAATTTCTTTGCTTTTATGTCTATGTTTACACACTAGGAAGGTTAGGTTTCAGTATAAGCATTGTATTTCCTGAGAACCCTCCATAAACCTCAGGATGGAATTCAGTACCTCCTCTCTACCCTTTGTGGCACCGAAAATATGTCTTTTACAGCACAAATCACAGTGACCTCTAACTTTCCACCAGTTCAGCTTCCCACTAGCCTGGGAGTTTCCTTAGGAAAAGGACCATGGCTTTTCACCCTTTATCCTCAGCACTTACTCAGTGCCTGGCACAGTGGTAAATGAGGGATCAAGGCCAGAATGTGCAGGAAATACCAATTAGTGTTGAGTGATCTATGATTTTTCTTTCAAGTCCTGGTAGAACTTTAGTGTAGCAAGGGAAACTCGATGATTCTGGGCTTAATTTCCTGCCCTGCTATTGACTAGTGACATAATCCTTGCTAAATCATTTAATACCTGTGCCTTAATGGTCTCCTCTGAGACTGCAGGGTGGAAGTGGGGGGAGGAAGAAAAGCCATGAGGTTATGAGCAATAATTTCAAAACTAAGCAACATATAGACAATTTAAGTGTGTATGCAGAGAGCTGGGCCAGGACCAGGGAAGCAGTAAGTTCTCTAAAAGAGGGTCAGGCAAATTCTCAGAATCACTAAGCAGCCTGGTGAAAGTGTTTCAAAACGCCGTGAAAATGCCCAGAAAAGGGATATAATGTATCAGGAGGAGAGTATGATTTTCCTCACGTGCTAGGAATCGTTTTCCATTGTCTACTGCTTGGAATAAGAATGTTGGGACTCTTGTCCCCTTTGCTGGCTCCTGCGCCTCGGTCAACACCTGAAATGGAGATTTGGTTCATTGGAATTCTGCCTTCCCCCTCTGCAGGATCTCCCCATTACCTGTGTGTGGTCATGGTCCACCTGCCAACATCACACTGAGGTTTCTCACTTTCATTTCTCTATCCCAGTGAGCATATTTAGAGTATGTTTCCCAGGCAGTTTAAGGGATCTTAAATATTAATAGAATTTATTTTCTACCTTCTCAAACCTCTTTCTCCCCTTCGTATGACAGAAAGTTATACTACCATCCACCCAGTTGGCCTTGCCCTAAACTCTGGGATTACCCCAGACTCCTCCCTCACTCTCAGCTTTCACACTCAATCTGTATCAGATCCTATTGGTTTCTTTTTCTTGAACAACTCCTGTATCTATTCCTCTCCATCCCCACTGCAAGGGCCCTTATTACTGTTTCCCTGGTCCTGGTCCTTATTACTGCTCCCCTGGACCACTGCTGTGTACTCTCCTATTCTGATCTTCCAGTTTCCAGACTCCCCTGCTCCTTGTCTACCACACTTCCAGAGTGACTTTTCTGAAATCAGGTCAGATCTCCCTTGATTAAAGCCCTTCGGTGACTCCCCATTGCTATAGCATGATATCCGAAGTTCTTATATTGCAGATGAGGTCCTCCCCAACCTGACCCTGTTCTCCCTCTCCAGCCTCATAACCTGTGTTCCTGCACCTACAGTCTGTTTGCTTGATCTCAGGGGCCTCACTCTCATGTTCTTCCATCCCTTTGCTCCCAGGGGTTTCTTCCACCCTAATTCCCTTATTACTGGTCTATTTGGTAAGCACTTGCTTGTATTTTAGGATTCATTGCCTTTCAGTGCAACTGCCCACCCTCTCCTCCGTGTGCCTGCTGTATGCTGCACAAACATCTTCACTTGTGTAATATTTTACTTGACTTATTTGTTTACAAACTTCCCTCACTCAAATAGACTAAGAGGCCCTGAAAGAACTATGACTTGTTTTATTCCAGTGTCTGGCACAGAACAAAGCATGCAGTGAGCACTCAATGAATATTGGACGAATGCATGAATAGGTATGGTCTCAAGCTCTATCACTTACTGCGACTTGGACAAATCATTTAGCCCAGCAAATAGTGCTTCTTTATCTTAGAAAACAGAGTTTAAAATATCTATAGCACAGGACTTTGTGGGAATTAACAAAAGCCATTCATTAATTCAACACATAGCTTACAATATGCCATGATGAGAAAAAGCATACATGGTCCCTGCTGTCATGAAGCATACAATATAGTTAGAGAGAAATTAAAACAATCACAAAAATAAATATAAAATTACAACTGTGATTGAAAGCCATGTGGTGCCAAGAGAAGCCATGATAGAGGTAATGACCTGGTCAAAGAAGTCAAGGAAGCCTTCCTTCAGGAGGTGATGAGTGAGCAAAGATCTGGAGGATAAGACGGAGGTACTGAGGAAGGGGAAGGAAAGCATTTTTTTAAGCAGGGACAGCACATGCAAAAGCTCATTAGAAAACAGCACATTCAGGGAACTTAAAGCAACACAGTGTGCTTTGGATGCAGGGAACAAGAGTGAATGTGGTACAAAAAGAAGCTAAAGAGACACGTAGAGGCTGCATCATGCCACCCTGACTTGGCACAGGAGAGACACAGAGTAAATATTAGGGTGTTTTGTGTGTGTGTGTGTGTGTGTTTTGTTGTTTTGTTTTTTTTTTTTGTTGTTGTTGTTGTTGTTGTTGTTTTGTCTTGACTTGCTTCCGTTTTTGATTTCCAAAGACCTAGAAAGAAAAAGAGGGGAAAAGGTTATTATATTTTGCTGGAAATACAGTGTCAATCTCATGAAACATCCACACTTTCCCCAAGAAAGGAGGGACATCCCTTTGGTCCTAAGGAACTCCTGAAAAAAGGGGCAAAGGGGCTGGGATTCAGGGCCCAGCATTAAAACTTCCTTTAGCTGAACCAAAGAAACCATCATAAACTTCCATGTTACTCCAGAAAGAGATTGTTTGGAAGGAGTGCCACCAAGTCAATGGCCAAAGGGAAGAAGGGGCCAGCAGTAGGTACCACTCATGATCAGCACACACTTAAAAGGATACACTGCTAAAATGGTATGTGTGTAGCCTTGTTGCAGCTTTAGCAAATATAATCTGGTCTATTTCCAATTGATGAGTAACTATTATTGGGAGAAGAGGAAGTGTTGAGGGGTACAAAGTCTGTGGGTAAAGAAGAAAGACAAACAGTCAAACACAAAAGCAACCAGACTCCCAGGGATTTTAGAATATGTTTCTAAACCAAGAGAAGATGATGAATCATCATGCCTATGATCATGGTGTGCACCATTTGCTCTTCTCCAATAACACGGTATCGGACCAAAGACAGCACAAGGTAGAGTCTCTTACTCTTCTGCAGTACAGCCAGAATTTTATTACTGAGATTTCCATGCCTGAAGGACAACATTTGCTCATGCTGACATGTTCAGTCTTCCTAGGTGAGGGACATGTCACTCCGTAATGAACGCTTGCCTGTTGTAGCCTTTCAGTGATGGTAGGTGGATTATTTTTAGTTTAAGAGCTGTAACTCAATAAATAATTTAGAATATCTATGGGAGTTTCAGAGTACCAATTAATCTCACTCATGTCCCTCTGAGTTCTGAGCCAATCCAGTCAGATTGAAACCTACATTGTTGCTTTATTTCTGGTAAACTGAGTTGGAAAGCACAGCCTGGACTTGTGGTAAAATAGGTTTTTTACGCCTCCTCCTGAAATAAATTTTTCATCTGGTCCCCAGCAGAGCCTCCTACTGGATGAAGGAAAGGAGTGACATGAAGCTCCAAAGGAGCATCAGAGAGGGTAAGGGGAAGGCCCCACACAGCGGAGGAAGGCTAAACCTCTTCTGGTTGAGAACAAATGAGATAGAGAGAAGGGCTAAAAATCTCCTCACCAAACACTTTCAAGATGAACAAAGTTCCTATTTTTGAATGTCTTAGCCCATTTCATGTTGCTATAATAGAATGCCACAGGTTGGGTAACCTATAAAGAGAAAAATTTATTTTCTATAGTTGTAGAGGCTGGGAAGTCCAAGGATGAGGCCTGCATTTGGTGAAGGCTTTACTGCATCATGGCATGGTGGAAGGCAGAAGGACAAGAGCATGAGAGAGCAAGAGAGCAAAATAGGGCCAAAGTTGCTCTTACAGCAAGCCCACTATCACAATAACTAACCCACTTCCACTATAACATTAATCCTTCATGAAGGCATGGCCCTCATGACCTAATCCACCTCTTACTAGGCCCCAGCTCCCAACATTGATGCATTGGGACTTCAGTTTCCAACACATGAACTTTGGGGGACACATTCAAGGCCCATAGCAATGGACCTTGTCAGGAAGAAGGAGAGAAGACAATGGCTCAGCAACATCATAATGTTGGCACAAGGTATTTATTCTCAAAGATACAATAGGCTTTTGACTACAGAGTAAAAAGTGATAGAAAATGACTAGGAAAGTGCTAGAAATGCCCTAAACTTTATTATAATATGACATTAATTGAATCATCTTTATTTCATTGTTAAATTATTAGATATTATTTATACGGATTGATCTCTGCTGCCCTTAATTTAAAACTTCTTATTTCTGGTTGTGAGAGGAACAGTTTAGACTTCAAATGGCTTCTCTTCTTTATTTCAGTTATTAGAGACAACTTTCTGCTGTATGAAAGAGTGATCTTTTTAACAAATCAGATGACCAGTCCACAATTGTTATTGCTTATCTGCAGAATGTATTAAAATGTACATGGAATAGAAGATGTACTTATAAAATACAGAGTGCAGAGTATTTTATTTTTGGTCTGGAGATGTATCATCTTGCTTTTCAGTTCAATTTCTGTTACTATGTGATCTTACTCTCACTATGCCTCAATTTTCTCATCTGTTAAATGGGAATAATTAATAGTACCTGCCTCATGGGGTTGTTGTAAGGATTGAGTGAGCTGATACTTGTAGAGGATTTAGACGGTGTATGACACAGGGTACGCAGTTTATAAGTATTAACTATCACCACCATTATGCAGTGAAGAAAGCTTCCAATAAAGAGGCATTGTGTTCAAAATACTGGGATAGGATTTGTCTAAGCTATAGTAATTCTAGCTCCTACAAAAAAAAAGGTCAAAAATGTATAATTCCTCAAAAAGAATAGAGGCTTATTTCTTACTCTCACATAAAGTCTAGAATTTGTGTTCCTAATTAGCAGGCAGCTGGCCTCAAAAGGTGATTCAGGGACCCAGGGTCCTTTCATGTTTGGGTTCTAGTACCATCTCTAATATGAGATTTTCAAGGTTTTATGGGACAGTGACATTCAGCCAGTAGACAGAAGATGAGAAACGTCTGAGATACTCCCCTCTTAACTCAGTCTAGAGATGGAACTTATCGCCTTTACAAGAGCAGTTTTCATGGCCCCATCTAAGAAGAGAGCTGGGAAATGTACTCCCTAGCTGGACAACTACATCCCGGTAATACCTTATAATGTGGCAGAGTGGCATGAATAGGTGGCTAGGAAGCCATCTCTGCCATAGATGTAAAGGAGGTTTCTGTCTGTTATTGCAACAGTTTTCCCCTGAAATGTTAATTCAGTCAAGCATTATAGAAGTGGTTACTTGGATGTTTTTGCCTCTTCACTTAATGAGAAAAAGACGGTACTTTAATCATCAAGAAATTGTTCAGAAGAGTGAGTTCTGATCATGTGGTCTCCTTGGGGAGATGTTGTGAGTTGGCTGTTGGCTGATTTTACCATACCACTCCTCAGTCTCAACTGTAGTAGTGGTGACTTATTGGGACTAGATTTATCCACACTGTTAATGGTTTATTTAGAAAGGAACATTAAGAATACACATATAAATATGAGATTCCAAATGAAAATTACTTACATTTCATTGGTTTCATGTGTTTTTATTTAAGGCTTTTAGGGAGGAGAAAGCAAATTAAAGAACTGGACTATTTTGAACTGATTTTGATCAGTGTGGAGTGAAATTGCCAAGTAGCTTTCAGACATATTTTTGGCCTGCATTATTTGCCTAATTACTTCAGCTCTCAATTTTGCCCGTGTTGACACAGCTAGAACAGCAGGCAACACAACTGAGACTGCAGAAGTTGAAAGAAACCAACCCTTCAGAGCCAAATTATAATAATCTATAGTGTTGTATAGATTATAAATCATTTTTACACTTTAATTCAGAGTCGAGTCCATGTTCTTACAAATGGAATGCAGAATGTTTTGGGGACAAAAACTCAGCATGTTAAACAGTCAGTTTAGTAAGAGATTCACATTCTTTGCCATAGAAAAATAAAGAGCTGTGCCATCATTAACTCAGCAGTTGCACTGTGTTTTAATTCTGCTACTTAAAGCATCTCTTTCATGTAAGTGGAACTGTCAGTCCACTACAGACACTCTTTACCATAATGTGGATACTTGCCCAAATTTGTAAATCTGGCATTCTATTTCACAAACGTGGATGCAGTTTTATCCTAATTTTTCAATAATGGATAAATAATAAACTCTAATCACATGAAAGAGAGAAAAGAAGGCATATATGAATGAAATGTCCAGATAATCTAAAATATTCCTTTTAGTCACTATGTTTCCCTTTCTGAAAGGGTCAAAAATGAAGAGGATGGGTTGAATATTCATTTCTTTTTCTGTCTCATGTCTTTTTCTTTCATCTTCTCTTGTTTAGGATAATTAATGAGATGATAGAAACCAGGGTAGAAGAAAGACAGTAAGCTTTAAAAAAGCCAAAATAAATCAGCTCTTGAATAATTGAAAAGAGGCAGTGTATCCCATACACTTTTAACATCATGCTCTTTCCCCCATTAAATCTCAGATATAGAGTTATGAGTTGGTAACTCAGGTGGGGAAACTGTCTTTAGGAGATTCTTAACTTGATGGAAAGACTGCATCTGATTCTCAATTATGGAAAATTGAGCTTTCAGAAAATACTTAAAGGCTTAATGGAAATTAGAATATTTGTCATCTGTAAATAAATATTGCTGTGGTTAAAAATAAGTTCTGTCTTTTTTGTGCTGATTTATTTATCAGAAACTAACTTTTTAAAGTCATCAGAAGATATGTAATAGACATATAATACTTCTTCATTTATTCTTGGAACCACAATAGTGAATTACATGACATAGTACTATCTTCAGTTTTTTCCTTATTAGACTTAATAAGATAATATTTTCACTATAACAAGAAATAAATGATGAGAATTTTTTTTCTAATGTAACTAACTGGGCACGGTAATACTTCATAACTAATGAGTTCAAATAGCCTTTGAAATATGTCTCATAGATTTAGATTTTACTATCTTTGGGGTTCTTAGATGACAAGCTACTTCAAATAAAATATTTAATGAACTACTTTAAGATAAGGAATTATATCCTTAATTAACAAGTTTGCCATTATATTAATTTATAGCAAACCATCTGAAATTAATTGCTCCGCAGTTTTACTGTAGCTTTGTTCATTAGAGACAGAATGCAGCATAAGCCAGGCATAATTTGAACCTCATCTAAAAGAATGCAAAGAATGATGGACAGTAGGATGCTATTATCAGGCTGGGCCATTTACCTGGAGTTCATTCACAGGGATTAGAGACACAGCCACAGGATTTTAGAAGTATTACATCATTTAATTTTTTCTAAGCTCTAAATTTCCCACCTCTAAAATGGCCAAAAAAAAACCCAGTCCTTTTTTGACTAGTCATGATTTTATTAATGGGTTGCCTAAAGTGTTTGTTTGAAAATCTTAGATGCTAAACAATAAAGGACAAAGACTATGAGCCTCGTTCATCTTGGGGAATGAGTGTTTTCTACAGCCCAGGCTCTCCCTAAGGCAGAAAAGCAGTACCCTAAAAGACATGCATCATAGTTTTATGATTTAGCATCATTTTAGCTAAGGAATCAGCCAGGAGCAATAATTTCCTTTTACTGTATTTCCACTGTTTTTTTTTTTTTAATATTGGGGAGAAAGAGGAAGGAATTGGGCTGTCACGTAACTTAATCCGGAAAGATGTAAACTGTTGTTTTGACCTTCTTTTGCTTCCTCTGTAGCACTCAAATTACCTAATAGCATGCTGAGCACACTAAAGGCAGTTAAATGTACTTGCACATGAATTGAACAATGGAATTGGAATATAATTAGAACATTTGTAAAGAAAAGTGACTAAGAAGTAGAAAAAAAATCTATGGGAGATAACATAATACATTCAAATTTAAAATCATTTCAGGATCTTTCTAAAAGATGTATAAACAACATGTTGATTAATATCCTTTTGTTTTTTAAAAGCCAATTACATTATATAAAAACAAACAGATTTTTAAAATATTCTGTAGACAGAACACCAGTTGATTAACTAAAAACTTTATTTTTCAGTCAGTAGCATGTATTCTCAGTCTCCAGATATAAAAAGTTATTTCAGTGCTATTGTCTTCAGATGTTCTATTTGTTCAGCTTTTATTAACCTTTTTAGTGTACATATTATCAGAAGTAATTACAAAAGGCACTAGCAATAAATAATGAATAGTATAGTGGAGTCTAAAATAAAATGGTTATTTTACAATTTAAATGCAGATATTTCTTCTTACTGCGTATCTAATTGTCTAATAACTCTTAAAAGCACAATGCAAAATGGCATGAATCCATACATGAGTAATTCTTCTGGGAATGCTGTCTCATATCCACAGGAAGCATAATTGGGATGACATAAAAGCCTTCTATTTACTGATAAGGATAATTGAACATGAAGCACTTCTGTGAGGATTTCACCATATGGGAGGAGTTACTCCATTCCACAGCTTATTTGAAATTTATGGTGGATACAGCCTCGGTGAAAGAATATCTTTATGACTTCCAGCAGCCATTTGGCATTTATTATGAAGTATTTTCATGGCTGAAGATACAGTTTTCTGTTGCTAATGTGCCTCACACATTGCCATGTGTATGAGGGATGTGGGAGTTTAATAAATAATATTTGATGATAAGACTTAATTTAGGCATGGCATTTTATGGAAGCTTATGATTCACATACCTCTGTGGTACTCACAGATGCACTTGAGTTTTGGTTCTGTAAAAGTTAAGAAGCCAAGTTGACACCTTAAAAAGCAACACCTGCACTTCTTGCACACAGTTCAGACTTATGGGTTTACCAGCAACTCTGCTTATTCTTAGTCAACCCATTGGGTTAGAAGTCAGCTGATGACCCCTGTTGAGGCCTGAGATTTCATTTGATTCCATGGCCACAGGTAGCTTCTTGGTCTGATCTAACTGTTTTGCAAATATGAGATCAAAATATCTACTGGGAGTGAAAATATAAATGGGCCCTCACAAGTCCATCATGGCTACAGAGAGGTAATACAGATCATGTTCAAAATACAGATCATGTTGATGAGGGATGACTTTGATATAGAAAGGAAAGCTCATGCCATTACAGAATTTTTTTTTTTTTTTTGAGACGGAGTCTCACTCTGTCGCCCAGGCTGGAGTGCAGTGGCGCCATATCGGCTCACTGCAACTCTGCCTCTTGGGTTCAAGCAATTCTCTGCCTCAGCCTCCTTTATAGCTGGGATTGCAGACACCGGCCACCATGCCTGGCTAATTTTTTTGTATTTTTAGTAGAGATGGGGTTTCACCATCTTGGCTAGGTTGGTATTGACCTCGTGATCCACCTGCCTCGGCCTCCCAAAGTGCTGGGATTACAGGCATGAGCCATTGCGCCCGGCCAACAGAATTCTTAAATAAAGTATTTAAGGTTAGTAAAGCCTTCAGGGAAATGAGCCTGGTTTGAAAAATCTAAATGTTTATTTTCATTTTTGAATACCTGTAATTAATTTGATCAATATTAATTCCAATGAATTTCTGGGTTTTGAAAATAAACAATGCAAAAATACGTATACACATAAATACATATATAAAGCTTTACCATAACATTAAGGTTCTTAATGATAAATTCTGGGAAAGGACCACAGAAATGAGTAGAGTTCTGAGAATACTGAACTGGCCTTACTGCAAATCTGATGCATTTCCAAAGTCCAAATTTCTAAACAAAATGAAATCATGCATTAGTCTTTGAAATCCTAAGTTCTATGTTCTTTTTTTTTTTTTTTTTTTTTTTTTTGAGGCAGAGTTTCACTCTTGTTCCCCAGGCTGGAGTGCAATGGTGCAATCTCGGCTCACTGCAACCTCTACCTCCCAGGTTCAAGCGATTCTCCTGCTTCAGCCTCCCAAGTAGCTGGGATTACAGGCGTGCAGCACCATGCCCAGCTAATTTTTGTATTTTTAGTAGATACGGGGTTTCGCCATGTTGACCAGGCTGGTCTCAAACTCCTGGCTTCAGGTCATCTGCCCACCTCGGCCTCCCAAAGTGCTGGGATTACAGGCATGAGCCACCACGCCTGGCCCCTAAGTTCTATGTTCTTTTTGGCTTTGGGTTTATTTATTTTATTATGTTCCCATATGTAGTGTCAACTATACGTGACAGTCCTGGTTTTCTTCAGAGTCAGACTTCCCATGGCTTTGCTCATTCCATGTTCTCTGCCTGGGAAAGGTAGGGTTCCTTATCTCCTTTTGCCATTCTATCCATCCATAAAACACCAGTTCCTCTGGGAAATTCTTCCTTGTCCCACAAGTAAGAAAAGACACTCCCTCACTTGTATTCTCACAGCACTTTCTCCTTCCTGTATCTTTTGTTCATTGTCTTTCATCACAGCTGTCGACAATGTACTGTAAACTCCTGGAGGGCAGCAGACTGCCTTACTCACCTTGCAATCAAGGTGAGTTGATGTTGTCAGGAATTGGGTAGACTGTTACGTGATAAAGGCAAAGAGAAATAACCCTTTTTATCTTAATTCTGTTTCAGTTTACTCTTAATGCAAAACAAAATCTGCATGGCAGGTCTTATAAGACTATTTCAGTTTTCTACTTTCTCAGATTCTTCTGCTGTGGGTCTGGTTTTACAAGGAGCAGCGTTTGCTCCTTCAGGGTTTCCAACATAGTTCTCAGGATTTATTCTGGAATTCTAGAGGCAAAACAACTCATTGCTGGGGAAAGTATCCATGAAAAATATATGTCATTTATTATGAGGCTTAGTGGTAAATGTTTTTATATTCATATTGTGTAACTAGCACTTTAAGCCTCAGAAATGCTTGCTATGCATTGATACTTTATTCAGGTGCCAAACCAAAAAGCATCTCTCTCAAAGTGCATATGCTAATAGTATCTTGAAAAGTACCCTAACAGAAATTGCAATGCAGAATAACATGACCTCATGTAAAAGACTTTCTATCATACTTTTCAGTTAACATTTACTAGATGCCCTAGAGAGAACTTTCATTCTTTTTAGTAATGAACACTTTTTTAAAAATCAAGCAGTATAACATAATGATTAAGAGCAACTGCTTTAGAATTCAATGACGTAGTCTTGAATTCTTCTTCAGCTACTTATAGGATGACTAACTCATCCTACTTTGTCCAGGATACTCCCAGTTTAAGCACTGAAAGTCCTACATCCTACAGAATCCTTTGGTCCTGGGCAACCTGAGGTGATTGGTCACCTAGAAAAGTAATACCTTGTTCAAGTCTCTGACTTTTCTCTAATTCTCAATTTCCTCAACTACAAAATGGGAATAATATTGCCTGTCTTATAGGGTCATTTTAAAGATTAAATGAGTTAACTCATATACTCTGCTATTAGCAGAGTGCTTAGCATATAGAAATGTTAAATAAATGTAGCTATTGTCATCCTTAGTATTAGCCAGTATAATTTTTTTTTAACAGCGAGACACATGGAGTTAAATAAAACGAAAAGAACAGAACCATATTAGCATGTTAGTGGCAAGATTCTAATAAGGTTATCCCAGGGCTAAGCCTCCCCTCTTTCCAACCCTGAGTCATTGATAGGGTAGAAACTGGAGTGGGGAGTGAAGGTGCAGAGGACGTTTAGCCTTCTACACACAATCCAGGGCTCTGTGGTAGCAACGACCAGATCAAGAGCCAGGATGCATTCAACATTCTAGGAGTAGAGTCACACCCCAGTTACCTCCAGTTGCCTGGCCCAAACAAGGGCAGAGAAGAGTATCTAAATCCTGATTTCGGTCACTGGATCATTACCACATCCTTAGAAGAGCTATCTTAAAAGATAACAAATTCCTGTCTTTGTGTTGCCAAAGAAAAGTCTATAACCAGATAATGTCATTTATAGGGAATTTTTTAAAAAACACTTATCAAGTTGTACTTTGTAAATGTGCTCATTCAATAAAATGTATTGAACTCTTATTAAGTGCTAGGTACTGTGCTAGGAATACAGAGATAATAGGACCATTCTTTCCCTCAAGTATCTCCCAATTTCAATCATATCAATTAGTAAATAAGTGGAAATTCTAAAGTAGACATTTGGTAATGCCATAAGAATTATGAAAACAAGCCAAACCTAATAACAATATAACAAACTTGATAGTTTTCAGTGTTGTTATTTAACTTCATTCATCTAATATATCAAGTAGTCACTGACAGATAGTGTGACTATAATGCAAGGTAAACCAGTGTTCAGTACGATTGTCACTGGCTGGTTAACTGATGTATGTAGCTTTTTACATAAAGGCAACAGCTGTGGCAGATTCAGAGCGATCAGATACTATGCTAGGGCTGTTATGCAAGTGTATAGTATTTGCACTCTGGCCCATAGCAAGGGTAAGAAGAACAAAGCAATGAAAACATTGGAAGGGAGAAAGAACTAAAGGAAAGCACCATAGGGAAATTTTAAAAGTTGCATATTCCCTCTTTTTATCCTTTAGGTCTCAGTTTAAATGTCACCTCCTTATAGAGGCCTGAGCATCTTATCTAAAGTAACCCACCCCTCTCCACTGATAGCTTTTTATTCTTTCTGCTGTCTACTTGTTTTCTTCAGATAACTTGTAATTCTCAGTCGTTTTATTTGCATGCTGTATTGGTTAGGGTATAGGCTAAGCTGCCATAACAAAGAAGTGCAAAAATAGAATGGCTCAAGCAAGTAAAAGTTTCTCTCTGATTTATCAGTTCAGAGGTAGGTGAGCGGTCAGGTAAGTGTCTGTACCAGGAGATCATTCAGGGCTCCATATTCCTTCTGCTCATCACCCCTTTGGGTATTGCCTTCATCTGCATTGTTAGAGCTGGTTCAACAAGACCATGTTCACAGTTTAGCTCATGGGGAGGGTAAAGAAAGACTGAAGGGCAACCAGTTTCTTCTTTAAGCATGTGATCCAGAAGCAACACATATTACTTTCATTCAAAACATAGTCCATGTCCACACCTAGGGGAAGGCTAGGAAGCCTGGTCTTCAGCTGGGTGACCATATGCTAAAATTCCTTGGCAGGGAAGGTAGCAAGAGTGGGGAGAGGACTTACTAAAGGGAAGAAAGGCAGGACAGACACTGGGGGACAATTTAGCAGGCTCTGCTATGCCTGCATAATTATGTTTTTTTGTTGTTGTTGTTTGGTTCTGTCCTCCATGGGACCAGAGACTATTTATCTGTTTCATTCATTGTTAAATCCCCAGAAACTAGAATAAGTACCTACCACATAGTAGGTGCTCAGTGCCCGATATACTGGGATGGGTGGAGTTAAATAACTAAACACTGAAACTATCAAGTTTGTTTTATCATTATTATATTTGTCTTGTCTTCACAATTCTCATAATGTTAGCAAATATCTACTTTAGGATTTCCACTTATTTACTTATTGGCATGACTGAGACTTTAAGCACCGAGCATGGTGACTGGCACATAGCAGGTATTCAACACTCTTTCCTTCCGTTTCTTCTAGTCCAGAAGAAAAGATCCATATACAGCATATAAAAATATGCTAAGAAATAATATTGAAACTGTTATCTTGCCATTCAAGGAAGAAATCTGAAGCATTTTCACTTTAAAAATACTCTTAAACCTTATCATGGGGTCATCTGATAAACAACCAGAAGCTAGGAGGTAACTGGATAGCTCTATTTGAACCCCTAGTTTCTTCCCCAGATATAAGAGCAGCTACCTTACCAACTTACAGGTAAGTAGAAAATAATACGTTGAACAATATATATGAGTTTGGGGCAAAAATAATAAAAACAAAGGTAAAATAGAAAGTATACCTTGACTCTGGCCTGTTTCTACACACTTAGGACAGGAAAATTTAATTCTCTGTTTTCTATCCAGCTGCTCTTTTCAGTAAGCATTTATTTCGAAAACTACCTTGTGTTGAGGCACAGATTAAATTCTAGGTAATTGTTAATGAATTTTTTTTTTTTGACAGCGTCTCACTCTGTCACCCAGGCTGGAGTGCATTGGCATGATCTCCACTCACTGCAATGTCTGCCTCCCGGGTTCAAGCAATAGTCCTGCCTCAGCCTCCCAAGTAGCTGGGACTACAAGTGTGTACCACCAAGCCCGACTAATTTTTGTATTTTTAGTAGAGACTGGGTTTCACCATATTGGCCAGGCTGATCTTGAACCCCTGACCTCAGGTGATCCACCCGCCTAGGCCTCCCAAAGTGCTGGGATTACAGGCGTGAGCCACCATGCCCAGCCAAGTTTTTTTCTTTTAAAGCATCAAATGCAACTGACTTTTGTTTGTGGCCCAATCTGTTCATTCAGTCCTTAACTAGTACAAAGCACAATCTTTAGGAGTCATGATTAGAGGACGCCAAACACCAGATGTTGGAGATAATGTCTTACAGATTATTTTTAGGAGTTTAAAAAAAAAAAAACCATGAGCATTTAATACTTATACTGAATTATTGACACAGTAATTGGTTGCTGGTTCCTTTCCAGAACACATTTGGTTTTGGTTTCTGCTTACGTTTTATAAAATCTTACAGAACAAAGAAATGCAGTATCTTTTGCAAGCTCTTATTTATTTATGGTTTTACCTAGACCATTTTAACTATTCACATACTAGCTTGTTTATGATGTCTATTTTGCCTTCAAACATCACAGATTCATTTCAGACTATTCAAAAAGGATGACTGTAAGCTAGTATCCAAAGTTTAGATGGAATATATAGAAATCAAATAACTATCTGAATTTGTTTGGCTGAACATCAAAGCATCAACATTTCTGTCCTTGGAAATTCATTACCTATTCTTTAGCCTGTATAAATTCTCCACATCCTTCAAGATGGAGCTTAAATCTCTTCAGGTCTGAGAAACTTCCATAACCAGGCACTTCTACAGCAAAAGGACTTTTGTTTGAACTCATCTTTTCCAGTCTCTTTAAAGGTCACCCTACTGGGAAGCCTAGAGCTCCAGGCTATACTTAAATGCACTATTTTTTCAGAGTATCTGCTTGAACCTCTTTTTATCTTAGTCTTTGCATTATTGAATCCTACTCCTTCTTTGTTTTTTTTTTCTCCTAATTCTTCCAGTTTAACACAAAGAACAGCATTTTACGAGGCAATTTTAAAATACTGCAAAGTAAAAAATGAAGTTAAAAGACATTTTAAAATATTTTACGTCTCTGGACTTCAATGATCACTTCAAAAAATCATGTACTCAAAAGATGTTCATAGCAGCAGTGTTTAGAATAGCAAAAGAATTGCTGACAACATAAAGAGGAATGCTTAAATGAATTGTAGAACATTCGTTTCATGGAATACTGACTGTTAAAAATATAAGGTAGATCCTTATATACTGAAATGTAAGTATGGCCCTGGTACAGTGTAGGGGGTAGAAAGCAAATTATGAAGATAATTATCCCATTCATATAAAAGATAACAAAATGTCTACAACTCTCCAAATAATATCTGTTGTTGTTTCCTGAGGAATGGGGTAGAAATAGGGAATTTTTCTCTTAAACTTATGTACTTCTAGTTTTAAAAAATGTTATAGTGATTATTTGCAATTTTTAAAATTTCACGGCTGGGCGCGATGGCTCACACCTGTAATCCCAGCACTTTGGGAGGCCGAGGTGGGTGGATTGCCAGAGGTCAGGAGTTCGAGACCACCCTGGCCAACATAGTGAAACCCCGTCTCTACTAAATATACAAAAAATTAGTTGGGCATGGTAGCAGGCGCCTGTAATCCCAGCTACAAGGGAGGCTGAGGCAGGAGAACTGCTTGAACCTAGGAGGCGGAGGTTGCAGTGAGCCGAGGTTGCGCCATTGCATTCCAGCCTGGACAACAAGAGCGAAACTCCATCTCAAAAAAAAAAAAAAGTAGCACTTCACAAATGCATTTGATATAACCCCCAAACCTGAATGCTATCATTTTGGAAAGTTGTTTTTGGACTGCTTGTTCCCAGTCACTTCTATGCTCTAAAACAGTCACTGGATCCTTGTTTCCTACACCTTTCTAATACCCTCACAGTGGCTCCATAACCCTCACCACTCCCTCTGGCCTGAGTTACAATGGCTCCATAAGCTCTCATATTTGTGTACGGATTCCTTCCCACTCATTACTTCACCTTTGGTTTTGCTATTAGTTCTGCCCCTAAAATGGCTTCCTACTATTTCCCTCTGCCTGTCAAAAATCACACGTATTTTCAAAGCCCCAGTGCAAGTCTCACTTTCCTCACAATAGCAACTATTCTCCAGATTCCTAAAAACAATGTATTTTTTTGGTCATCACCTAGGTAGGTTGTACCAGGAGAATGTAGTATTTTAACTATTCCTTAGAATGTACAGTTGATTAAAATTTTGTGTTAAGGTTGGCTGCACGCGGTGGCTCATGCCTGTAATCCCAGCACTTTGGGAGGCCGAGGCAGGTGGATCACGAGGTCAGGAGATTGAGACCTTCCTGGCTAACACAGTGAAACCCCATCTCTACTAAAAATACAAAAATTAGCCGGGCGTCGTGGGAGGTGCCTGTAGTCCCAGGTACTCAGGAGGCTGAGGCAGGAGAATGGCATGAACCTGGGAGGCGGAGCTTGCAGTGAGCCGAGATCGTGCCACTGCACTCCAGCCTGGGCAACAGGGCGAGACTCTGTCTCAAAAAAAAAAAAAAAAAAAGAAAGAAAATTGTGTTATTGTTATGAATTGTGCATATTTTAAATTTATTGCATGTAATTTATTGGCCTTTTTCTTCCTGGAGGTAAAAGAAAAGAAAGAAGAAAATAAATCTTGATGTAGTTTCCTGACTGAGCATTCAGAGTCACTTGGATCAATATTCCCAAACTCTGGCTCATCAACAGCTGAATTATTGTCTTGCTTTAAACACAGAGTTTACCTCGTCTTATAGATGCGATAGCTCGGAGGAGCAAAATGAATACTGCTGTTGATAAAGGACATTAATCTTTCTTGTCATTTTCCTTGATTTGTATGGGTACCTCTGGGGCACATCTTCTGTGCACTCAGTATAATAACTTTTATACTCTATTCTGATTTTGAGTACACGGGGAGAGAGAGAGAGTTAGTTAAATCAAAGTGTTTGCCTTTGAGTCTACCAAATGATATGTCCTGAATTCCAGGTTTATGCTATTTGTCCCAAGATGTTATTCACATCTTTCTATTTTTATAAATTGCATTCCAACATGAGATTATGTTTGTAATGAGGAGTGCTCAAAACACAAAAGTAAATTTCAAATGTCTCATGACCAGCAGAACATGTGAGTTAGATTTTGAAAACTTGAACAAGAAGGCAAGGCATACTCTGTTAAAAGGCAAAATAGTAGCTAATGTTAATTACATTTCAAAATAAAAACATTGTCCTTTGCACAAGTACCTCAAAAAAGGTGTTCAGCCCATGAGTTTTTGAACTCAGAAAAACATGTTTTACACACACTTTCTTGACACAATCCCTTAACAATTTTTATAAGAGATGAACATTGATCAGCTATTGAATTAACTTGAGCAGAGATTCTTTCTACTTTACTGCTTCATTAGTTGTGATGTGACAGCAAATTTAGATCCATCTAGTTTAGCTTAAGAAGCCTGCCACAAACCGTTAAGTCTCCTTTAATCATCACGACAATTCCAAGAATAGTGCTGATAGCATCAGCTTTGGAGTCATATTGCCCTAAATCTGAGTTCTGCTTCTGCCACTTCTGGCTGTCTTCCTAATAACAAGTTCCTTAACCTCTCTAAGCTTCAGTTTCCTCATCAATAATATGAGTGTGGTTAAACAAAAGGTCTTATAGACTGTTAAAGCATGAAATGAGATCATCTATTTAATGATCTCATTTAGCACATAGTGAGCATATATTTTAAATGTTAGTTGTTATTATCCTCCTTTTGCAAGTGAGGAAACTGGGCCTCCCTATAAGTTTAATGACTTATTAAAGGTCACTGATTTGATGGGGATGTCCAACCCCAGGCCAGTAATTCAATGGGGATGTCCAATTCCAGGACTCTGATGCCTGTGATTTTTCTACGATGGAATGCTGTAACCATGAAGCATACCACACCACACACTATGCCATGCCCTGCTGCATCATCCCATGCTCCCTGTCACGTCTTGCCACAGCACAGCACACACACCCTACTGCATACCATGTCATGCCACACCACGGCATGCCATACCACACCACATACCACATCACACCACATTGTCTGCCATGTCGTGTTCCTAACAGCATTACCGCTTAGTTGTCATCCTCATTTGCTTGCTCTGTGTGCTTCCCAAAGGATACCACTCTCCATGATGTTGCTTTAGGTCCCAGAGACGCATGTTCAATTCCCAACACTGGCACAAAATCCAAGACTTTCAGCAGAGGATGCAGGCCTCTGGCACAGGTCTGTGACCACCAGAGGAAGAGCACCTTTCTTTTTTACCAAGACATGGTATGGGCTGGCTGTACCTCTACAAGGGATGGTCCTGTGCTGTGTGGCCATAAATTTCCCTTAATAAAACAGATTCTGTTGAGAAATTCCAACTCTGGCTTTAGCTTGATCTTGTGGATTATTCCAGACTGTGGTAAATTCCCTTTCTAGGGTCTTCTTCAGTCTGTTTTGAATGATAGATGTATTAGTCTGTTCTCTGGCTGCTAATAAGGACATACCTGAGACTGGATAATTTATAAAGGAAAGAGATTTAATTGATTCACAGTTCCACGTGGCTGGAGAGGCCTCACAATCATAGCAGAAGGCAAATGAGGAGCAAAGTCACATCTTACATGGTAGCAGGCAAGAGAAGGACTGAGCAAAATGGGGAAAGCCCCTTATAAAACCATCAGATCTCATGAGACTTATTCATTACCACGAGAACAGTACGGGGGAAACCGCCCCCATGATTTAATTATCTCCACCTGGCCCTGCCCTTGACACGTGGGGATTGTTACAATTCAAGGTGAGATTTGGGTGGGGACACAGCCAAACCATATCAGGGTCTAAGACAATTAGCATGAAAATTCTTTGCTTCTGACTTTAATGTCTTTCAAATTTATGAGATACACCCAGTGCAGAGGCTAAGACTGTATTTTGAAATGATGCAGATGTTTAAAAAAACTGACAACTTATGTACCGGCATGTTTTAGTTGGCCACAAATGCAACATAGCTAATAGTGTGGGCAGCGGCTATAAAAATCTGTGAATAAAAATAGGAAATGTAAGTCAAGGGACTCAGAACTAGGAGGGGAAATAGTCTCACTGCCCCTCTGTATCATTATTGTCCCTCTGACTCATTTTGTATCATTAGGTCCAGGTCAGATTTTAGAGGGACCAGGATGAACTACAGTGTATTCTCTGGTTGGAACTAGCACGATGAGTCTGGAAACATATTCATTGATGTGTTCCATAAGTACTTACCAAACAAAAATCTAGGTGCCAGGGATGTGCTTAGCGCCAGAGAAAAGTGAAGCACGTTGTGCAGTCCATGTTTCCTATGAGCTCACAGTGCAGGGAAAACAAAACGTGAAGAAGAGGATGAAGAAGGTTCTAACCTGAAAGATGAGAACCTAAGAGAGGCCATAGCTGTCTTCAAATGTTTGAAAGTCTGTCATGTGGAAGAAGGAAGCTGGGCTGGGGGTTCCCATCATAGTTTGTGCAACACTCTTACTATCATCCTAAATTGTTTTCTTTTTCTTTGTTTTTAAATGAAATTAAAGTTTTAAAGAGTAATACATTCATTTGGTTGAAAAAGGAAAATAATTTTTAAAAAGAAGTGTACACAGTGAAAAAATCTCCCTTCCACTTCTGGTCTCCTATCCCACCCTCCATGGTTAAGAATTGGTTTCTTGTATACTCTCTCAGTGTTTTCTTTATGCAGATATGAACAATACAAACATATATTCTTATTCCTCTTTTTCTTACATGAGAGTTAGTATTCTATATATCTGCATCTAGATATCTATAACTATAAGTCTATACACACATATTCTGCAACTTACTTTTTCACTTAATATTTATCTGGAAATCTTCAATAATGGAGATTGTCTTCACTCTTGTACAGCTACATAGTATTCTATGTATAGCAATACATTGTTTAGCTAGGCTTTGTTGATGGATATTTGATTCCAATTTTTTTTCAACTTATGCTATAACGTATGACCTTTTATGTATTCATTTTGTACATGTGCAAGTGTGTCTATGGGCTAATTCCTGTAAGAAGGTTGCTGGTTCCAAGAGCAAATACATTTGTAATCTGGATAGGAATTCCCAAATTGCCTCCCATTGGGGTTATGGCGTATTGTACTCCTCCCAGCCTCCTCCTAGTGTGAGAATGCCTGTTGCCCTCCAGCCTCACTAAAGACTGTGTTGCCAAACTCTTTTGAATTTTTTTCAAACTGATAAGGAAGAAATGTCATTTCAGGGATTTTTCAATTTGCATTTTTATGTTCCAGGGTCATACATCTTTTTCCATGCAAAGTGTTTGTTTATATTCTCTGTTTTTTTTTTTAATGAAGCAATAGTCTTTTTATTCCTGATTTCTAGGAACTCTTTATATATTAGGGGAACTTCCCCTTATGTGCTGTATTGTTTTCTAATTATTTGTTGAGGTGTCTGTTTTCACTAATAGATGAAGACGAAACCGGGACTAAAGCCTGGAAGCAACAGTGAGATATTTGGGGGTTCAATTTTAAAAATAATAATGAGCCCTTAATAAGTGTCATGTATGACTTTCAGTGCTTTGATTCTACTATCTCATTTAGTCTTCAGAATAATTCTTTGAAATGGCTATTATTATAAACAGATGAGACAGAAGCACAAAGATATTAGGTAATCGGTCCAGGGTCACACAGCTTGTAAATGGGGGAGTCGGTATTCCAAGCCATGCATTTGAACCCAGGACCCAGGCTGTTAACTACAACATTTACTAAGTGTGCAGAGCAAGCAATGAGATCACATTAATGGAAATGTTTAAAATAAGGTTGGAAGATGGACACTTCTGAGTCTTGTGGATAAGATCCTAAGATTGGGAAGGCCTTGCATTAGATGACCTAAAGAAACTCTTCCAATCCTTCTTCTTTGTTTTTTTCTGACAATGCCATGCCTGACCAAAAAGATGAATCAGGATATATGATGTGCCATATGGGACCTGTCTGCTCCCATTATTATCCATCAGCAGATACTGCAACCCACCCAGCATCACTTCTACTGCATCCAAGGGCACCTGAACTTCCATTTACAAACAATGATTTTGTAGTAGACTTTGGGGGCACACTAGGTTACTAAGCCTATGTACATATGAGAATGTCCTTCATTTTGGTGCTTTGCACATAGTAAGCATTCAGAAATTTTTTTTCATTGAATTAACACATGATTGATGGTAAAGCTTATTCCAAAGGCTCTTGAATGTGACTCAATCAGATGGCAACATGGAGGTAATAATCCAATCAGTAATTGCTTTGCACAGACTGTGCAAAGATATGAAGATGTATATGAAATGTTTCTTAACAAGTATATAGAAAAAGGCAACTGACAACAAAGGCAGGAAAGCCAGTGAGTCCCAAATGAATGGTCATGACCCTTGGGGTGGAGATGGAGAAAACATTGAGGAGTGGGGTAACAGGAAGAAACTTCCTAGAGGAGGCCAGACTTCACCAGAGATGTTATTTGGATTTGGGAAGAGTGAAGGAGCCTTTCAATTGAGGAGAAGGGCTTGAGCAGAGGCACAGAAGTAGAAAATCTTATGGTATGTTTGTGGGCTTGAGCAGGTGTGTTTTTTGTGCAGTCTCAGAAATAAAACCCTAAAGGCAGGCTGGGACCCTGCTGAAGAGGATCCTGAATTCTAAGCCAAGGGATGGGCAAAGATGGTCACAGAAGGCTTTGAAATAGAGAAGTGACATGGTAATAGTGCTGCTTTGGGGAGATGAATATGTCAGCCATGTGCAGAGTAGTGCAGAGTGAGAAGAGGTGAGGCTGGAAGCTGGAGAACACTTAGGAAACAAGCACAGTACTCCTGAGAGAAGGTGGTAAGTGTCTGTCTAGGGAGGTAACCATGGAATGGAAAGAAAGCTATAAAAAGAATTATGGGTGATTCCAAATATATGACATTTTGAACTAGGCAAAACTGTGTAGACAGTAAAAGGATCGGTGGTTACTGGGGTTAGGAAGGAGGAAAGGATGAATAGGCAGAACACAGGAATCTGGAAGAAGTGGAAATATTCTATATAATACTGTTATGGTGTATATATGTCATTATACTTTTGTTCAAACCCAGAGAATGTACACCACCAAGAGTAAACTTTAATGTAAACTACAGACTTTGGGTGATGACATGTTGTTGTAGATTCATCAGTTGTAACAAATATACTATGTGTCTTGGTCAGTTTGGGATGCTGTAACAAAACACCATAAACTAGGTGGCTTATAAGCAGCAAACATTTATCTCTTACAGTTCTGGAGTCTAGAAAGTCCAAGATCAAGGCACTGGTAGATTCAGTGTCAGGTGAGGGCCCATTTTCTGGTTCATAGATGGCATCTCCTCTCTGCGTCCTCAAGTAGTGGAAGAAACAAAGGCGCTCCCTTGGCTCTCTTTTACAAGGGCACTAATCCCATTTATGAGGGCTCTGTATTAGTTCATTTTCACACTGCTAATAAAGACATACCCAAGACTGGATAATTTATAAAGGAAAGAGGTTTAATTGACTCACAGTTCCAAATGGCTGGGAAGGCCTCACAATCATGGCGGAAGACGAAGGAAGAGCAAAAGGATGTCTTACATGGTGGCAGCCAGCAAAGAGAGAATGAGAACCAAGCAAAAGGGGTTTCCCATTATAAAACCATCAGATCTCATGAAACGTATTCACTACCATGAGAACAGTATGGGGGAAACTGCCCACATATTTCAATTATCTCCTACCAGATCCCTCCCAAATATGTGGGAATCATGGGAGCTACAATTCAAGATGAGATTTGGGTGGGGGCACAGCCAAACTATATCAGCCTCCTCCCTCATGATCTCCTCACCTCCCAAAGGTCCCATCTCCTAATACTATCATCTTTGGGGTTAGGATATTAACACAGGAATTTTAGGGGAACACAGACATTCAGACCACAGCAGCATGTGTGGAGGCAGGGGCATATGGGAAATCTCTGTGCCTTCCTTGCAATTTTGCTGTGAACTTAAATCTGCTCAAAAAATAATAAGAATAAAGTATTTTTTTGTAAACAAAGAGCTAGATGCAGTGGCTCATGCCTGTAGTCCCAGGTACCTGGGAGACTGAGGCAGGAGAATCGCTTGAACCCAGGAGGTCAAGGCTGCAGGAGTCATGATGGTACCACTGCACTCCAGCCTGGGCAACAGAGACAAAAAAAAAAAAACAAAAAAAAGAATTATGGAGACTGTGTCGGGGGTGGGGAGCAAAAGATAATTCTGTGTGGGGGGTGGGGAGCAAAAGAGCTATTAAAGTGCAAACAAATTTATAGTACACATTTTTTTGCTATTATCCATGTTATACATAGCATTGAGGGAATCTGACCAAGAACAATTATTTTTCTCTTTGGAAATCAGAGAGCAAAATTCTATCAGTAAATGATAAATAGAAAGATGTTTGGGGATAGCCCTTGTTTTTATTCCAAAGGTAATTATTTACATAGTAAAGGAAATTTAGAGCCCTCTCTGATTGGAAACATTGGGAGTAGAATACATTTAAATCAGTTGGGTGAATTAGAAGATAGTGGTGGTGGTTGAATAACTATTAGTATACAAACACTTCTGAATTGTACACTTTAAAAGAGTGAATTTTATGCTATATGAATTACATATCACTAAACCTATTCTTCAAAACAGCAAAGGAATGTCTATATAGGATTTTAGGCACCTTTTCTTAAGATCTAAGTAAATTATGTATTCACCTCCACCATTTCCCTAAAAAAGATTGTTTCTCAAAGAAGACCACAGAACCACATTTCCATCTTTAAACAGTGGGCAAAAACAAACAAAATCCAAAACATGATTCCAAGCTCATCAGAACTTTCACCATCATTTCATCTTAGTGCTCTGCAACTTTATGCTTTCCAAGGCACTACTGAGGACTCTGAAAAACATTTAGGCCCTAGTCTGTCTGCTAAAGCAATTATTTTTCCTTTAAGAGAATTTTTTGCTAAAGTGAAAACATCCTAGGCAATGGGAATCTTGGCTCTTCATAGAGAAAAGAACAAATTGCTGAATCATTTTTATTAAACATTAATTTTGCAAAACCAAAAGCGAAATCTATTATTCTGGCAGACAAGCTTTAAATAAGGCAGTGAGTTGGGGAAAGAGTAGTTACTCATATTCTTAAACCCCCAAACATGTTCATCAGCTTTGACTTAGTCTTTTGCTAGAGAATGCAGGCTCTTTTTATTTTTAACTCTCTTAACTAACCATACAGATAAAACTGATTAAAAATGGGTGTACCTGGATTTCTCAGTACCCATTTGTCATGTTAAATCACAGTCCACTTAATTTGAGAAGGAGAATGTTTTCTAGGTGACATAGAGGTTCCTAGAGTCTCTCTGGCATATTCATCCCTCATGGAGGACTCTGTTGTCAAATGTGTCACAGCCTCCAGACTGTGGGCCTGCTGATTTCATAGCACTTAGAAAAGATGAGTAGGAGTGTTCAGGAAAAAGCCTCCCAGCCTAACCTCTGTGCAGGCTGCTGCTATCCATCACATGGGCAGCCTCAGGGCAGGGGATTCTGGGAAAGGTGAATGCAGATTTACTTTTGGTCATTGATTCTGGCTTTTAATTCTTGAATTTTAATATGCACCTCTCTCTGCACTGTCATTACAGTTTTTTATTATGCCCACACTTTTTAAAAAAAAATTCTCAATTTAATAGGACTAATGTCCCCTATACCTGTTAATATTGGCTCTATTCAAACAATAATTGGCATTTTTGTTTCTCTAATTCCAGGGAGAAGGGTAAGCCAGATGTTTGTCTAATGGAGCATTTCTATCTCTGTTCTCAGAAAACCTTTTTGTATAATTTGTTGTTTTTTTTCTTTCTGGCATTTTCTATGTCTCCATTTCAGTGCAGTAAGAGGAGCTTTATAGAGTTGTGGAAGTACCACCTTAAGCCATAAGCCCCTTATCTCAACCCTAGCGAGTCAGAATAGGCTCCGTCCACAGGAAGAAGGCATCTGTAGGCACTTAACCCTCTCATTCCTTTTCTGCCTGTAGTTTTGGTAAATTTCAGCTTTTTGTGCTCAAGTCAGGCATCATCACGTTCATGACAGGATCTATGTCCATTTAAAGTACGTAATGAACCGCCACCTGCTCGTGGAGCTGTGAAGACAGCATGGCCTTGGACTCTGGGGACTTAGCATCTAAGGTGGACCCCAGAGAGCATGGGTGTGGGCTGGATACATGAAACTCCTTCTGGCCCACTCTACCATGAGAGGATGTCATTAGAGATAAAGGAAGAAACTAACGAACAGATGGTAATATGTTGGAGATGAGTAGTGTTCTCCCTGAAAAATAAAGATAATAAGAAAATCAACAGCTCTCATTTATTGAGTGTGTTCGATGTATCAGGCAAAGATCTAAGGGCATTATCTCATTTAGTCCTCCTAGCAGCCCAGTAAGGTGGGGGTTATTATTGCCTTATCTTAAAGATGGATTAACCGAGGCTCTAAGAGGCTAACTTACCCAACATCTCACAACTGCCAGTTAGTGGTAGAGCCAGAATACAAACTGCCTAAGCTATGGATCACCAATTGAATGAACTCCATTCTGTGAGGATGAGTCAGCGTTAAGAACTATTAATAGAATTTTAGGATTAAAGCTTTTCCTTGAGAAAAGTAGAATCATCTTCAGCAAGTCATCGTTGTCATCCTATCCCTTAGTGTTGCCAGAGAATTTTTAAAATAAAATAAAACACCTACCCTTTATGAGATTACTGAATTTGTCTGCCTCATGATGAGTGTTTCTGACCTCTTTTAATCAGTAGATTAAAAAGCTTCACTTTTATCAACACATATTGGGATTTAATGGCAATAGTTTCAGCTTCTTTTCATCCTTCTCCTACTTAGGTTTTGACTAGAAATAGTGGCCTGTGAATCCTTCAGTTTTTATTATAAGTACTTTTTTGAAGTTATTACAAATTGAAATTTTGAAAATCAATGCCATTTTAAATGCATCCAGGTAACTGAATTTGCTGTGTCTTCCCAGAACAGCCACCTCCCAAGAGGGCATCTGTAGGTTAACACAGCGACTCTCAAGGTACATTTGCCTCTGCATGAATTAGACCTCTAGATGGTCCAGGAAACAGCTGTGGAGAAATATCTGAGGAAATCAGATATTCCACAGAATCCTTGGTTATGTGGCAATGTCTAGTCTAGAACAAGGCACTTTAATTTAGTGGATTTGTATTTAACAATATGGCAATGTGAGTTCCTACCTGGGGCAAATGGCTTGTGCTCTCTCAGGTCCCACATCTGCCAGCTCTGCAGGAAGTGCTGACAAGAATTAATTGGCTTTCCTGGGCCTTCAGGCTCAGTTCTGCTTCTCAGTTCCAACAATCCCCACAGGACTCTGCTCCAACATAATTTACTGTCTAGGAGGACTTTCTGTTTACAAGAGTTCTAACTGATAGGCACCATATCATGCATGTATATTTTTAAATTCAATAAGTTAGAACCTTGAGGATTTTTTAGGGTATTTAGCTCAATTTTTTAAAATGGGACATAACTACATTCAAAGTATTTGAATTATTCTTTGTTTTTATGATGATTCTAATACGATCCCATCTAAAATGTGTGAAAAAAGTTTTAAAAATAAAATGTGTGATTTACACAAATAACTTTGTTCCTCTTCTCTTCCTCTAGCTGGCAGTATTTTTAGAGTGTGGTAAAGGGGTCCTTCCAATTTCATACTGGGTTTTCTGAGCAAGACAGAGCCAGTAGGGTAGGAATGGGACTTCTTCCCAATTGTTGATTCTATTTATAGCCTCTCTAATAATATTTTATTTTTAGAATAATATAGATGTCATTTAGATTCTGTTCCCTCAATTATTACTGTACATCTGAGAAGCCCCTGTTCTCAGAGGCATCACCTTGGGGGAAATTATATTGATTCTGTTACACAGGAAAGCAATAAGTAAAAAGGAAGTTGTGTCAAACTACAGTGGTAGCCAATTAGTATAAAAATCATGGAAAGTTGGAAGGGAATTCTGCAGTTGTCTCATCCAACTTTCTACAAAGTACTGGTTTCTGTCTAGACAAACACTGGGTCTCTCTCTGCCTGTGTCTACCATGATCAGAATACTCTTGTTCTGAGAATACTCTTGCTGTATTTCATTGTTGGATAACTCACATTTTAGACTGTTTTTTGCATGACAGATTTAAAATGTCCTCTTTGTAATTTGCATTAATTAGTCATAGCTTGTTCTCAGTAGCTGCACAGAATAAGACCACTCGTTAATGGATTGAAGAGTCCATTTATTTATATTTATTTTGAATTGGATGCTTACTATGTGCAATATAGTGTGCCAGACATAAGCATCAAAATCCAGGAGCTGACAGGTTAGAAGAAGGTAACATGTACATATATAAGCTGTATGTCATACATGCTACATGAGCAGTATAAATTAAGTGCTATGAGAATGAAGAGGGAGACAATAGGATGGGATCAGGTCCTGCAGGCATTGGTCAGTGTTGTGATCTGAATGTTTGTGCACCACCCCCGCCCCAAAATTCATATGCTAAAATGCTAACCCCCAAGGCAATGATATCTGGAGTCGGGCCTTTGGGAGGTGATTAAGCTACAAGGGCAGAGCTCTCATGAATGGAATTAGTGACCTTATAAAAGTGGCCCCAGAGAGAATCCCTCACCCTTTCTACCATGTGAAATTACAGCAAAAAGATGGCTATGTAGGAAGTGGGCCCTCACCAGACACTAAATCCACTGGCACCTTGATCTTGAACCTCCCAGCCTCCAGAGTAAATTTCTGTCGTCTATAATCTACATAGTTTATAGTCTTTTTGTTGCAACCGCCTAAATGGACTAAGACAGTCAGCAAATTCATCATGGAGATGGTGACATTTAAAGCTCCTTATGTTTAATGGCTTGAGATTGAAGGGCAGAGGTGTGGATGTGGAGGTTGGAAGGATCCAGTGTTGAAGAAGTGTTGGGTAGTTTATATTAGTGGAGCTTAGAATTTGAATTGGAGAGTGGAAGACAGGGCTAGAAAAGCTGGTCAAGTGAGTGTGAGACTGTGAAGGGCTTTGTATGCCCGGAGTGGAGGGTGAGAGGAATGGTGGCAACAGGGCTGTGACCAGGTGGAATTCACATGGTCTCAAATGCCAGGCTACAGAGTTTAAGGATTATCCAGCAAGGCAGTGCAGAGCCCAGGGGCTGGGCACTGAGCAAGTGACACTTGTGTTTAGTGAGATAACCCCGGTGGTAGGAGACAGCGGTCTAGAGGGATATGCAACTTGCCAAGTATAGGTAATCAGGGCCAGGAGCCCTGTGGTGGCCTTTGCAGTGGGGGAATTGAGTGAGATTTGGATGATAATGACTGAGATACAGCCTTGGAAACCAAATAAACCACCTGCTATGTCTTCTCCAGATTCCCTTTCTCACTCCCCACCTCTCCAGACTATTCATTTATATGGACAAACCCCTTCTCTCCTCACTTTCTGGTGAATAATTACTTATTAACACCTGCAAATAGTTCCAAATAACTGGTAGAGAATCCTAGGATC
The DNA here is from genome assembly GCF_000001405.40 of Homo sapiens. NCBI lineage: Eukaryota > Metazoa > Chordata > Mammalia > Primates > Hominidae > Homo > Homo sapiens. The sequence goes on along the minus strand of NC_000014.9, from coordinate 59,751,473 downwards.
CAAATATCTGTAGTGAAATATCTATCTCGGGTTGATTTCCCTGCCTCCAATGAGGTCTACCTATAAGCTGAGCCCATATAATGAAAGAAGCTTTAATAATTCTTCAGGATAAAGGTGTGTGTGCACCCATGGATTTAAATTTAATAGTTTTTTTGTTTGGTGTTCTATCTATGCTTAGGAAATAAGGACAATCCTTAGTATTATTCCTTTTGTTACTGAGATTTTTTGGTCTAACTTTAAAAGAGGGGCTGCCATATGCAAAAAAAAAAAAAAAAAAAAAAAGGTATAATGAGAAGCCTAGCTGAGATGTATAGATTTCAACTAGTCTGTTGCTCACAAAATTAAGTCACTTGCTAAATGAAGTATCGTTAGCAATTTGGGGGAATCTTCTAACCTGTCTTTTCACACAATACTGATATTTATGCTTAATTCTAAACTTCAAAATTACTTTCCTTGGTCAGGTGAGGTGACTCAATGCCGGTAATCCCAGCACTTTGGGAGGCCAAGGCAGAAGGATCATTTGAGCCCAGGAGTTCAAGACAGGCCTGGGCAACATAGTGAGACCACATCTCTATGAAAAAATGAAAACAAAATTAGCCAGTCATGCTGGTGCATGCCTGTAGTCCCGGTTACTTGGGAGGGTGAACTAGATGGATGTTTTGAGCCTATAGGTTGAGGCTGCAGTGAGCCAAGATCATGCCACACTGCACTCCAGCCTGGGTGACAGAGCAAGACTCTGTCTCAAAAAAAAAAAAAAAAAGACATATAGATATAATATATATATTATATATTATAGATATAATATATATATTATATATTATAGATATAATATATATATTATATATTATAGATATAATATATATATTTATAGATATAATATATATTATATTTATAGATATAATATATATATTATAGATATATTATATATTATAGATATATTATATATATTATAGATATATTATATATATTATAGATATAATATATATATTATAGATATATTATATATTATAGATATATATATTATAGATATATTATATATTATAGATATATTATATATTATACATATAATATATATATTATAGATATAATATATAATATATAGATATAATATATAGATATAATATATATTATAGATATAATATATTATATATTATAGATATTATATATTATATATTATAGATATTATATATATTATATATTATAGATATTATATATATTATATATTATAGATATAATATATATATTATAGATATAATATATATATTATATATTATAGATATAATATATGTATTATATATTATAGATATAATATATATTATCTATAATATATATATTATATATTATAGATAATATATATTATATATAATATATAATATATAATATATATGTCTATAATATATAATATATAATATATGTATATAATATAATATATAATATATGTATATAATATAATATATAATATATATGTATATAATATATATGTATATAATATATAATATATGTATATAATATATATATAACATATAAATATATATATATTTGAACCAAGGAGGAAGAGGTTGATTCCCAGGAGGAATATATATATGTGTATATATATAGATATATAAATATACATATAGATATATATATAAATATACATATAGATATATATAAATATACATATAGATATATATAAATATACATATAGATATATATAAATATACATATAGATATATAAATATACATATAGATATATATATAAATATATAGATATATAAATATATAGATATATATAGATATATATGTAAATATATAGATATATAAATATATATAGATATCTATATAAATATATATAGATATCTATATATAGATATCTATATAAATATATATAGATAGATATATATATAAATATCTATATATATATATCTATATATAGATATCTATATAAATATATATAGATAGATATATATAAATATATAGATATCTATATATAGATATATATAGATATATATAGATATATAGATAGATTAGATATATATAGATATATATAGATATAGATATATATAGATATATAGATATATATAGATATAGATATATATAGATATATATAGATATAGATATATAGATATATATATAGATATATATAGATATATATAGATATATATAGATATATAGATATATATATAGATATATATAGATATATATAGATATATATAGATATATATATAGATATATATAGATATATAGATATATATAGATATATATAGATATATAGATATATATAGATATATATATAGATATATATAGATAGATATATAGATAGATATATAGATAGATATAGATAGATAGATAGATAGATATAGATATATCTATATATATATATATATATATAGATATATATATAGATGCCCCGGCGTGGTGGCTCACGCCTGTAATCCCAGCACTGGGGAGGCCATGGTGGGAGGATCACCTGAGGTCAGGAGTTCGAGACCATCTGGCCGACATGACAAAACCCTGTCTCTATTAAAAATACAAAAATCAGCTGGGTGTGGTGGCACATGCCTGTGATCTCAGCTATTCGGGAGGCTGAGGCAAGAGAATTGCTTGAACCTGGGAGGCAGAGGTTGCTGTGAGCCAAGATCGCTCCACTGCACTCCAGCCTGGGCGACAGAGTAAGACTCTGTCCTCCGCCCCCACAAAAATATCACTTTCCTTTATTTTGCAAATATGTATTGAGTACCTACTATTCATCAGGCCCTGTTTTAGGTGCCTATATTGGTGAGCAAAATAGTCAGAAATTCCTGCCCTTATGGAGCTTACCATGCTGTGTGTGTGAGCTCACCTAGCAAGAGGAGACAATCGATGCATAAAACATATGTTAACTATACAGTATTTAAGAAGGAGATAAGCAATACAGGAAAAAGAAAAATCAGAGAAGGGTAGCGAATAGGATTGCCAGGAGTGGGGAGGGGAAGGCAAGTTGCAATTTGAGATGGAGGGTTAGGGTCATTTTTCTTAAGACGGCGACATTTGAGCAAAGACTTGGGGGTGAGAGAATTAGGTATATAGGTATCTAGGAGAAGAGAGTTCCAAGAAAAGGAAACAGCTAGTGCAAAGCCGCTGAGGTAGGAAAGTGCTAGAACAGGGAAGAGGCTTTGTGCTTTTCCACTGCCCGTAGAGAAACAATAGCTTGTGCAACCAAAAAGAAAGCTAGGAAAAGACAAAAGTTAAGTTCGTTTGTAATAATGCTGAGTAAATATTCCCGGAAAAAAAAAAAAAAAAAACCTCACAGACTGACTTAATCGGGGCAAAGCGCATTAGGGGAGGTTTCTTGGCTTCCAGGTTACTTGGGTGTGAATCCTGGTTCTACCACTTACTGCCTGTAAGATCTTAGGTGAGTTATTTAACCCCTTTGTTTCTCAGTTTCCTCATCTGTAAAATGAGCCTAACAATATTGCCAACCTTCTAGGATTGCTTTGATTATGAAATGAGTTGATATTAATGAAAAGTTTAGAACAATGCCTGACACATAGCAAGCACTCGCATGTTAGCTATTGACCTGTTACTGCCACTGTTTTGATGACTTTTATATGAGTTATTGCTCTAGTCTATTCTTCAGGTGTGTCTTAAGACCTTTGATATTGTACGTACTGTGTGTGTGTTTGTGTATATGTGTGTGTGTAATGTGTTTGTATGTAGATGTAGAGAGTGTGGGACTTAATTTGTACAATTGTAAAAATTAGATTAAAAATCCCACTGCTTAGCATATAGTGACGCCTCAATGTATGCTCTGGTATGGTTGGTTTTCATACCTTCTGGTAGAATTTTACAGCAAAGTAAAACAGTGGAGGGTTTTCCTTTTATGCTCACTATTTTTTTGTTTTTTTTGAGATGGAGTTTTGCTCTTGTTGCCCAGGCTGGAGTGCAATGGCGCAATCTCAGCTTACCGCAACCTCCTCCTGGGTTCAAGCAATTCTCCTGCATCAGCCTCCTGAGTAGCTGGGATTACAGGCATGCGCCAACACGCCTGGCTAATTTTGTATTTTTAGTAGAGACGGAGTTTCTCCATGTTGTCAGGCTGGTCTACGAACTCCCGACCTCAGGAGATCCGCCTGCCTCGGCCTCCCAAAGTGCTGGAATTACAGGCGTGAGCCACTGCACCTGGCCTATGCCCACTATTAATGAATATAAAAAATGGCTGGTGTATTAGTAGAATTAGAGCCTGGTGAAAATATTCTATAGACTCAAACTTGGAAACCTGTCTTACCCTTAGCACCACCAGTGGAATGAAGGAATTGCCAGTGGGTGACTTTGAATATCACTGGATGGCAATGAATGGGCAGTAGAGGAGTAAAAGAGGAGGAAAACAAAACAAGAGGGAAAACTGATGAAATAAACAGGGAAGCACACCATTAGGGTGATATGACATTGGAATGAGGCCCAAAGCTAGGAGGTCCTTTCTCTGCGGACCTTGAAAAAGAGACTGGATGGATCAGTAGTCCATGAATGAAAGGACTGGACAGGTGGGTTCTTTGAGGCTCCTCCCAGCCATTGAATTTCCAAGAGCAGCTCCTGTACCCAGTCAGCTATCCTATTGTTGCAGTTACAATCCTGAGGTAGCCTAATTTCCACCTCTACTTAAAGAGCTGTTAATACTTTAGATACAAAGAGGGTTTCTTTTTAATAATACTAAGATCAAGTCACTGTGTGTTGAGGTGGTAGACGTTGAAAATAAATTTCCTAGTCTTATAGGATCTGTCCCCAACTTATCTGGTCCTGGCAGTTTATGTGAGCCTCTGGGGTCTGTTACTGGAAAAATACCACAAGTATGGACTATCGGGGAGATTAGGAAATTTAACATGCTGGTGCTCTGAGGGAGCTCCGAGGGAACTCCGAGGGCTTAAGGAGAAAGGATGTCATGTCTTCACCAGGCAGGGGTGGGTGGTGGGTTAGACAAGAGAGAGAGCTGACGCCAAGCACCCACTCACTGTCTGCTGCTGCTTTGATTCATAGGTGTGGCAGGTGTTTCCAGTGCCATGGACCACACCTTCTCAACAACATCAAAAGATGGGGAAGGATCGTGTTACACATCTCTCATTTCTGACATCTGCTATCCACCTCAGGAGGATTCTACATATTTTACTGGAATTCTTCAGAAGGAAAATGGCCACGTCACCATTTCAGAGAGCCCTGAGGAGCTGGGTACACCCGGCCCCTCCTTACCAGATGTGCCTGGGATAGAGTCTCGTGGCTTATTTAGTTCTGATTCTGGAATAGAGATGACTCCTGCAGAGTCCACGGAAGTGAACAAGATCTTAGCAGACCCTCTGGACCAGATGAAAGCAGAGGCCTATAAATACATTGACATAACCAGACCCGAGGAGGTGAAGCACCAAGAACAACATCACCCCGAGCTGGAAGATAAAGACTTGGACTTTAAGAATAAAGACACTGACATCTCAATTAAACCTGAAGGAGTCCGTGAACCTGACAAACCAGCTCCTGTGGAGGGAAAAATCATCAAGGACCATTTATTGGAAGAATCCACATTTGCTCCATACATAGATGATCTCTCTGAAGAACAGCGCAGGGCTCCTCAGATCACCACCCCTGTCAAAATCACACTGACGGAAATAGAACCTTCTGTTGAAACCACTACCCAAGAGAAGACCCCTGAGAAGCAAGATATATGTCTAAAGCCAAGTCCTGACACAGTCCCCACTGTCACTGTCTCGGAGCCTGAAGACGACAGCCCAGGATCTATCACCCCTCCATCTTCTGGAACAGGTAAAGGCCCTGTTATTGCTTGACTTAGGAAAACCCAGCATATGGAAATCTCAATCCCTAAAACAAATATTAAGGAATGACAATTTTCATTCAACATACTTTACTATCTGGACCCCTTAAATTTCATTTAGTTTAACTAATTTAATTAATATTCAAAGTTTTCAATTTGTTGCTGATTGTACAAAGGTTGCAATCTGGGATTTCTCTTAAAGTCCTATCAGGTTTTCTTTGTAAAATTTTTTTTTTCTTTATTTGAGGGGAGATGTTAGAATGACATACTGGAAACATTAAAATCCTCATGCAGCCCTACTGTCCAGAGCAGAGAATTCAGTACTGCCTGCTTCTCAGTTAGCTTTCGGCTAGGATCTGGGTTGTCTTAGTCTGTTTTGTGTTGCTTATAACAGAATACCTGACACAGGGTAATGTATAAGAAACAAAATTTATTTCTTAACAGTTCTGAAAGCTGGGAAGTCCCAGGTCAAAGGGGCGCATCTGGTAAAAGCTTTCTGGCTTGCTAGTGGGGACTCTCTGAAGGGTCCCAAGTGGGTACAGGGTATAATATGGTGAGGGGGCTGAACATGCTAACATGCTATGCTCAAGTCTCTCTTATTCTTCATATAAAGCCACAAGTCACATTTCCATGATAATCCATTAATCCGTTAACTCTTTAATCCATTAATCCATGAGTGGGATAATCCACTCATGAAGGCAGAGCCTTCATCGTTCAATATTTCGTAGTCCATAGCCTCTCAAAGGCTCCACCTCTCAATACTGCCACATTGGGTATTAAGATTAAACATGAGTTTTGGAAGGGACATTCAAACTATAGCACAGGTCTCTTGGAGACATTATGAGGAGAGCACACTGGCTGTTCTCTGTAGACTGCCTGAAGCACCTTGGCCGGGGCATTTAACATTCCTGTCCCTAGCTCTAAGTCTGTACACTTAAAGGGAAGGAAAAGGTGGACTTCTGGATCTTTTAGGGATGGCACAGACAGGAAGAGGAAACCTAAGCAAAGCAAACTCCTCCCTTCCCCTTTCAATCTCAACACTGTCATTTTATATCTCTAGTTTATTGAAGTTCTGCATATAATTTTATTTTTGAAACCAAAAGATGTACTTCATTAAAATTTTTAAAGTTTAGACTTCATTAGGCTATGGTCTTTTTTAACTTGAACATTCTCTTTCTGTGACTGAAGGCAGGATACTAAACAGCACTCATGCGTATTCTGTCAAACACAAAGGGAGCCTCTTATATCCCTGGCTAAAGGCCAGAGAGGCAGCAGGAAACTCCTCACCCCACCCTGTGCCACTCTCTTCTCTCCAGCCTTTGCATCTCCACCTCTCTCAAATGTCCATGAGGCATCGAGATGAAGAGGACAGTGAGAGGTCCTCAAACCTTCCCCTGCCCCTGGTGACTGGCATTCTACCATATCCCAAAGAGCTTTGGTATGCACCTCAGGTGAAAGAGCTTCTAGTAAACTCTGAAAATGGAAGCAAAGCCTGTAGAGGAGGAGCGATTGCTCTAAACCCTGATGGTATAGTACAAATCCAAGTGTTGGAATAGAACAGAATTAATGAAAGTTCCTCCTATCTTCTTTCCCTATAGATTTTAGCATTAATTCCTTCTCCCCAAAGTTCCTTCAGACTCATTCAACCATAGAACTCCAAGGGTCTTAAAGATTCACTGCGCCAGGTCCCTGATTTTCAAATTTACTCATTCACGCAACAAACACTTTCTACATACTTTCTTTTGGTTGGGTACTCTATGAGGCACGACTGATGGGGAATTAACGAAAAATAAAAAACAAACAAAAACCAGTCCCTGCCTCCAGGGGACCAGACGACCAAGGAAGCAGTCCCAATCCAGTGTGCTTGGTGTCCTGAGAAAGGGAATTGTACGGTGCTGACGAGCCCTGGAGTCCAGCAGCTCCCCAGGTGAACTGGGACCACAGGTGACTCTCAGAGGAACAGGGGAAACAAAGAGGTGAAGGGAAGGGTGCCCTTCCAGTCTGAGGAGCTGCATGGACATGGAGTTGTGAGGGCCCAGTGAACTTCACTTAAGATGTAAATTGAGATTTGGGTAGTAATGACAAATCAGAAAACCAAGGCTCCAGGTGGATTAGATACGTCTTGCCCCTGCCTAAAACATGAGGTCAGAACATATCCGAGTTTCCAAGCTTCCTTGTACTCTTTCTGGCAATGCATAGTAAAACTCTTTTATTATTTCCTGCCGTAAAGATACTTGGTGTTCTGAAGATGTAAGTTAATATAGTCAAGCTGTGTTTTACAGAGCTCCCGGGTTGTCCAGTAGTCAGTCCACAAGAACTTCAGCCAGTCCTCAGGAATAGTGAAATGCCCTAGCAAGTATAGGTCTACTTACACGGCACATGCTTCATGTAAAAATTACAGTTTGCAAAGACTTGACAAAGGGTCCATTAATTTTTAGGGAATTTCCATTTTTAAGTAGCCATGGCCCAATTGGGTTCTGGAGAAGGTTCAAGAGAAAACAAAGGCAGATCTGGCTCACATGATATTGGAGTTTTACGATGTTGGGTTGCCCACTTGACAGTATGGGGTTAGGACAATGATTGTCTCTGCAGCTGCAATCAAATAAACATTCTAAGCAAGGCATATTCAGGAAAGAGAAAATGGCCCATTACACATTCTCTCCTATGTTCAGCTCCTCTCTCCATATACATCCCACATCAAAATACCAGAGTCATATGACAACAGATAAGAATGAAATTAACAGGAAGAATCAGCTTCTCATTGAAGCCTTTCTCCCTGCCCTTTTTATCCTGCGAGGTTTCTGACCCCCTTCCCATCTTCTTATGACCCCTGGCACCATGTGACACTGTGCCCATAGACAGTAGAGGATATGGACTTTATTACATCTGTTGAGTCTTGGGTCACTCTGCCATTTCCAGTGACAACAGATTGAAAACAAAAATTGAGAACTGCACATAATTCTACATAGAAACTGAGGAAAAAGAAAGCATGTTAAGCAAAAAAGGGTCCAGTTTATCATTGTTTAATAAATAAGGAAATCATCAAATCTGGAGAATAACTGAAGAGAAATTCTAATTTGGGTTAGCTTTAGCCACAGATGCTGATGTTTAAGCAAGGTGTCTAATATATTTATATTTCTCCCAATTCCAATAGATTATTCCATTTTGTAACGTTCTCCAACATACTTACCTATTTTTACTACATAATATACACTGAGGTGGAGAGGTGAGAATTGTTATAGCTGAAATACTGGAAGTCTCTTTTAAGCCAAGATCAGTCATGAAAAAAGTGAAGCAATTTAGGAAAACATAATAAATGCCCTGATGCCCCAGACATTGACCAGGAGCACCATGTTGTTTCTGACACAAACACCAAGAGGGATATTATGATGGTCCTGGGTGTTATGTGAGCTATTAGCCTCAAAAAGGACAATAATCAGGAAGTCATCCTTAAAACACCCCAGTTTCCCTCAAGAAGAAATGAGCAATTAAAAGTAAATCAACTTAAATTTGAAAACTACCATTGCTATTTCCTTGCATTGATGGGATCTATGATTCTCCTACCCATTTTTAAAATTCATTCTTTTGTTCAAAAAATATTTAGAGTGACTTCTATACATCAGACATGCACTGGCCACTGAGACCTTGTAGTAAATAAGATGTACAAGGTCCCTGCCCTTGCACAGCTTACCTGCTAGTCAGAGGAAACAGGCAATAAAAAACAAACCCATAAATAAACAGTGTAATTTTATAGTGTGAGCACTAGAAAGAGTGATAGAGGGTTGGGTGTGAGGGGTCCAAGGACTGCCCCTCTGAGGAGATGACACATGAACTGAAATCTGAATGAGCAGAAGGAGCCCACAGTTCAGAGAGAAGCTAGGAGGGACCTCAGGTGTGGGGGAATAGCAAATGCACAGGGCCTGAGTCTGTATTATATGAGAACTGAAAGGGGGTTGGTGACACAGGGGAGGAAGAGGGAAGTGGGGCAGAGAACACCATTGGACAGATAGGCAGGGCCGAGATCGTGGGGAAGGAGTTTGGATTTTGTTCCAAATGTAATTGGAAGCCATTGGAGGGTTTTAAGCTGAAAAGTAACATCATTTATTCTTTCATCTATTTATTTAACAAATATGTGTTGACCATTTACTCCACATCAGGCATTGTTCCATTACTGCCAGGACTCACGAGTGAGTGATGCCTCACAAGAAAATCCTGGCTTCATGGAGCTTACAATCTAGTTGAGAAGACATACACACAAATAACCAAATATATAATATAATATCAGGTAGTTATAATGGTTATGAAGAAAAATACAGCAAGGCAAAGTGTAAGAGAGTGGTGGCGGTGGGGGTGAGGAGAGGCTTCTTCGAGGTAACAGCTTGAGCAGAGACTGAATGGAGTGAGGGAGCAAGTCATGTAGCTATCTGAGGAAGTGAGGCCAGGCTGAGGGGCCTCCCAGTGCAAAGGCCCTGAGCTGGGAATGCCTTGTCTGTTCCAGGAGCAGCTGGAAGGCCGGCTTGGCTGGAGGAGGGGGAAGGAAGGGAAGTGTGGCAGGATCAGACTTGGGTTTTCAATTGATCCTTCCGGATGCTGCATGGAGAATGAGCCAGGAACAAAGGGAGTCCTAATAGCAGCGTCATTCACAGTTGGACACTGGTGTCTGCAACTTACTAAAATAGCCCATGTTCACCTTTCCTTTTATTCCTCTCAATTATATCATCATAATTATCATCAGCAGCAAACACATCACCCTGGGGTGCCTTTCTTATCTCTCAATTTTCCTATTTTATCTGATGATTTTAGGTGACTCTTTCTAGCTTTGCAGTGTCAGTCTTGATACGTAATAACCAATATCTTAGAGGGCCTTTGAAATTGTTGAAATTTTAAGCAAAGATATGGAAACTTCTGTTTTGTTCTAAAATTTTCCCTGATTACTCCTAGCATTTTGTTAAAGTTTTAGTTTCCCTTAAGAACATAGGGCAGTATCTATAGGAGCTACGAGTCCCTTTTGACTCATGGTAAGGGTGAATTATTTTTAAGGTAGCACCTTCACTTGCTCAAGATGGAACTCCTCAGACCCTTTTCTCCCCGACCCTGCAGCTGTCTGGAATCATCCTTACTCTTGAGTAAATAAAGCAAGACCCTGGGCCTTCTTTTTCTGAATGCACTAGCATAGTAGTTTTCAACTGGAGGTAGAATTGCCAGATAAAACACAAATATTTCTTAGGGCATACCTATACTAAAAAAAAATTCATTGTTTAGCTGAGAGTCAAATGTAACTGAGTGTCCTGTATTTTTATTTCCTAAATCTGCCAACCCTAACTGGAGGTGACTGTTAGAATCACACATGGAGTTACATCCAGACCTACTTCTACTAAGGCAGAATTTCTGAGGGCAGTTTTGAGCTACACACTTGAATAAGAGCCACTGTTGTAAAAATTTGAGCTGGCTCTCATATGAGTGCTATTTATTGCGTACCTCCGGTGTGCCAGGCACTGTGCTGGGTGCAAGGATATGATAATGAACAAACACGACTTGGCTGTACTTTGCTCCCAAGGCACTTTCAGTCTGGGGTCAGGGAGAGTGGGAAAGGGTGAAAGGGCAAAGATTAATTAAATCATCACACAGCAAATACAAGGCTGCCTAGGGGCTCCCAGTTGTGCAGAATGAGTGGGCACCAGCCTGTCTCCAGAACAACGCAGCATCAGGCCAGCTGGCACAAGGGTGAGCTGCTCTGCCATGTGGCCTCCCAGGAATATTGTGCAAGCAGGAGTTTCCTCAGTCCTAGCAGTTTGGGTGGTTAGACAGAGGCTTCTGCATGTGAAACCGGAAGGATGTGTGCCTCAGAAGGGAAGAACCATCCAAGGTAAGAATTTTCTTCCCTGTCCCATCAAACAAGCTCATTGTTCCCCTGTTCATTTTATTCACTCAGGCTCACCATTTCTGAGTAGCTTTTGAAACCCCTCTTTTTCTCACTCACCACATGAATCAGACCCCAAGTCAATGATTTCTCTCTTTTCTATTTTTCTCCTCTTTCTATCCTATGGCCACCACAACTCACACCCTACCTCCAGTTGTCATAATTCAACAATTGCCCTGTCCTGTTAATGGGTTATACTCCTTCTACTTCCCTCCCTCCCATTTTTTTTTTTTTTTTGAGACAGAGTCTCGCTCTGTTGCCCAGGCTGGAGTGCAGTGGCATGATCTCGGCTCACTGCAACCTCAGCCTCCCGGGTTCAAGCGATTCCCATGCCTCAGCCTCCTGAGTAGCTGGGATTACATGTGCCCGCCACCATGCCTGGCTGATTTTTGTATTTTTAGTAGAGACGGGGTTTCGCCATGCTGGCCAGGCTGGTCTCCCCGAACTCCTGGCCTCCCCGAACTCCTGGCCTCAGGTGATCTGCCCGCCTCGGCATCCCAAAGTGCTGGTATTACAGGCATGAGCCACTGCACCTGGCCTTCCCTCCCTTTTAAGCTCATCCTAACCCTTCCAGGATCCACTAATGCCTGCCTAATAAAAGACTGACTTTTTTTTTTTCTTTTAAGCTCAGGGGTACATGTGCAGGATGTGCAGGTTTTTATATAGGTAAACATGTGCCATGGTGTTTTGCTGCATGGATCATTCCATCACATAGGAGTTAAGCCCAGCACCCATTAGCTCTTCTTTCTGATGCTCTCCTTCCTCCCCCTTCACCGTCTGACAGGCCCCAGTGTGTGTTGCTCCCCCTCAATATGTCCATGTGTTCTTATCATTCAGTTCCCACTTATAAGTGAGAACGTGTGGTATTTGGTTTTCTGTTCCTGCATTAGTTTGCTAAGGATAATGGCCTCCAGCTCCATCCATGTCCCTGTGAAGAATATGATCCTGTTCCTTTTTATGGATGCATAGTATTCCATGGTGTATGTACCACATTTTCTTTATCCAGTCTATCATTGATGAGCATTTGGGTTGGCTCCATGTCTTCGCTATTGTAAATAGTGCTGCAATAAACATACATGTGCCTGTATCTTTATGATAGGATGATTCCTATTCCTTTGGGTATATACCCAGTAATGGGATTGCTGGGTCAAATTGTATTTCTGCCTCTAGGTCTTTGAGGAATTGCCACACTGTTTTCCACAATGGTTGAACTAATTTACACTTCCACTAACAATGTAAAAGCATTCCTTTTTCTCCACAACCTTGCCAGCATTTGTTGTTTTTTGACTTTTTGGTAATAGCCATTCTGATTTTGTAAGATTGTACCTCATTATAGTTTTGATTTATATTTATCTAATTATAAGTGCTGTTGAGCTTTTATTCATGTTTGTTGTCTGCATGTATATCTTCTTTTGAGAAGTGTCTTTTCATGTCCTTTGCCCAATTTTTAATGAGGTTGTTTATTTTTTTTCTTGTAAATTGTTTAAGTTCTTTGTAGATGCTGGATATTAGACCTTTGTCAGATGCATAGATTGCAAATATTTTCTCCCATTCTGTTCTGTTCACTCTGATGATAGTTTCTTTTGCTGTGCAGAAGCTTTTAGTTAATTAGATCCCATTTGTCAGTTTGAGCTTTTGTTGCAATTGCTGTTGGTGTCTTTGTAATGAAATCTTTGCCCATGCCTATGTCCTGAATGGTATTGCCTAGATTTTCTTCTAGGGTTTTTATAGTTTTGGGTTTTACATTTAAGTCTTTAATCCATCTTTAGTTGATTTTTGTACATGTGTAAGGAAGGGGTCCAGTTTCCATTTTCTGTATATTGCTAGCCAGTTATCCCAGCACCATTTATTACATAGGGAATTCTTTCCCCATTGCTTGTTTTTGTAAGGTTAGTCAAAGATCAGATGGTTGTAGGTATGTGGTCTTATTACTGGTTTCTTTATGCTGGTCCATTGGTCTATGTGTCTGTTCTTGTACCAGTACCATACTGTTCTGGTTACTGTAGCCTTGTAGTGTAGTTTGAAGTCAAGTAGCATAATGCCTCCAGCTTTGTTCTTTGTCTTAGGATTGTCTTGGCTATTCTGGCTCTCTTTTGGTTCCAAATGAATTTTAAAATAGTTTTTTCTAATTCTGTGAGGAATGTCAATGGTAGTTTAATGGGAATAATGTTGAATCTATAAGTTGTTTTGGGGAGTATGGCCATTTTCATGATATTGATTCTTCATATCCATGAGCATGGAATGTTTTTCCATTTCTTTGTGTCATCTCTGATTTCTTTGGGCAGTTGTTTGTAGTTCCCCTTGAAGAGGTCCTTCACATCCCTTGTTAGCTGTATTCCTAGGTATTTTATTTTTGTGGCAATTGTGAGTGGGAATTCATTCATGATTTGGCTCTCTGCTTGCCTGTTGTTGCTGTATAGGAATGCTAGCAATTTTCACACATTGATTTTATATCCTGAGACTTTGCTGAAGTTGCTTATCAGCTTAAGAAGCTATTGGACTGAGAAAATGGGATTTTCTAGATATAGGATCATGTCATCTGCAAACAAAGATAGTTAGATTTCCTCGCTTCCTATCTGAAAACAATTTATTTCTTTCTCTTGCCTGATTGCCCTGGCCAGAACTTCCAATACTGTGTTGAATAGGAGTGGTGAGAGAGGGCATCCTTGTCTTGTGCTGCTTTTTAATAGGAATGCTTCCAGCTTTTGCCTATTTAGTATGATATTGGCAGTGGGTTTGTCATATATGGCTCATATTATTTTGAGGTATGTTCCTTCAAAACCCAGTTTATTGACAGTTTTTAATATGAAGGAATGTTGAATTTTATTGAAGACCTTTTCTGCATCTATTGAGATAATCATGTGGTTTTGTCTTTAGATCTGCTTATGTGATTAATCACATGTTTTGATTTGCATATGTTGAACCAAAGTTGTAAACCTACTTGATTGTGGTGGATAAACTTTTTGATGTGCTGCTGGATTCAGTTTGCCAGTATTTTATTGAGGATTATTGCATCAGTGTTCATCAACAATATTGGCCTGAAGTTTTATTTTTTTGTTGTATCTTTTCCAGGTTTTGGTATCAGGATGATGCTGGCCTCATAGAATGAGTTAGGGAGGAGTCCCTCCTTTTCAATTTTTCTGGAATAGTTTCAATAGAAATGGTACCAGCTCTTCTTTATACCTCTGGTAGAATTCAGCTGTAAATGTCCCTGGTCCTGGGCTTTTGTTTGGTTGGTAGGCTATTTATTGTTGTCTCAATTTCAGAACTTGTTATTGGTCTATTTAGGGATTCAGTTTCTTCCTGGTTGAGTCTTTGCAGGGTGTATGTCTCCAGGAATTTATCCATTTCTTCTAGATTTTCTAGTTTATATGCATAGAGGTGTTTATAGTATTCTCTGATCATTGTTTGTATTTCTGTGGGGTCAGTGGTGATATCTCCCTTATCATTTCTGATTGTGTTTATTTGATTCTTCTCTTTTCTTCTGTATTAGTCTAGCTAATGGTTGATTTTTAAAATTATTTTTTAAAAAAACAGCTCCTAGATTTGTTTATTTTTAAAGGGTTTTTCATGTCTCTGTCTCCTTCAGTTCATCTTTGTTCTTGTCTTCTGCTAGCTTTGGGGTTTGTTTGCTCTTGGTTCTCTAGTTCTTTTAGTTGTGATGTTAGGTTGTTAACTTAAGATCTTTCTAGCTTTTTAATGTGGGCATTTAATGCTATAAATTTCCCTCTTAACACTGCTTTAGCTACATCCTAGAGATTTTGGTATGTTGTCTCTTTGCTCTCATTAGTTTCAAAGAACTGCTTGATTTCTGCCTTAATTTTATTATTTACCCAAGAGATTCAGGAGCATGCTGTTTAGTTTCCCTGTAGTTGTGTGGTTTTGAGTGAATTTCTTAATCTTGAGTTCTAATTTGATTGTGCTGTGGTCTGAGAGACTGTTTGTTATTATTTCATGTCTAATATTGTCAGTGGAGTGTTAAAGTCTCCCACTGTTATTGTGTGGGAGTCTAAATCTCATTGAAGGTCTCTAAGAACTTGCTTTATGAATCTGGGTGCCCACGTGTTGTGTGCATATGTATTTAGGATAGTTAGCTCTTCTTGTTGAATTGAATCCTTTACCATTATGTAATGTCCTTCTTTATCTTTTTTGATATTTGTTGGTTTAAAATCTGCTTTGTCAGAAACCAGGAGTGCAACCTCTGCTTTATTCTGTTTTCCATTTGCTTGGTAAATTTTCCTGCATCCCTTTATTTTGAGCCTATATATGTCTTTGCATGTGAGATGGGTCTCTTGAAGACAGCATACTAATGGGTCTTGGTTCTTTATTCAGCCTGCCACTTTGTGTCTTTTAATTGGGGCATTTAGCCCATTTACACTTAAGGTTAGTATTGTTATGTGTGGGTTTGATTCTGTCATCACGACGCTAGCTGGTCATTTTTCTGACTTGTTTATGTGGTTGCTTCATAGTGTCACTGGTCTGTATACTTCAATGTGTTTTTGTAGTGGCTGGTAATGGTTTTTCCTTTCCATATTCAGTGTTTCCTTCAGGAACTCTGGCAAGGCAGGCCTGGTGATAACTAATTCCCTCAGCATTCGCTTGTCTGAAATGGATCTTATTTCTCCTTCACTTATTAAGCTTAGTTTGGCTGGATATGAAATTCTGGGTTGGAAATTCTTTTCTTTAGAAGTGTTGAATATTGGCCCCCAGTCTCTTCTAGCTTATAGGGTTTCTGCTGAGAGGTCCACTGTTAGTCTGATGGGCTTCCCTTTATAGATGTCCTGGTCTTTCTCTGTGGCTGCCCTTAACATTTTTTCTTTCATTTTGACCCTGAAGAATTTGATGATTATGTGTCTTGGGGATGATCTTTTCATTGATTATCTTGCTGGGGTTCTCTGCATTTCTTGAATTTGAGTGTTGGCCTGTCTTACTAGGTTGGGGAAGTTTTCCTGGGTAATATTCTGAAGTATGTTTTCCAACTTGGTTCTATTCTCCCCATCTCTTTCAGGTACCCTAATTAGCTGTAGATTCAGTCTCTTTACATAATTCTATATTTCTCAGAGGTTTTGTTCATTCTTTTTCATTCTTTTGTCTCTATTCTTGTCTGCCTGTCTTATTTCAGAAAGATACTCTTCAAGGTCTGAGATTCTTTTCTCTGCTTGGTCTATTTTGCTATTAATACTCATGATTGCATTGTGAAGTTTTTGTAGTGTGTTTTTCAGCTCTAGCTGGTTGGTTATGTTCCAGTCTAAACTGGCTATTTTGTCTGTCACCTCCTGTATTGTTTTATCATGATTATTTGCCTCTTTGTCAATGGTTACCACATGCTCCTTTAGTTCAGTAAAATTGTTTATTACCCACCTTCTGAAGCCTACTTCTGTCATTTCAGCGGTCCCAGCCTCAGCCCAGTTCTGAGCCCTTGCTGGGAAGGTTCGCAGTCATTTGAAGGAAAAGGGACACTCTAGCTTTTTGAGTTTTCAGAGTTTTTGCATTGGTTCTTTCTCATTTTTGTGGGCTTATCTACCTTTGATCTTTGAGGTTGCTGACTTTTGGATGGGGTTTTTATGGGTTTGTTATTGTTTTTGTTGTTGTTTTTTGTTTGTTCTTCTTTTAACAATTTGTCCACTCTGCTGTAGGGCTGCTGCAGTTTTTTGGGGGTCCACTCCAGACCTTAGTTGCCTTGGTTTTTCCCATACCTGGAGGCATCAGCAGTGAAAGTTGGGAAACAGTAAAGATGGCAGCCTGCCTCTTCCTCTGGAAGCTCCATCCCAGGGGAGTGCTGACCTTTTGCCAGCCCAAATGTGCCTGTAGGTGGTGGCTGGAGACCCTGGTTGGGAGGTCTCACCCAGTCAGGAGGAAGGGGATCAAGGACACACTTAAAGAAGCAGTCTGGCTGCTTTTTGGTAGGGCAGCTGTGCTGTGTTGGAGATCCCTTCAGCCCCCAATTGGTTTGGGCTTTCCAAGCCCCACAGGCTAGACCAGCTGAGAAGCCTGAATGGCCAAAGTGGCAGCCTGTCCTGTCCCTCAGGCATTTCACCCAGGGAGAACATGAGCAGGGGTGGCCAGAGGCCCCAGCTGGGAGGACCCCCCTGCAAGGAGGAGTGGATTGGGGTCCCACTTAAAGAAGCAGTCTGGCCATGCCTCAACAAAATAGCTGTGTTGTGGTGAGGAACCACCTCTGCTCCTGTCAGCTTGGACTCTCCAAAGTCCCCAGGCTAGAATGCCAGCCCAGGAGGGAGCCCTCCCCTCCTCTGAGCACTCCATCCCAGGGAGTGATCAGAGCTCTGTCCCTAATATGTGCCAGCAGATGTGGCTGGAGGGGCCAGCTGGGAGGCCTCGCCTAGTGCGGAAGAATGGATGGGAGCCCTGCTTAAAGAAGCAGTCTGGCCGGGCACGGTGGCTCATGCCTGTAATCCCAGCATTTGGGAGGCCAAAGTGGGTGGATCACTTGAGGTCAGGACTTCCAAGACCAGCATGGCCAACATGGTGAAACACTGTATGTACTAAAAATACAAAAATTAGCCAGGTGTGGTAAGGGCACCCCTGTAATCCCAGCTACTCTGGAGTCTGAAGCAGGAGAATTGCTTGAACCCGGGAGGCGGAGGTTACAGTGAGCAGGGATCGCACCACTACACTCCAGCCTGGGCGGCAAAGCGAGACTCTGCCTCAAAAGAAAGAAAGAAAGAAAAAAAAAAAAAGCAGTCTGACCACAATCTGGCAAAGCCCCTGTGTTGTGCTACTGGGGGGACCCTTCCTTCACTGGACCATTTGGACTCTTCAAAGCCCGCAGGCTGGAGTGGCTGAGTTGACCAAACAGCAGAGATGGTGACCCCCACTCCCACCGGGGGGCTCCAATGCAGTCTCAGGCAGGCTCTACCCTGTTGCTGGTGGCTGGCTGAAATTCCGAGCCAGTGGGCCTTATCTTGTAAGGTGCCATAGAAGTGGGGCCCACAAAACGACACTGCTCAGCTCCCTGGATTCTGCCCTTTTCCTAGGGGTATGTGCAGACCTCCCACCTTGCCTAAGTTGCAGGCATATTTGTTGGGGGATCCTAGGGCTGGAGTATGTAAAGCTTCTGGGTCTCTGTGCATGCCTGAGCAGCTGCTCTGCTAAGACTCCACATAGCTCTGTGTGTCAGATCCAAGGCCCTGGTGGCCCTCATGAGGGGATCTCCTGATCCGAGAGTTGCAAAGATCCATGGAAGAAGCGTGGTTTTCCAGGATCACACAGTCACTCACTGCTTCCCTTGGCTGGGAGGCAGGGGGGTTCCCTTGGCTTTGTGTTGCTTCTGGGTGGACTGTCACCCTGCCCTGCTTTTCTTCATTCTCCGTGTGTTGTTTCCCCAATCAATCCCAGTGGGAGAACCTGGATATTTTAATTGAAGGTACTGTATTCATTTGCCCCTTTCGTTCCTCTCCATGAGTGCCAGGGACCGAAGCTGATTCTATTCGGCCATCTTGGCCGCTCCATATACCTACTTCTTCAGGATTAACTTTTAAACTAGTTTTCAGGGCCTTCCATGACCAGGGGCCTGCTTCCATTTTCAGTTACATCAACCCTGCATCATTCCCAATAATACTCCAGTTAAACGTTTGACTTTGTCCTTCTTTGAGCAGACCCCTTCCTTTTTCACTTCCATATCTTTGCTTTTGGAGTTCACTCTTGAACAATGCCTGCCTTTCAAGGTTCTGTTTCTGTTCCAAGATCAATTCAAGTGCAGCTTCCTCAATGACCTCCTCTAAGTTTCTCTAGAACATTGTACAACACAATTGCACCTAGCCCATTCTGTTTTGTTTTCTTTTTATTCTCTAGGAGCGGCAGGGAATACTGTGAGTCATAAGCACAGTAATGGTAATTGGGACCTAGTGATGGTGGAAATGGGTAAAATCACCTTGAGATGGAGTGGAGTAAGAAGAGAGCCTAGGGAAGAACTCTGGGGGAGACCAACATTTCATATCTGAGAAGAGATGAGATCAGGAGAGCTAGGAGGAAAATCTGAAGAAAGTAGGGTTGCAGACACCAAAGGAGGAGTGGACAGTGTGTCAAATACTGTTGAGAAGACAAATAAGATGAGAACTCAAAAACGATTGGGAAGTTGCCAGTGAACTGAGGCAAGCAGTAAGGGTACAATCCAGAGTGAAATGATGTATTCAGTAGAATTCAGATAAATCCCAAAATCTTGGTGGCTTAACATAATAAAAGCATTACTTTTCACTTGTAGTACAATCCAAGTTTAGATTCAAGGCCAAACTTCCATTTTTTTTTAAACAGCTTTATTGAGATATAATCCATATACTATACAATTCATTTAAATGTACATTTCCATGGTTTTTAGTATATTCACAGAGTTGTGATCCATCACTGCAATAAATTTTAGAGCATCTTATTACCCCAAAAAGAAACCCTGCACCCCCTTTTCTCACCCTCCAAATCTCCCCACTCCCCATAACTACTACTCTTCTTTCTTTCTCTATAAATTTACTTATTCTGGACATTTCATATGAATGGGCTCACATAATATGTGGTCCTTTGTGACTGACTTATTTCACTGTTTTTAATATTTAGCCATGTTGTAACACATATCAGTACTTCACTCCTTTTTATGTCTAAATAATATTCCATTGTATGGATATATTACATTTTTATTTATCCATTTATCAGTTGATGGATATTAGATTGTTTCTACCTTTTCTGGCTATTATGAATAATGCTGTTATGAACATTCATGTACAAGTTTTTTGTGTGGACATATACTTTCATTTCTCTTGGGTAGATACCTAGGAGTGGAATTACTGGATCATATGATGACTCTATGTTTAAATATTTAAGGAGCTGTCAGACTTTTGTCCAAAGCAGTTACAACATTTTTCATTCCCACCAGCAGTGCATAAAGGTTCCAATTTCTCTAAATCTTTTCCAGAACTTGTTTTTATCTGGCTTTTTGATTATAGCCATCCTAGTATGGTTATGAAGTAGTATCTCACAGTAGTTTTGATTCGCATTTCTCTGGTGAATAATGATGTTGGGCATATTTTCATGTGCATTTTGGCCATTTGTAAATTGCCTTTGGAGAACTGTCTATTGAAGTTCTTTGCCCATTTTTAATTGGCTTGCCTTTTATTATTGAGTCGTAATAGTTTGTCATATATTCTAGATATGAGTCCCTTATCAGATATATGATTTGCAAATATTTTCTCCTGTTCTGTTGATTGTGCTTTCACTTTCTCTATGGTATTCTCTGAAGCACAAAAGCCCAGTTTATTAGTTTTTCTTTTGTTGCTTCTGTTTTTGGTGTCATATCTCTGAAACGATTTCTAATCCAAGGTCATGAAGATTTACTTCTATGTTTTCTTCTAGAGTTTTATGATTTTAGCTCTTATATTTAGGCTATTGACCCATTTGAAGGAAATTTTAAAATACAACATGAGGTAGGGGTTTAATTTCATTCTTTTTCTTGTGGTTATCCAGTTCACTTTTCCTCTCCTTCTCATGCCCCAAAATATAACTTGCCACATCTCAGACTGCATCCCCCTTTTAAAAAGATGTAGCATGATATAGTGTAAAACACATGAAATAGACATGCATTCAAATTCAGGTCAAATAATTTCTAACCATGTAGTTATATCATCTAGGGTCCTAGCAAGAAAAAAGTGACACACTCAAAGGTTGTGACTGAAGAGAGTTTAAAGAAGGGGCTATTTACAGAAGTGTAAAGATGGCCAAGAAAACCGACAAATGATGCCAAAGCCTTAACATTAGGGAGCTGTTACTACCCCTAGACCTAAAGACCAAGAGGAAGGAACAGCGTTCTTGAAGCCTGCTAAGAGCTGGAACTTCAGAAGCAGCAGAGGGTATAAATATCTCAACATCTCCTTCATCCCAGCCCTTGGGCTTCCTATTGGCTAAAAACAACCAGAAACCAAAGGGAAAGGAATCCTGGGTATGCTTTCTATGTAGGTCAGCCTCTCAGAGCACAGGAGAGGGCAGAGAAAGAAAGGAATGGATCCAAGCGGGCAGAGAGAAAACCACTACAGTGACCTTGGACAAGTAGCTTAATCTATTGTCCCTAGACCCTAAGTTCCATATGTAAAGTGCGTGACACCCAGCAGAGGATGCTGCTGCTACTAGCAGTGCTCTGGAGGTACAGAATATTTCTTAATTTACACCACTCCTTATCTTATTTCTCCGTGCTCTAGTCAACCACTCAGAAGTAAGCTGGTGAAACTTTCACACTTTTCCGCTGTCTGAAATCATATCAAACAACTATGTGTACAACTTATTAAGGAACTAACTCCTGTAAAAATAGAGTTGAGGATCATAGAATAAATTTTTAAAAACATGATTCATATGAGAGATAATGAAGTAGTTGTTGTTTTAAGTTACTAAAAAAGGGGGGGAACCCATAGATCATATCCTTCCTCTGCTTAAAGCCCTCCAATGTCTTCTAATCTCACTCAGAATAAAAGCCCCATGAGATCCTACATGATCTGCCCCAACTCCTTGGGTCACTGATCTCTTATTTCCCAACTTATTCACTTTGCCCAGACATAATGGCCTGCCTATGATACCTGGGAATCAGTGCAGCTCCCACCTCTGAGCCTTTGCATTATCTGTTTTCCTCTGCATGACGTGCTTTTCCTCTGGATATCTTCATGAGTCACTCTCTCACCTGCTTCAAGTGTTAAATATAGGTTACTTTCTCAATGAGGCCTACACGGACTCCCCTATTTAAAATTGCAAACTCATCTCCACCCTGACCCAGAACTTGTGTTTCCTTACCCTACTCTACTTTTTTCCATAACACTTAACATCTTCTAACATACTATATACTTTACTTATTTACTATATATATTGTTTGTATATTGTGTTCCCTCCACTAGAGTATAAGCAGAGACTTTGTTATCTGTTTCATTCGCTAATATATCCCAAGTGTGTAGAAAAGGGCCTAACACATATTAGGTTCTCAATAAATAACAGATGAATGAATATGGATAAAGAATAAAATCAATTCTGATTCATAAATAATTAGGAAAATCTAAAATGTTTTATCCATTTGGGGTTCTCCCACAGTCCTAAAGCCACAGATCCCTCAAAGCTTTGGATAAATGCAACTAGTTATTGCTAACAAAAGGACCAGATCCCACTAAGATATTCTAAAATAAAGCCCTTCTGTATGGCAAGGGAAAACGAGACTCTTGAACACTGTTGTCATGGTGATCCCAGGTCGTCTCATCTATGGGAGGGAAAGCTCAGCAAGATTGCCAGTGTAGCCTTTAGGCCATCTGGATAAACATCAGGCAGAAGGCAGGCATTCATCCAGGGACCAGGAGTGACTCTCAGGTTTTGTTCTTCTCGAGAGGAAGTGAAGAGAGGAGAAGAAAGGGAAAGAATACAGTGGGCTGCCACTATGGAAAGCCTTGCAGGATAGTCCATTATGGTAATCTGCACAGCCTGCTTGGTGGAATTGGCAGAAGTGATCTCTTACATTGCTCCACTTAGTTGCAAAAAAAAAAAAAAAAAAAAAAAAAGATACTGATTCTTATTGGAAATATAAAGCTCAGAAGTCAAGTTGTGTCCAAGGCTCAAAACTACCTGCTTTGTCTTGCTAAAGGAGAGGATATAAACAGCAATGGACGAGGAATAATGGGTGATTTTCAGATTTGTTGATATTCGTGGGCCCAATTAGAGTGCTGTATACATCAGATTATCTGATAAAATCTGTGAAATTGAAAAAGTTCCCTGAGAGAATGAATCAGAAATTAAAACGATGACTTGTAGAATCTTCTCTGCATTGAAACAGGAACACCAACTGAGATTCTGTTGCTAAGATATTGCTGGGTCATTTTTTAAAATAGCTAGCTGAAGATAGAGAGGTCTGTAAAACACTAATTAATTGGGCCATAACAGTAATTAGCCTTTTAGTTCAGGTGGCCTGTCTTTCCAGCATAGCCCTGGAAACAGATTATTTTTGTGCTAATGAGATATGTGTTTCTCAAGCAACGACAAAACATCTCGCCTAATGGAATTTTGTTTTATCCCTCCTCTCTCTGTCCATCTGTCTGTCCGTGTGTGTGCCTCCGTGGCTCTCCTTCGCTCTGTGGGACGACAGAACCATCTGCTGCAGAATCCCAGGGGAAAGGCAGCATCTCCGAGGATGAGCTGATCACCGCCATCAAAGAAGCAAAGGGATTATCGTATGAAACCGCCGAGAACCCACGGCCGGTGGGCCAGCTGGCCGACAGGCCCGAGGTCAAGGCCAGGTCCGGACCGCCAACCATCCCCAGCCCCCTGGACCACGAGGCCAGCAGCGCGGAGTCGGGGGACTCAGAGATCGAGCTGGTGTCCGAGGACCCCATGGCCGCGGAGGACGCGCTGCCCTCAGGCTATGTGAGCTTTGGCCACGTGGGCGGCCCGCCGCCCTCGCCCGCCTCGCCATCCATCCAGTACAGCATCCTGAGGGAGGAGCGCGAGGCCGAGCTGGACAGCGAGCTCATCATCGAGTCGTGCGACGCCTCCTCGGCCTCGGAGGAGAGCCCCAAGCGGGAGCAGGACTCACCCCCGATGAAGCCCAGCGCCCTGGATGCCATCCGGGAGGAGACTGGCGTCCGGGCCGAGGAGCGTGCGCCAAGCCGGCGGGGCCTGGCCGAGCCGGGTTCCTTCCTCGACTACCCCTCAACTGAGCCCCAGCCTGGCCCCGAGCTGCCCCCTGGAGACGGAGCCCTGGAGCCTGAGACGCCCATGTTGCCACGGAAGCCTGAAGAAGACTCGAGTTCCAACCAAAGTCCTGCGGCCACAAAGGGCCCTGGGCCTCTAGGTCCTGGCGCCCCGCCCCCACTGCTGTTTCTCAATAAGCAAAAAGGTAAAGGATCCCAAGCAGGGATGCTTGGTTAGTGTCCTCCCTCTGGGTGCTCTGAGCATTCAGCAGGGGCGGTTCTGGCTCAGCCCTGGAGTCATCCCCATGCTGATCAAACAGTTGACCAGAGAACGGTTCCAGGGGGGATGGGAGGAGATGAGAGAATTCAGATCTGCAGCTGGGACAGAAGTCGGTGGCAGAACCGCGTGCTCAGGGCAACTCAGGACTGGCTGAACCCAGCCTCCCTAATAATGAGCGGTTTTGTGTTCACTCCAGGATCTCCTAAATGGAGTGCATGCGCCTGTCTTTCCATTCCAGGGCTGGGTTTCCTCCCCCAGGAAAGCGATGCTTTTCTTGTTATTGTCCAGGCTCTGGTCCAGTTCCCCTGCTCAGTCTCTGTAGGTGCTGGAACCCACCACTAGCATGTTCTATTTTGCCAGCCAGGCCTGTTTCTTAAGTATGCAAAATGGAGCTCAGCTCCATCCTTTCTCTTACCCAAGGGCAAGGGATTTGGGCCTTGGTAAGGTTTTTATGTCCCAGTGAGTCAGGCAAGACAGAGACCACAGTTGGGTCCAGAGTTTTCTCTTGTCCCTAAGCAAGACTGAAGGTGATTCATTCACTTTTAAAGTCTCTTATTACTTAGAATGAATTTAATGTGGTCATTATGTTCTCCCTATGAAAAATTTTGAGGTGAGTCTTCAAATGCAAGAAAAATGGAAGTCATTTGTTTTCCAGACATTATACGTGTACAAGAGATTCTTCCCCAAAAATCGTTCACCGCACCTGATTGCAGTTGTCTTATGGAATTCAAGAAAGGAATTAGAGTCACATGACTAAGTGAGGTCCTGCTCATTCTATTTTTGTTAATGGGTGAAGTTAGAGAACTTCTACCCTGTTCCTGGGGAGAGAACACTCAGGTAGGACTTTAAAACAAACCCTAACAACTGTATTCAAGGTCCCCTCCCACCCATCTCTTCTACTTTTCTTTCCTTTAGAAGTGCTTTCTTTGCCTTTTCCTTTTGGAGATAAGTGATTTCAAGGGTGCGCCCTCTTTCCTGTGTCTATGCTAACTTCAATGATGTTAGCGGCAGTTAAAGTGCTTCATATAAAAATAGAGGACAAAATCTTTCTCGTTATTTTAAATTGGAAGCTAGCTGCTAAATTCTTTAAAATTAACACATTGGAATAGAATAGAGGAATCTAGAGGACTGAAATAAAAAGATACATAGTTGCTGTGGCTCAGACATGTGGCATGGTGTGGGGGCTGATATAATTG
The DNA here is from genome assembly GCF_000001405.40 of Homo sapiens. Taxonomy (NCBI): domain Eukaryota; kingdom Metazoa; phylum Chordata; class Mammalia; order Primates; family Hominidae; genus Homo; species Homo sapiens. Next base: position 59,725,648 of record NC_000014.9, on the reverse strand, counting down.
ACTCTTGACTTCCCAAATAGCTCTTCTTAAAGAGCTGAAAGCATATTTAGTGTGTGTGATAGGGAAGATACTTGAAGACAAATTTAACGGTGGGAATGTGTTTGTTGGGTCAATCTTAAAACCATTTTGGGTTTTTTTGCTACTATCCTGACATAGTAAGAAAAGACGCTGCAGCTTGCAGGGAACCACAGGAAAAAGTATTAACATGAACAACCTTCAGCCCCTTGGGGCCCCAAAACAGTCAAGCTTGAGTCATGCTGAGCATGTGTTCATGTCACTGTACTGTAACAGGCATGTGTCTCCATTTTATCCCCTAACTAATGTTCCTGAGATAGTCACCGTGTGCACGGTGCTGTTCAAATATGTTTATTCTCAAAAGTAGATAAATCTGAGGGCTAAAGAGAAAAGGGAACTTTGCAGGCCTATTGAGAGACAAGGACAACAGCTGGGACTGACTGACCAGACACCTGATGAAGAGCTGAGGAGATGGAAAACTGCAGCTGTGAATGCAAAGGCTTCAGAGTATCTTTTATGGCCAATTTTGTGTCATTTGAATCTCTGTACAAGTTGCCCCATATGGCTTGGACCCTGTGCTGCCAAGTTTAGAAGGTAGAGAGGAGGGTGTGGCAGTCTTTTCAAAAGATGAGGGCGTGCCAAGGTGAATAATCTCCACTCTCTTCTGCACGGAGGGGTCCTTTGAAATCTAGTCTCCCACTGAAACTCACTGCTCCACTGCACTATCTATGAAGAGTCTAAAAGGCCATTCTGAGGCAGCCAAGAACTGGAGGTCCTGAGCAGGTGATTCAGCAATGCCAGCAGGCAATTTGAGCTCTGAGGTTCTTTTTGGTCTCACTTGCTCTGTCTCAGCAGGTGAGAAAGGATCAGCGCTGCCCAGCCTTCCCCAGGCTGTTTTTTTTTTTTTTCGTCTGACACAGAGTTTCACTTTTGTTGCCCAGGCTGGAGTGCAATGGCGTGATCTTGGCTCACTGAACCTGACCTTAGGCGATCCGCCTGCCTTGGCCTCCCAAAGTGCTGGGATTACAGGCGTGAGCCACCACGCCCAGCCCCAGGCTGTTCTTAATCACTGTTTGTGGACAGCAGGTTTGTGCTCATGCCAAGCTTGACTCCTGGCAACAGTGAGGTCCGGTCAGCTTCTGTGGTTTCCTGCTCTTGTCCACTGAAGCTTCTGGCAGTATGCATGCATTAATTTTATGCATTCACAAGTATCCAGGGGATGAGCCATCCTGCTGATGCTGGACAGAGTTTCAGAAGTGCCTAGAAATATTTAGAATAATATTTAGGATAAGGTTTGACAGATATTTGATGGCATCATTGCATGTACCATGGAGGAGCACCAGGGTAACTGGTGCACGTGCTCTAACAAGGCCTAGTTTTGGAGCTTTCTCACCTTTCAGAGACCTCTGCAGTTATTGCACTGGAGACAAAACGCAGTTCTTTCTTCATGCTTCAGTTTTCCTCCTTGTATGCCCCTGAGCTCTTGCCGCCCTGTATTTCTGCTCCCCTACACCTTCTAGGATGACCTGTTATAAACATTAGATTCTAAAGCAGGTAGATATGTTTTCCTTTCTACAAGATTAGCCGTAACTGTTAGGAATGTCCAAGTAAAAAGCCAATTTAAAAATTTTCATAAAAGCACTAATACCCAGTGTGATTAATCAGGATAGTTATGTGATATTTACCAAACCTATGTGATTGTAGAATACTTTTTATTAGAGTGTGCCGTTGGGTTCATATTCCAGGGGGACACCTGTTGGGAAATCATGGTATCTTTGCCCTTGAGCTTGTTTCCTGCATTCTGATTACTTATCATGCAACTCAAAAGTGTGTGGCTTGGACCAGCCATGTTGATATTATGTGGGAGGTTGTTAGAAATGGGGAATCTCAGGCTGCTTCCAAGACGTACTGAATCAAGATCCCCTGTGCATAAGTGCATATGTGATTCTTATACACTTTAAAGCTTGGGAAGCAGAGTTTTATTTTTTTTAATTTATTTTTATTTATTTATTTATTTTGAGACGGAGTCTCGCTCTGTTGCCCAGGCTGGAGTGCAGTGGAGCATCTCTGCTCACTGCAAGCTCCGCCTCCCAGGTTCACGCCATTCTACTGTCTCAGCCTCCCGAGTAGCTGGGACTACAGGCGCCCACCACCACCACGCCCGGCTAATTTTTTGTATTTTTTTTTTTTTAGTGGAGATGGGGTTTCACCATGTTAGCCAGGATGGTCTTGATCTCCTGACCTTGTGATCCACCCACCTTGGCCTCCCAAAGTGCTGGGATTACAGGCGTGAGCCACCGCACTCGGCCAGGGTAGCAGGGTTTTAGACGATGGCAGTATGCTTTCATATTCCTACTTGAAACTGACTGTCTTCTTGCCAAACAAATGGCCTCTTTTCAATCTCATCTTTCTTGTCCTCTCTGGTAATCTAATATCATACTGCTGATCAGTCCTTAAAACGTTAATAATAAAGTAATGTATATTTGTTGTAATAAATTCAAACTGTACAAAATGGCACAGAATTCAAAGTTAAAGAGTCTGGGCATGGTGGCCCACACCTGTAGCCCCAGCACTTTGGGAGGCCAAGGCTGGTGAATCACTTGAGCCCAGGAGTTCAAGACCAGACTACGCAACATGATGAAACTCCATCTCTACAAAAAATACAAAAATTAGTTGGGTGTGGTGGTGCATGCCTGTAGTCCCAGCTACTCAGGTGGCTGATGTGGGAGGATCACTTGAGCCCAGGAGGTCGGGCCTGCAGTGAGCTTTGATCACACCACTGCACTCCAGCCTGTGCAACAAAGAAAGACACCTTGTCTCAAAAAAAAAAAAAAAAAGTTAAAAGTTCCCTACTCAACCCTCCCATCCCTAATTCTCACACGTCACTACAGGCCTTTGTATTGTTTTTTTTTTATTGTTGTTCTTGTTCTTCAAGAATTTCTTTAAGTATTCAGGAATATATAGTTTTTCACTGAAAAAGTAACATTATATTGAACATACTGTTTTGTAACTTATGTCATTTAACAATAAAATTAGGGACAATATCAGCTCTCATGGAAATCGTTCACTCCTTCTCAGAACTTTTTCCTCCCTTATCGTACTGATGTTTCTCTTTCTTGGTTCTCCTCTTACTCTCTGACCTCTTTTCCAGTCTCTTTTGCTACCACCCTTCCAGTTCCTCTGTGTTGTCCCTGAGTTCTATCCTTGTCTTTCTTCCTCCTGCCTATCCTTGCTGTCAAAGCTGCTGTCACCCATGCAGGTTTTCAGGCACTGCTTTATGTGTGACACTTCTCAAATCTCTTGCTTTGAAGAAATCCTCTTTTCTAAACTCCAAGCCGATTTCCCTCACTGTGTATTGGACATCCCATAGACCTCCCAAATTCCGTATGTCCATGTTAATTTATCAAAATTTGCTCTTTTCCTTCCTCTGTTCCCTTCCTGAGCAAATGAAGTGATGTCATTGAGTGTGAACACTCAACCTCCAGGACTCTAACCCTCTTACAGTTCTAAGTTCTCATACTTTTTGAATACTGTTAGGAATTTATCCCATAGAAATGCTATAGCAGGTGGGCAAAAATATATAAATTATACACATGTGTAAATAGAGTTAGAAAGATACATATGAATATCTTTCTTATCTCGTTTTTCATAGTAATGAAAAAGTTGGAAAAAACACCAACAGGGAGTTGAGTAAAATGAATTTTCATCCATCCATCCATTGGAGAGCAACAAAATCATTTAGAAGAACTAAGTCTGGATCCAAGTAAAGACTCATTAGCCTGAGACAAAGTTAAAGGTACTCGGTGCCGACCTGACTGTAAATACTTCAGTAGAAGTCTTGCAGTAGTGTTTGGTTATAAAATTATCACCCAGGTGATCCAGAGTGTTCTTACTATTTGAAAAATTAATATCAAAATAAAAATACAAAAATGAAATTCTCTTTTTGGAACCCTAAAGTACACAACCAGTGACCCAGATTGAGAAATATTTCTTTAAGCTAGCAAGGACTTAAGTGTTGCTTGGGGACCAGGTACCTCAGCACCTTTTGGAGTGCTTGTTCAGAATTCAGATTCTCAATCTACCCCCACCTCGAAACTACAGAATGAGAACTGGCTGGGGCATACATCTGCACTTTTAATAATCACACTGAAGCTTGAGAATTTCTATTGTAAACAGATGAGCTAAGCAGCCCAGACCTTCTAAGAAAACTTGTTGGTGAGCATGACTTAGACATATCATGCTTTTAAATTAAAGATGCTGAGGGGGACTCAGCTGTTTCTATCTCTTTCTGTTAGAGAGGTACCTGTCTGTGCCCTGGGAGGCAGGCCTCTGCAGCCTGCTCACCCATGGCCTCCTCTGTGTATAGCAGCTACAGCAGCTTGAGGCTGGAGGGCTCAGCCCCTTGTGGCAGGGGAAAACCTGTCTTTTCCTTGGAGGGGTGATTTGTGGGATGGCTACCAGGTGGAGGTCTTCTCAAATAGAATAGATTTTCATCTGTCTAGCATTTATGATGTTTGTTATCACTTTTCATTATTATACTAGATATTACTTCTGTCCTAAAATATTTGGGAGGGAACCAAAATAAGTATGACCCATTTACTTTCTTCTCATAATTCTAAAAAAAAAAAGTCATTATACCCTAGTCCTGTATGTGTTCACTTTCATGAGACTGTATTAATATACCGGGCTATAAAGATTCTTGGAAAGTCTCTTTCTTTCACAATACAGGTGTTAGATTCCACTTGAGCTCTATGCCCCTCCACTGAAGCTGCTGTTCTTTGTCAGCTTTCAACAAGATGGACCAGTAACTGCTGGATAAAGTGTGACTCCTGTGTTGGTATGTGCTATGCCATGGAAATACTTAGATGGAGACATCGATTTTCCACCTTAGAGTATTTTTTTTTTTTTTTTTGAGATAGGGTCTTACTCTGTCACTCAGGCTGGAGTGCAGTGGCGCGATCTCAGCTCACCGAAACCTCCACTCCCAGGTTCAAGCAATTCTCCTGCTTCAGCCTACTGAGTAGTTGGGACTACAGGCATGCACCACCATGCCTGGCTAATTTTTGTATTTTTTGGTAGAGACAGGGTTTTGCTGTGTTGGCCAGGCTGGTCTTGAACTCCTGGCCTCAAGTGATCTGCCTGCCTTGGCCTCTCAAAATGCTGGAATTACTAGCGTGAGCCACTGCAACCAGCCCACCTTAGACTATTGAAAGCAACTAAGCTACTTTTATGAGACTTTGCCCAGTGATAGAAGGAGCTCTTCTGGTCTAGGCAACCCTGGATGAGGCTGCCAGCAGCCAGCTGAATTCATGGCTTTTCTTTCTGAAGCTGTCACAGAGTTAGCAGTGTTCCAATTGCATATCGATCTATGTTTTTTTTTTAAAATGGTGGCTTCACTGAGTGGTGGGGTTTCCTTCTCAGCCTTGGATAGAATTGCTGCAAATCTTGGTGGCTCCAGCACTTATTATTTCTAGGGACAGTTATTCTTGCCACTTCAATTCCAAGATGTGTGTAAAGATCTAAAATGGTTATTGTACCTTGGTAATACTTTTAATACCAAATCTTTGGGACACAATAAACCCTCCTAGTAAATTTGGTTTGGGCATGCAGTAGGGCATTGATCAGCTCCTGAAATGGAATCGAGTCAACCTTAAACTTGCCTGTAGAGGGAGAGCTCCCAGGCAGCAAACATTTTTATGCCTCCAAGAAATAATGATCCTATTTATTAATAAATGGCAATCCTAATTCCCTATCCAGGCTTTTTTCTCCTCTGTTCCTCACATAGATCAACCTAACTTATAATAATGGAGTTTGGAAGACATAATTCAGATACTTCTAATTCTCAGAGGCAACATGAGGTCAAGGAGATTCTCTAGTCTCAAATACTAACCCTACTTCCCTCTGAAGTCTGGGTGGGATCCTCATAGACATAGTTTCTGCACTTCTAGATTCTATCTTTGTGACCCCACAAAACACTCCTGCAATACAAAAATACAATACATAAATTTCACTCAAGGTTATGCCAGTCCCACCTATTCATACATCCATCTTTCCTTTGATTCAACCAATATGGCATAGGATGTGCCTGACACTAGCAATGTAGTGGTTACCAAAGCAGACTTGAATCCACCCCTCATGGGGCTTACATTCTGGTGGAAGAGGGAGTAGACATTAAGAAGAAAATCAACAGAGTGATGTGTAAGAGACTACCTGGTGGTGGGTGGCACTTAGGAAGGTCAGAGAAGGCCTCTGAGAAGGAGGAAACTGAGAAGTCAACTGTGGCAAGAGCTGGTTAAAGCAAGTTCCAGACAATATAAAATGCAAAGGCCAGAGACAGGAAAGTTCTAGGGATATTCTATACATGGGAAACAAGTTGATGTTGCTAGAATGTGGTAGGCAAGGGGAAGAATGGCAAGAAATAGAGGTGGAAGATTGGCAGTGCCCTTCCATGCACACATCATGGTGCTGAGCTTGGTCTTTCCTAAGCATTCTAAGAAGCCTCAGAAAGATTTTTAAACTAGAAAGTGACATGACCTCCTTTGCATTCTTTAGAGGTCACATTGGCTGCTGTAGGGAGAAAGAGTTGAAGGAGGACAAGCAAGCATGGAAGCAGGAAGACAAATTAGGAAGCTCTTGCAGGCATGAGATGGCAATGGCTTGGAGAGGTGGTAGCATTGGAGATGAGAGGAATGGATGGATTTGAGATATGCTTTGGAGATGGACTTAATAGGACCTACCGATGCTTTGGATTTGTGGTAGGGGTGACTTTATCCCCAATACCCCTCAAATTATATTTCAGTTTTTGTCAACACAATGATTACAAAGAGATGCAAAAATATTTACAATGGGGAAAAATACCCCAAACTTTGATGCTGCTTCATTAGTCATTGAACTCGTTTTTTTGTGTGTCTGCTTTTGGAAAAACTCATCCATTTGGATTATGATAGCACTGAAATGATCTCCCTATTTGAGCACTGTATCTAGCATATTTTCCTGGCCAAGCAACGGGTTTAATATATTTAGGTGATGGTGATGTTTGGGTGGCTGACACTGGAGCTGGAATGGTCCAATATGGCACTTGTGGAGGTTAAATAAGACCCTTAGTGAGATAGGTAGGGATTATGGTCAAGCAAGTTGGTTATTTAGAGTTAGATACATGCTTGCCTAGGGCCAAGAAATCACAAAAGCTTCAGAAAGTCTAAAGAACATCCCAAATGTGAATCAAAATTTTACTAACAGGCAAGGAAAAGTCAGAGGCTAAAGTTAGAGCGAAGGCAGCTTTAAAGTAGATACTCAAACTGGGGCTTCAAGTTGAGGCAAGCACATCACTCAGTCTGGTTACTTCAGCTCAAGACTGCAGTCGGCCATGGTCTCTATTGGTGATTTACTCAGAGATTCCTGAGTCCGCCCCGTCTCTGTAATGGCACTCCTGGATTTTAAGTGACCTAGGTTGAAATGGTGGTCCTCTTGGCCAGGCAAAGCATTGATCCAGGACTTTTCTCTTTCCTTGTGGAAGTGGGTGTGAATGGCAGGAAGAGCAGATTAGGGGCTCAGTGGAACTGATCAGTTTTTCTAGATAGTGTTTCTCAAAGGGTAGTTGGTAGACCATTTATATCGGAAGCAGTTTGTTGAAATACAGAATTCCCGGGCTCACCCCAGGATTTCCTAGGAAGGGGCTAATGCATCTGCTTCATTAAGTAGCTCCGCAGTTAATTGTAGGCAGAGAACTTGAGAATCATTACTCTAGGGACTATGTCGGGGCTGATCTCTCAACGTCCTCAGAGTAATCTTTGGCAGGTTTTTCCTCCAGTAACCCAACTTTTTCCAAGGCCAGTTGGATTTTCTGTTTGGGCTTAGATGTTAGTTTAAATGGTTCTTGTGGGTAAGTAGAATTTAAAGTGAAATGTATACTGTTTACTTCGAGACTTCCACCTCCGTATGGGAGAGTGAAGGGGAGATCATGTAAACACAGCCTGGTCTTGCCAGCTCATCCAGGGGATGCTACCTAACATCTCTCCACCCCACAATGCCACTAGAACAAAGGCCCCAACAGTATATGGTGGCGACACAGAGGAGCTAACCATTCATTGTTTCAGTAGTTTGGGGCCTCCTGGGTGAGAGGAGTCCTCTGGGTGATCTCTGTTCATAGCCTGGAAAATTTGTAGCAGGAGAGGGAGAGGAGTGGGGTTGAGTTGTAGTCTTCCACTCACAATCAAGAGTAACCGGCATGACTTTATTACACAAGATCAAACATTTCACTACCACTAATAGTAATCCAGTTCAAAGTTGCATATTCTGGTAAATATAACATTCTGGCTTAACTCTTCCCTTCTGGCAGGCACTTCATTTTCTTACAACTCTTGGCTGAGCACTGAAATCTTGGGAGATTTATCTGCCTACAAAGCACTTGCAAAAGCAGAGTATGTGCCCCAAAACCTAATTCTTTCACTTCCAAATTCACTCTTGTTTACCTCTCCCTAACATCTCTAGGAGCTCAGTTTGATTCTACTTCTGAAAACGCAAAGAAAATCAAGTAAAGCAGAAAGATGCTTTTGTATTGATTATCCCCACTCACTGTTAATGTCTATTGCCATCCAGTGGTTGCCATGAAAATATTCAACCTCTACTTCTTTTTTTTTTTTTTTTTGTTTGTTTGTTTGTTTGTTGAGATGGAGTCTCGCTCTGTTGCCCAGGCTGGAGTGTAGTGGCATGATCTCAGCTCACTTCAAGCTCCGCCTCCTGGGTTCACGCCATTCTCCTGCCTCAGCCTCCCGAGTAGCTGGGACTACAGGCGTCCACCACCACGCCTGGCTAATTTTTTTTTTTTTTTGTATTTTTTTAGTAGGGATGGGATTTCACCGTGTTAGCCAGGATAGTCTTGATCTCCTGACCTCGTGATCCACCCGCTTTGGCCTCCCAAAGTGCTGGGATTACAGGTCAACCTCTACTTCTTCTCACTCACACCACCACAATTTGAACTTTACAATAAGATTTCTTGGATTATGATATAAGAAGATATGTCTTTAAATGAATTTACAATGTTCACATCGCTGTACTGTTTCTGTGGTGATTGATTATTTAAATTACCCTCCGAATTTTCCTTGAAACAAGCACAAAGACAGAGTTCCAAAAAATATTTCCAAATGGGTAACTTAGTTTTCAGCAGAATTAGTTGTAAGGCTAGACCATTTGGCCTCTACCAAAACATAAAATATAATACCATGTAGAATTTATGAACTGTGCTTTCCTACTAATTGGAGTTTTGGGTCAACATCTTCATTTCAAATTGAAGTCAAGGGTTGAGGTACAGTTTGTTGTTCTAGATTATTTCTCATGGGTAGAAGAACCAGGATTTAAAATAAGATCTACTCATTTTCAGCCAGTGTCTTTTTCCAACTAAATTGATTTCCAGGTAATTGGCCTGCTTACAAGCAAAGCTAAATGTTCTCTATGGCAAGTTGCTTTAGAATTTGGAGATTTAAGATTTAATATCAAAAATGTATATAGATGTAAATAGTTTTATAATGCTATATAATATAGGCAGCTAGTTCAAGTGTTAGCATGGTCTGTAAGCCGGAAATTCAGTCCAATCACTTGGAAAGCATGTAATTATTTTCTTTAGCTTAGCCAATTTATACTTGAATCTTTTTTACATAGAATCATGGTTTTCTTAAATGTTGAAAATAAAGAAAATCATAAATAAATGATTCTAGAAAGTTTGGATATAAGTAAAATAGTCTAATTGTCAATTTGTTCCTTTTATTTTCTTCCTTCTCTCTTTGTTAGGTCCACATTTTTTTTTTTTTTTGAGATGGAGTCTCACTCTGTTGCCCAGGCTGGAGTGCAGTGGTGCGATGTCGGCTCACTGCAACCTCCACCACCCAGGTTCAAGCAATTCTCTTGCCTCAGCCTCCCAAGTAGCTAGGATTACAGGTGCCCACCACCATGCCTGGCTAATTTTTGTATTATTAGTAGAGATGGGGTTTCACCATTTTGGCCAGGCTGGTCTCGAACTCCTGACCTCAAGTGATCCACCTGCCTCTGCCTCCCAAAGTGCTGGGATTACAGGCGTGAGCCACAGCACCCAGCCTAAGGTCCAGATTTGTAATGCCCTTTCTTAGTCCTCTGAAAACAGAATCCTGAAATTTGGAGAAGTTTTTATATATTTCACCAAGACATGCTATAGTTCTAAAGCCAAAAATCTTGGCTTTGAATGATTTATAAGTCCTGTTATGATTTACATTTTAGTTCTTATGGAGACATCTTTTCCTCAGGGCCCACTACTCTGGCTAAAAACATAAAGGGACTTGTTGATGAGGAAAGTCTCAGAGCCAAACCTAGAGCCTGAGGGCAAAGTTCTCTGAGAAAGAGACACTTTTGAGGTTCCAGCCTTACTGTTCCTCTGTCAAATTGGAACTGATTTGCCTCTGGGATGAGACATAAGGTCATTCACCTGAACTATTAAGTTTTGTCTCTCCCACTGTATATATTTGCCCCTGTAGTTTATATCAGTAGTCCCCAACCCTTTTGGTACCAGGGACAAGTTTCATGGAAGACAGTTTTTCCATGGGAAGGTGGGAGGGTGGGATGGTTTCAGGATGAAACTGTTCCACCTCAAAGCATCAGGCATTAGAGTCTCATAAGGAGCATACAGCCTAGATCCCTTGCTTGTGCAGTTTACAATAAGGTTCACGCTCCTATGAGAATCTAATCTCCTAGTGTCACTGCTGATTGGACAGGAGGTAGAGCTCAGGAAGAAATGCTCACTCACCTGCCGCTCCCCTCCTGCTGTGTGGCCCAGTTCCTAACAGACCACGGACCAGTACCAGTCTGCGGCCAGGGGTTTGGGGACCTGCTAGTTTATATGATGCCCATGTTGTAATGGGTAGAGGTGGGTAACTTTCCATCAAATTGATACTTGCTCTTCTGTAGCGTAGTCCTTCTTGGGAAGTGGCTCTCAGTCACGGACTGTATTTCCCAACCTCCTTGCAGCCAGGTGAAGCTCTGAGTCTAATTCTTACCAATAGAATGTGAGTGGAGATGATATGGGTTACATCTGGGAAGATGGGTGAGATGCAGTTGTGCCTTTTCCTCCTTCAAGGCTCTAGACCAAGGGGATGGCAAAGGAGAAGGAACCTGGGCTCCTATATGACTACCTGGTGGAAAGCTACCTGCTAATGAACACTCACACTCATCTATTAAATTAGCAACAACAACAAAAAATTCCTTCCATGTTAAGCCACTGAAATGTTGGGGTTATTTATTACTGTAGCCAGCATTATTCTAATGGGATAACCCATGATGTAATATAAAATTGAGAAAGAAGATCTATAGTTAGAATGTATGTTGTGGCACATGTCCCATAATAAAATTAGTCTATTTTTTTTTTTTTTTTTTTTTTAGACGGAGTCTCACTCTGTCACTTAGGCTGGAGGCAATGGCACAATCTCGGCTAACTGCAACTTCTGCCTCCTGGGTTCAAGCAATTCTCCTGCCTCAGCATCCCAAGTATCAGGGATTACAGGCGCCTGCCACCATGCCTGGCCAATTTTTTTTATTTTTAGTAGAGACAGAGTTTCACTATGTTGGCCAGGCTGGCCTGGAACTCCTGACCTCGTGATCTGCCTGCCTCGGCCTCCCAAGGTGCTGGGATTACAGGCGTGACCCACCGCACCCGGCCTATTAGTCTAATTTTTATAAGCATAATTTTATAGGTCTTGCTTCTTCTCTGTTCCTTTCCCCTTTATACTGTCCTTTGCTGGTACTGTCCTTTGCTCAACTGCTGGAATTACTGGTATGGTAATTCTGAGCAAATTTTAAAAAGACAGTTCTGTCTTCAAGATGTTTTATTGCTTCTTCCTGAAATGTTGTCATTAAAAACTATACAAATCTTGTATAACCACAAGGTGAGTAGCTGGCACTCTCTAAAAGCTAGGAGACACCTAGGAAAACTGAAGTCCCTGTCTAGGGCTAGACTAGCAAACTTGGGAAATCACTGATTCTCTCTGAATTGGGCGAAGCAGTGAGCTGCCTGAGGGTAAGACATGCTTGTGACTTTTTGCAGTATTTTCCTTAGTCCAAGGACCCATTCTCAGCAGTAAGTGTTCTGAAGCTTGTCTGAGTCTGGTCGAAACCAGAATGCCAAGTTATGAGTTACACTGGAAATGTATGAGGGGAACTTCATCCTAGTGGGGAGCTCAGCTCATTATTGCCTGGAGCAAAAAGAGTAGATTGTTCTCATCGGAAATTTCCATCATGCTTTGGCATCCTGTGAAACTGTTCTGTTTTCAAAGGACTGGGAATCCGCAACTAGAATCACAGCAGCTGCTCCCAACCCCATGCCTGAGGTCCTTTCCCCCACCAGTGGCCCCTTGTCTAGATTCCCTCCCTCAAGACACCGTATCGTTTTGATTGCACATCCCCTTTTCACTGCGTTAAAGAATCGTGCGCCAATTGGATCTGGGTCTTACCTTCTCCACTTACTACTAGCTATGTGACTCTGGACAAGTTAACCTGTCTGCATTTCGATTTTTTTGTCTGTTCAAAGGAGATAATAGTACCTACATCACTGGATTCTTGGGATGATTATTTGAGATAATTTAGGTAAAGTGCTTATCCTCTAATGTTGTTGCTATTTAAATATTTATTTTAATAATAATTATACAATGAGATGGGGCTTTGGGAGAATCTAATACAGTTACTCATTTTTTTTTTTTTTTTTGAGATGGAGTTTCACTCTTGTCACCCAGGCTGGAGTGCAATGGGAGTGATTTCAGCTCACTGTAACCTCCACCTCCCAGGTTCAAGCAGTTCTCCTGCCTTAGCCTCCCAAGTAGCTGGGATTACAGGCATGCCCCACCACACCCAGCTAATTTTGTATTTTTAGTAGAGACAGGGTTTCACCATGTTGCCCAGGCTGGTCTCAAACTCCTGACCTCAGGTGATCAGCCTACCTGAGTGCTGGGATTATAGGTGTGAGCCACCACGCCCGGCCTAATTACTTATTTAATGCAGGAATACTTTCTGCAACATACTGTTTCATAACATTTCAGTTAGTAAGTTTGCAAGTTTTCTTCTTATGTCACAGTTTGATTGACTGCTTTCCAACAATTTATCGGAAGTTGAATTGATCTCACTAATAAGCTCTTTCCAAAGTATATTGTGGGACAGGTTGCCTCTCGGGAGGTTTCCTAAAGCCAGCTGACCCAATTTGTCATTTTCTGTTGACTGTAGTTTTCAATAAATATATGCTTAGTTCCTCACCCATAATATCTCAGAATATAATATGTGGATATAACATCTGTAGATCAGTATTTTCTAGTATGCCCCAGCTGATTTAAAATGTCCAGCCAGGGTTGGATACCACTTAGCTCTATCTGCTGTATATAGATTTTTGTTATCTTTAGGCCTATGTATTTTGGGGCTCCCTCCACAATCCTCCCTTAGCCTCAGGTGTGTGCCTTACTCTTTTGACTCTGTTAGGCCATACTACAGTAACAAACCTCAAAATTTCAATGGCTTAGCTCAACAAACATGTATTTCTGGCTTTCAACTATTGCTATTTGGTGGAGGCTTTCCTTTATTCAGCTACAAAGGGATCCAAGCTCCCTTTCTTCTGTGCCAGTTGAATATCAACATATGGCTTCTCAGGTTGCCATGCCAGAGGAAGAAAGAGCTGACACCAGCTCTTAAAAGCCTCCCCTGGAAATGATACATGTCACTTTTGCCTATGGCTCGTAGGCCAGAATTTGTCACATGACTCTATGCATCTTGATGCATGGAGCGCACTGGAAATTTGATGAGGTCCCTATCATGGACCTGTTTCACAATGATCTCTTGTCTTAGATCTTCAAAGCACTTATCATCACCCAGTACTTGATGTATGCCTTCCTTTATTTGTTTATTGCCTATCTCTCCCAAGTAGACGTTAAGCTTTTTGAGATCACAGGCTTTTGTTCACTGCTGTATCTCTAGTGCTTACAGTGATGCCTAGTGAGTAGTGGGGTCTTAATAAACATTTAATAAATAAGTGAATGGCAACTCCATACACAAAGGTGAAGCCACTGAAATCTGTTGTGGGATTTTATTTTATGTCAATGTGCTTTATAGCTTGTGTTCTTTTTCAAAAGCACATTTAAATGTTATTGAGTCCAAAGAGAAGTTAAAGAATAATAGGCTAATTAAGAAGAGAACATTATATGTGGATCTCCTACTATTACTCACGAAGAGCATTTATCTCTCAGTTGTTCATTCCTGGAGTGATCACCCCAGGAAAGGGCAAATGTAGTCAGCAGAGAAGGATGCTTTCTGAGGTTCAGCTGACATAGGCAATAAAAGACTTGAGTTGGCAAAGCAGAAGGTGATATCACTGTGGGCCTGTGTTCAGCCTTTTCTTTGCTGAGCTGAGCCTATCGAATTTGCACAAGACCAGTCTGTTGAAACTTTATAACCCCCATAAAATGGAAAACCTTCTGCAATGAATGCTTCTTCTCATTTTGAATACTGCAGAACCCAATTAAAAACAAGGTTTGTTATTAAGGCTGGTCTAGAGACAGGCAGTATTATGTTATGATTAAGGCATGAACTCTAGAATAAGAAAGATTTGGGTTTGAACCTGAGTCCAACACTTACCTCCCTGAAACCTCCCAAGCCTCATCTATAAAATGTAATGAATATTTCCTACTTGCTAGAATTGTAATGAAATTTAAATTGAATAATGCTTTTAAGGTGGTTAGGTTGGTAGAAGAAATGGCACTTTGGAAATGACAGCAATTATCACATTCTATAATTGGATTGTTTTTCTGTACTAGATATGGCAGTATACCCAGGTTACAGTCAGTGGTGGGGCTTACTCAGGGAGATGAGAGAATGTGAGGCCACTCAGATGGGCTGTCCTTTGTGGATCAGCCCCCGACCTGAGGCTTCCAAAGCTGCCTTTCTGGTGGGCCTGTAGTGCATGGCCATGGCAGGCCTGCTTTGCCCCTGAGCTCAGTTGGCAGCCCACCTCCTTTGGTGCACTCAGCATCTTTGTTCCCCAGCATGGGCTGCTTTTTCACCATCCAGTGTGAAGCTCACCTGTCACAGCCCACCTCAAGGACATTATTCCCCCCATGCTCAACATTTAGCTCAAGCCTCCAATTCTGGTCCTTTCAGCTGTGGCCAGGTTAGCAGGATCGATTCACAGAAAGAACCATTTGGGGAACTTCTCTTTAAAAGGGACTGAATTTATGTCAAGCTTGGAATGCTGCAGACTCCTCTCCTCTATTTTTTAAAGTGAAACTTTACATGCAAAGAAGTTTCAGCCCTGGCTGGGAACAGTGGCTCATGCCTGTAATCCCAACACTTTGGGAGACCCAGCCAGGTGTTTGAGACCAGCCTTAGCAACATGACAAAACCCCATCTTTACAAAAAAAAGATACAAAAATTGGCCAGGTATGGTGGTGCACGCCTGTACTCCCAAATTCTCAGAAGGCTAAGGTGAGAGGATCACTTGAGCCTGGGAGGGTAAGGCTTCAGTGAGCTGAGATCGTGCCACTGCACTCCAGCCTGGGCAACAGAGTGACAGTCTGTCAAAAAAAAAAAAAAAAAGAAAGAAAGAGGGAGAGGAGAGGAGAGGAGGAAAGAAAAAGGAACGAAGGAAGGAAGGAAGGGAGGGAGGGAGGGAAATAAAATTAAAAAGGAAGGTGTTCAGCCCTATGGTTATTTTTTATGGGAAGCTAACTTTGAACAATGAGAAAATTTAGGAATATTTGAAGTAGTATTTGGGGGTGAGGTTCAGTTATGTTCTTCCCGTGATAAACATGGAATTGCCTCTTTAGAGTAGATAGACAAATCCCTCTTACATAAAATGCTTCAGATGACTGCCATTTCTCTTAAAAAGCTCTCCCATTTTTGTTATATGCTTTCAATTATCTGAACTGGGAAGTAAGCTTTGGTGTACTTCTAATTCAGGGCAATTTTTTGTCTGCCTGGACCCCCATAGGCAGGCGGACTGGCACCACAAGGCAGGGGGCAAGATTCTCCTTATAAGGAGGTTTCTTGTAACAACTTGTTTGTTTGGTGCATTGTGCTTCATCTATTTTATCCACCATTGACGTGCTTTCTAAAGTAGTTGTGCATCCGCTCACTCTAGAAATCCATACAATGTATTTCACAAGTACTAAGAACTGTCATCCATAAAATAGAATATATTTTAATTATCCTTTAAAGAAGACAAGGTAAGGTTGTCCCTTCAAATACCTAACTCTCATCTGTGATTTGAAATGAGTATTCATAGCTCCATTTTTTGAGACATTTTAAATAGATTATTATGCAAAGATGCATACCTTGAGCAAACAAAATAGTATTATGAACTTTCATATATAGATAAACAAAATTTAACAATTATTATCATTTTGTCATATTTGTTTTGTCTACTTTTGGGAAAAGCATTTTAAAATTAAGTCACAGCCACCAAGACATTTCACCCCTACAAGCTTCAGTGTACATCTCTAAAAATAGGACATTTTCTTATATAACTAGTTAGGCTCATTATTACATCTAACAAAACAAATACTTAACATCATCTAATGCCTAGTTCATATGCAGATTCTCCCAAGAATCCTCCAAATGTTTTTCCCCCTTCAGTTGGTTAGTTTTAATTAGCCAATGAGCAAAAATCTCTCAACTTCTATTTTCCACTACATTAACTATAATAAGAATATGGAGCAGTAGAAAGTTCTCTCAGTCTGTATAGTATGCGATGATCAGATGGATTTTCTTTTTTCCCAATATTTTCTTATGAAATTCCTCAAACATATAGAATAGTTGATAGAATTCTTCAGTGCATCCCTGTTTCCATGGTTCTATTTTTAATTCTCTTCCTGACTTCTTAGTAACTGGGACTTGATAGTCTCTACCCCTCAGATTCAGTGAGAAAGTAAATAAGCATTCCGTGGCTCCTTTTTAGGGGGAAGCCTTAAATAATATTTGCAAAGCAGATGGATGTCATTTCTTTGCATGGCTTACAAACCTTGGGAGTGTCTTCTCAACTGGGTAGCTCATGCCAGTCTATAAATATTATTGAGCCTGACTTTCAGTTGACAATACTTTACTGGGGCATCCCCAGAGAGCCAGGTGCTGACCTGTTGCCAGTGGAATCACCGTGTGAGTTAAGAGAGAAAATGATGAGCCACGCTGTCTAACACTGAAGCAATTGGAACAAGCTGTGTGTTTACACCTTATGCAATGTCAGCTGTATTTCAACATTATCTGAAAATATCATGCAAAGGTATTTGGAAAGGAGAAAAACAAATCTGGTTTTTAAAAATGTCTGTCTGAGGGTTGCTGCTGTTGCTATGGAAATCAGAGAAGCAGACTTTCACGCTTTACCACACCGAGCTTGTTTTTGAACAGATTCCTGAGACTGTGGGCTTCCCCCCACCTCCTATTCTGAGTGGTTTTGTTAGATATAACCTTGCTTGAATAATATTAACATATTCCTGTGGGAAAGCACATTAGGTGCTAATGCTTGGAGTTGTTTTTAACGAATGATTTAACAATACCGGATTCATTTTTCATCTGTATGTTTTTAAATAGACTGGCTCCTATAAACAGCGTTAACATACAGCTCAGCTTGGAGCATAAGGAAATGTTAGTTTAATATTTTAGTGCCATCTGCTGTAAGTTTCATGGCATTCTACCCCATCTGGCTTACTTGCAGCAATTCCCTATCTTTTTTTAGTTTCAGTAGAACACAGCAATCTCTTTTCAAATCTTTCATACTGATTGGGTCCTGTTTCTTCCTACTGAATACTGGATGAGGCTGTTGTCAGAATGTCTCCTTGATTGTAGGTGTTCATTTCCTGAAGACTTCTGTTTCAGTGCATGTGTGTGTTTGTGTGTATGTATTTGTGTGTGTGTGTGTGTGTGTGTGTGTGTGTGTGTAAAAGAGAGAGACAGAGGGAAAGAGAGAGAGAGAGAGAATTATCAAGCAGTTAACTCCTTCCTAGACCTCTCTTCCTTATTTCAAATGATGCTGACTCTTGGTGAGTGAACATTTGTAAATTCAGCACCATTGCTATATCAACAACTATTGAGAACCCATTGCATGCCAGGCTCTTTTCTAGGCACTAGGGGAGAGAGTGGAGAACAAAGCAGACTTCCTGCTCTCATGGAGTTTCATTAGTGGAAGAGACTAATAGTATACAAATAAACACACATCATATAGTATCAGGCATTGGCAAGTGCTGTGAATTCAAAAATAAAGCAGGCTAAAGAAAGCTATTTTAAATACGATGGTCAAAGAAGGCCTGATAGATGATAGAATTAGAATATTGGAATGGACATGTTAAGGTTGCTACAAGGGCAACAAATGTGCCCTCTAACCCTGTGCCTTGAGGCTCTTGTTAAAGATAGACCCTTGTCATTAGCTAATTAATTATGTTTCAACATTAACCATGAACATTATATGGATGAAAAACAAATCTGCTCTTTAAAAGCCATCAGAGTTTTTGTTGTTGCTTTGGAGCTAGATGGACCTTGGGCTTAAGTCAGCTTGTTCTTCAGTTCTCAGTTCTTCAGAATTCAGCAGTTCTTCAGTTCAGCACATGGTTAGAACACCTGTATGTGTCTGATTCTTAGTTAAGTTCCTTGGAGAGTAACAAAGAAACTTTTCTCCAGGAGTTGCTTTTAACTGTATGCTTTACCAACCCTCAACCCATCAAGGGGATTGAATAATACATATAGAATATTTAAAGAATAACACCAGATACTATTATGTTTGACTTCAGCTACAAATCCTGTCAATCCTAAGTGCTATTGGATTTCAGAGGAGGGAGAAGTGTTAAGATGTCCAGCGCCCTTCTCTTTACCTAAGCTCTTTAAAGGTCAGTTTGAGCAGAACATTGAGCATCACGGAGATTACTAATATTCCTTTCATTAGAAACAAAGAGATTCTGAGGTCAGGTAATTAGAATCATGAACAACCCATGTGAATTCTTCTGTGTTTATGTGTCTGTGTTTGCTCACACGTGTGCACACACTCACATGTGCACATGTTCCATACATTCATTCAGGAATCAAATATTAGGCAACTACTGCATGTGAGTTACTGGTCTGTGACTGGAGAAGTGTAGGGAGAACTTTCCCCTCTGAAGGTTCAAGTCATTAAGTCTGTTGAAATAAACTGACAACAGACAGATTAACAGGAGAAAAGGCATTACAGGTGTTCATGGGAGCCACACAAAATATGAAACTCAAAAAAGGGTCAGATGGCTGATGCTTAAATATTCTTTTCCTAGGGGAGATGTAAAGTGAGGGATGTAGGCAATTTCAGAGGAAGACTAAATGGTTTTTAGGGGATTTTAGTGGCCCCAGAGAAGAGACAATAGCCTGGGACACGGTTCTTCTGGCCTCTGGGAGAGGTGATGACAAGTTATGGGAATGTGAGGGGCAGAATGATACTGCAAACAAAGTTTGTCTTATGCAGGTAAAGAAGAATAGTTGAGAGAATAGGTGAAATGTCTGTCGGGTGTGGTGTCATGAGCATGGAGACTTCCTCTCCTGCTTTATGAGTTAATCTTCTCTGCCCAGTGTAGATTCAATGGAGGAAGTCCACAACAATTGCATTCCTTCTGGATGAACTTCCCTTAGTCAGGTAAGAGAATTTCAGAGAGAGCCGCTTTCTGTGCCTTGGAAGGAAAAGCTGGGGGTGAACGGGGAGGCAGGAGAAGGTCAGAGAGAGACTTTGGCTCTGAGGCCTTTCAGCCTCCTTTGTTCAAAGCACTCAGCATGCCAAACGGCCATATTTTGGGGTATCATTTTCTGAGCCCCAACAGAAGCTAATATGAGTAAGACACAGTGCTTGCCTGCAAGGTATTTGTAGGGACATATATACAAACAAATAGGTGTAATAAAGTGTTATAAGGGCAATGAAAGCAAGCAATGCTTAACCCAGCCTTGTCTGTGTTAATGATTGATGTTGAGATGTTTGAGATGTATGACTCTTCTAATTTTTCTATGCCTGTTTTCTCATATCTTCAAAAAATCTGGGACAGGGAGAAACATTAGCAAAATAATGACTCTTAGCCTTCTTACTTTAGGGAGAAAGGTTGAGTTGTCCTAAAGTAATCACAGTATTTGTTTTGGCTTACTGGGACGTGAGGCACATAAAAAGAATCATTGCTTTAATAGCTTGAGTATCATTATCAGATGCTGTAGTGATAGCTAGTACACCAGTGGGAGAGAAGCAAGTAGTAAGTGCATTTCCTCCTTGTTTTCCTGTTTACACAGTGTACTTGGAGTTACTGGATAACTTTAGAGACTCATTAGCCCTCTGTACAATTAAACGTAAATGCCCATCTTAGTAGAGGCTGATCATAATGTAGCTGCAAAGTTGGGGTAGGGGGTAGAGGGACAGATAACTATATGAACTCCTAAGTACGCATAGACTTCCGTGTGCTTGTTCCTGGGAGCCTGTGGCAGCCTGCATGGAAGCAAAAGTAAAATTGAGTTTGGGAATAGGGGGAGGTTGTTGAATGTCTTATTTCACCTCTACCCTCAAAAGTGCTTTCGATAAGGTGCTTCTAGGCACAAAGGAAAGATTTAAATCCGCCATATTTCCCTTATTATATATAAACTTTTTATCCAGTTGAGCACCACTTTTCAGAGCTAGGAAAATATTTTTGGGCTAACTAAAAGCTGTAAAAGCTGCTTTTTGCTTAGTGTTTATAATGATGATCCAGCTCTCTGATTACCCATTTCTCCCTTCCCCCAACCCAGTATGTTCAGTTGGCATCAAAATGATACGTCTATGGTCTGTGGCACCACCTTTGGGAGAGGTGGGTTTTCTTCCTGATCACAGTGTCCGGGAATCAGCTGCAGCACAAGTCCAATTCCAGTACCAGCACTGGCTCCCCCAAGATGCTTTCACTGCCATTTTCGTACCCTTCTCTCCTCTCTGCTCTCTCAGTGACTGGCAATTTGATTGTTTCTCCAATTTCCTTTTACTTCTGTCTGCACAGCACAATGCTGAATTCAGAAAATGAGAACTCAGCCATCACTTTATTCTGATGTAGGGACACCCTGTCAATGGAAATGTGGACTAGTGTGTAGGTTCTAGTGACTCTGGGCCTTTGAAGCTCCAAAAGCTTGCTATTTTTGGTGCCAGCAGGTTTTCAGAGCTCTGAGAATTTCTGTTTCCCCTTCCCCTGATGGCAGACCATATTGCATCTACTGCTCTTTCACTCCATCCTCACAAAGACATAAGGAGAAGTTTGCCAAGGGGGAACATCGTTCAATATTGAATGGGATTTCTGAGCAATGTTGCATAATCTTCTTAGTCAATTTTTGAACCTAGCAGAGATTTGACTATTCGTGGCGGTGAGGGGGCGGGGTTGTTCTTGAAGGGACTAGAATTAAAATTCTTATGCTGGGACTGCAAGTCCCTGGAGGGCCTGAAATTGTGCAAATATTTGCAGGAGCATTTTGCTAGACCAAGATCGTAACTTTCATCAGACTCTCAGTGGGATCTGTGACTCTAAAAATAGGTTTAAGTTTAAAAGGGGAAGAGAAAACACTCAACTTGATAATTTCAAGAGCTCCATGCTGCTGAAAAACCTGAATCTGTGATTTCCTGCAATATTATCATCCTTCCCCTCAGAAGGAAGAAAAATACAATATAATCACCTTTGTTTTTCCAGGAGCTTCAAACTGTGGAATCACATTGCTGATGAGTAGGCCTCAGCCTGGAACACTCCTGTTCACTGTATAATATCTGACTGAGCAGTGTGCCATTTTAAATAATGGTCATATGAGTGTTGGCTAACAACCAAAATTTCAGTTACATCATTCCATATAGATAGATAGATAGCTGGTTTACTTATATAACAAATATTTGTTGTTACATCTTATACATCAGGCACTGTTTGAGGCACTTGAGATACTTCAGTGAACAAAATGAAGATTTGTGCTCTCACGGAACTTACGTTCTTGTAGGGGGAGAAAGACAAGAACAATAAACATAATGTGTTAGTCCGTTTTTGCATTGCTACAAAGAAATACCTGAAGCTGGGTAATTTATAAAGAAAAGAGGTTTTATTGACTCATGGTTCTGCAGGCTTTGCAGGAAGCATAGTGCTGGCATGTCATTCTGGTGAGGCCTCAGGAAGCTTCCAATCAGAAGATGAAGGACGGCAGCCATGTCAAATGGCAAGAGTGAGAGCAAGAGAGTGAGATGGGAGGTGCCACACTCTTTTAAACAATCAGATCTCATGTGAACTCAGAGTGAGAACTCATTGATCACTAAGGGGATAGTGCTAAACCATTCATGAAGGTTGTCCCCATGATCCAATCACCTCCCACCCTGGGCTCCACCTCCAACATTGGGAATCACATTTCAACATGAGATTTGGAGGTGACAAATACCCAAACGATATCATATAATATATATGCAAATTATATAGTATGCTAGAAAGTGGTAAGACTCTGGGGAGGAAAAGAAAAAGTAGAAAGAGTTAGAGGGATTGAGAATGTGATGGAGGGAGGGGCAGGTCACTATACTATATCAGGTGGTCAAGGGAGAGAGAACTCATTGAAGAAGGTGAGAGTGGAGCAAAGATTTAAGGAAGGCAAAGAACTTAGGTAAGCAGCTATGGGGTGGAAGAGCAGCCTAGGAGGAAGAAACAACTGCAGTAAAGGCCCTAAAGCAGGAGTTGTCTGATGTGTTCACAGAACCGCAAGGAAGCCAGGGTGGCTGGAAGGGAGAGTCATTGGAAAGGAGGTCAGCAAAGCAAGGGGAGGCAGACCACAGGCCTCATGACTCTCACTGGAGTGCAATGGGACCCCCATGGGGTGAAAGCAGAGGAGTGAGCTGCTCTGATGTGAGCACTCACTCTGCTTGCCATATAGTGAGTAGACAGGAGAGACCAGGGCAGAAGTAAGAAGACCCATCAGAGGCTCTTCAGGAACCCGAGTGGGAGATGGTGGTGGAACAGGGTTGTAGTAGTGGCAGTAGTGAAAAAATGATCAGGTTTTGGAAATATTTGGAAGGTAGAACTCACAAGATTTCCTGATCAACTGGCTGTGGGGCAGGAGAAGAAACAGCGATGACTCCACAGTTTTGGGTTTCAGCAGCCCTAGAGAATGGATGGGTAAAAGCCTTGCAACTGAATGAAATCACAAGGGAATGGGTGCAGTAGTAAAGACAACCAAGGGCTGGCAATTAAACTTTATATATCAAAATGTATTAAAATGGACTTTAAAAGTTGTAGCCAAATAAGCAATCATAAGATGAGTAGCTTATGAAAACATTTATCTTCAGTTATTTAGAACAGATGTAGATCATAAGTAAGTTTTGAAGAGGAAGCAACCTTGACATATTGTACAGTGTATTCACAGGGAGTCCTGCTTGCACAGACTTTCCAGTGCACGGCAGCACTCTGGGAAGGCAATTAAAGGCCCTTATTTAATTATTGATTAATCAATGCTTCATCTAAAAGCATTTTTATTAATATAAACTCCATTGTTAATTATTTTCTAAAATATGTTAATATTCTTATCTAAGCAAAACTTAAAAAATTGTGTTGTTGGTGACAAGATTTACAGGAGCCTCAGGATCTCAATTCTGGATATAATTTTTTTTGTAAAAGGCGAATTTTGTTTTACCTGAAAGCAGTCTTAGAGAACATTTACTCCAATTCAGTAATTTTACAGTTAGGGTAAGTGAGGCACAGATAACTACGTAAGAATCTGAAACAGGAGTCAGCAAACTATATCCAATTTGTGTTCGTTCATTTGTTTTTATACAGCTTTATTGAGATATAGTCACATACCATAAAATTCACCCTTTTAAAGTGTACAATTCAGTACCTTCACAGAGTTGTGCAACCATCACTACTATCTAGCTTCAAAAAATTTCATCACCCCAAAAAGAAACCCCATGCCCCTCAATGTTCATTCCCCCTTCCCTCTTTCCCACAGTCCCTGGCAACCACGAATCTATTTTCTATTTCTATAGATTTGCCTATTATAGACACAGTTTAAATTTCCTGTTAATGGAATTATATGATGTGTGGCCTTTTGTGTTTGGCTTCTTTCACTTAGCATAATATAATATTTTCAGGGTTCATCCATGTTATAGCATGTATCAGTACTTCCTTCCTTTTTATGGCAAAATAGTATTCCATTGTATGGATATACCACATTTGATTTATCCACTCATCATTTGGTGGACATTTGAGTTGTTTCCGTTGCCAGCTATTAGGAATAATGCTGCTATGACCATTCATGTACAGGTTTTTGTGAGGACACATGCTCTCAGTTATCTTGGGTATATAGCTAAGAGTGAACTTGCTGGATAATAAGATAACTCTATGTTTAACATTTTGAGAAGCTACCAAATTGTTTTCCAAGGTGGCTGCACCATTTTACAATCTCAGTAGCAATGTGTGAGAATTCCAATTTCTCCACATCCTCACACTTTTTAATTTTAGCCATTCTGGTGGTTTTGATTTGCATTTTAATGATGACTAATAGTGTTGAGCATCTTTTTATGTGCTTATCAGCCATTGGTCTTCTTTGCAGAAATGTTTATTCAAATGATTTGTCCATTTTTACATTAGGCGGATTTTCTTTTTACTGTTGAACTAAAGAGTTATTTGTATGTTCTAGGTACATTCTCCTTATCAGATACATGATTTGCAAATATTTTATCTTGTTCTGTGGATTGTGTTTTCACTTTCTTGATGGTGTCCTTTGATAAATAAAAGTTTTTAATTTTTATGAAGTTACATTTATCTATTTTTATTTTGCTGCTTCTCTTTTGGTGTCACATCAAAGAAACCAGTACCACCTAATACAAGTTAACCAAGATTCATTTGTTTGTTTTCATCTAAGAGTTTTAAAGTTTTAGTTCTTTCATTTAGGTCTTTGATTCATTTTGAGTTAATTTTTGTATGTGGTATGAGATAGAAGCTCAACTTTTGCATATAGATATCCAGTTGTCTCAGTACTGTTTGTTAAAAAGGCTGTTCTTTTCCCAATATATTGTCTTGTCACCCTGGCCAAAAATAAATTGACCGTAAATGTAAGTGTCTGTTTCTAGACAATTAATTTTGTTGTATTGATTTATTGTCTAGACTTATGCTAGTATCATATTATCTTGACTATTGTAGCTTTGTAGTAAGTGAAATCTGGAAGTGCAAGTCCTCCAATTTTGTTCTTCTTTCTCAATATTGTTTTGACTATTCTGGGTCACTTTTATTTCCATATGAATTTTAGAAATAGCTTGTCAGTTTCTGAAAGACACTTAGCTTGTACCTTGATAGGAACTGCATTGAATCTGTAGTTTGAGGAGTACTGCCATCTTAACAATATTGCCTTCCAATTCATGAACATAAGAAATCTTTTCATTTATTTAGGCCCTATTTAATTTATTTCAACAACATGTTGTAGTTGTCATTGTACAAGTCTTGCACTTTTAAAATAAATTTATTCCTGATTATTTTATTATTTTTGATGCTGTCATGCCACCACCTGTTTTTTTAAAATAAAATTTTATCAGAATGAAGCCATATTCATTTTCTCACATATTTTCTTTGGCTTATTTTGTGCTACAAGGGTAGAGTTGAGTAGGTGCTATTGAGACCATATGGCCAACAAAGCTGAAAAATGTTTACTGTTTGGCCCTTGACAGAAAGAGTTTGCTGATCTCTGGTCTAGAACATAATTTGTTGGCAGGAAAAGCTGATTCTTTTCTTTTTCTTCCTTAGAGATGCTGTGTGGTAAGATGGAAGAAGAATCAGTGTTAGTATACTTGATGTTGAGAGATATAAATAAGATTGGATGGCTTGAGTTTTGGAGTAAGTGAGACCTAGGTTCAAACTCTGGATCATCGCTTTCTATTTGATCTCTCTGAAATTCTGTTTCGCCTCCTTGAAATTTTAGTTTCCTTTTCTTATGAGGGAAGAAAGTGACTTGTTATTGTCATATGTAACAGCCAATGGCAGAACTGGCCTCAAACTTCTCCTTTTTGTCCATTGTCATCTCCATTGCTTGACAGTTAAATCTCTGGCCAAGAGCTACATTCTAAATATTGCTACTTCCCCATCCTCCACACTAAATTCTTAACATCAACTTGTTACAAGCTGTGTCTTTATTATGCCATTTGTTTATACAATTTTTTTCATAAAAATGTAAGTGCAGAAAAATATGTTACTCAATATTAGATGGAACAAGTTTTGTTTTGTTTCTTTTCCTCTTATGAAAAAGATAAGTGATTTCATTTCCTAGTAAAGGTATTCTAGTTTGACTCATAAATTTGCAGGACACATTCTTTTCTTTATTAACTTTTGTTTTTATTTTATTTTATTTTTTATTTTTTTATTTCCATAGGTTGTTGGGGAACAGGTGGTATTTGATTATGTAAGCACTTTAGCAGTGATTTGTGAGATTATGGTGCACCCATCACTCGAGCAGTATACCCTGCGCTCAAAGGATAAAAGACACATTCATATTAACCATGATGATATAGAAAAGTGCAGCAGTTTCAGCCACCAAAATTATGTTTCCAGCAACATCTATTTTGTTGATATAGATGACAACAAGCTTCCAGCTGGAACAGATTCAAATGGGTTTCCTCTTGCTCAATATTTGAATCTACTCCAGAAAATGATGGCTAGACTAAAAGGAATCAAAATATGACTCAGCAACTCCAGTTGTATAGGTAAAATGCAGACTGCCAATTACAACTAAAAGTTCAGAAATGCTTTAGAAGTGTAACCTTGTAGTGAATTTATCTGGCACATAAACATTAAGTCTAGTGCTTACAGGAAGATAGAATTGTTTTTCAGGCACATTTTTAGCTTGATTCTTAATGCCTTAGGTATTAGTCCATTTTTGCGCTGCTGATAAAGACATACCTGAGACTGGGCAGTTTACAAAAGACAAATGTTTACTTGGACTTACAGTTCCACGTGGCTGGGGAAACCTCACAATCATGGCAGAATGCAAGGAAGAGCAAGTCACGTCTTACATGGATGGCAGCAGGCAAAGAGAGAGAGCTTGTGAAGGGGAACTCCTCTTTTTAAAACCAACAGATCTCATGAGACTTATTCACTAGCAAGAGCACAGGAAAGACTTGCCCCCACAATTCAATTACCTCCCACCATGTCCCTCCCACAACACGTGGGAGTTCAAGATGAGATTTGGGTGAGGACACAGCCAAACTATATCACCTTATTTTTAAAATTAGCTATTGTAATCTATTGAAAAATGGCAGGCAGCTATGACTATTTGTTCCTTCCAATTGAACATAATATTAGAAAAGATCAAGTGTTGATTATGATGTTACCTATTTGTAGAAACCAAGGAATCACCATTTATTTTTAAACTAACTGTACAAAAGGTTCAGAGTCAAAGAATTTCTGGGTTGGAGGGAACCAGTATTTTAAAAATCTTATGAACATTCTCAGTACAGAGAACTCACCACCTTCCAAACTGACTTTCCATCCTTAGAAAGTTCTGACAGTAAGAAATTTATCTCATATTGATGTTACTTATCCACTAATCATGTTGTATCATGCAGGGCCATAAAATAAAAAGATCACTTTCATATTAACCTTGAGTCTTCACTTTTCCAGACACTACATTACCATTGTTGTTTATCATCACAGAGTGCTTTTAAGTCCATTTATCCCCTTTTTTGGGCCATCTACCTCCTCCAACCCGCTTTTCTAAATGTTTTGCTCCTAAACAGTACATCTTTTTGAGAAGTATGTGAGTTGGATAGTGTGGTTTACAGCAAGAGCATGACTTCCCTCACTGTGCACACCCAATTTCTACTGATTCAACCTGAAGACACATCACCTGTTTGTCAGCCACATCACGCTGTTGACTTGTGTTAAGCTTACATCATCTAATACCCATAAGTCTTTATTTATTAATGTGCTAGGAATAAGCTATATATTTTTCTATTTCACATTATTATGGTTGGCACTTTGGGTGGAAGTACTAGGCCTTGCATTTTGTCTCCATTAAATTTTATATTGTTAGGCTAACCCTATTTTTCTTGAAATATTTGGGAGGATTCTATCATTCAATGCTTTTACTATCCCTGTTGCATTATCTTTAGTATGATTACTCACTTCCTACATATCAGTGATGACAGATTTGAGAGCTCAAATCCTTTAATGGGCCACTGAAACTTCTCTCTAGATTTAAATTCAATTCTGTAAACATATATTCAGTATTTACTTTATAATGGACTGTACTTAGTTCAGTGATGAACAGGATATGGTGGTAGTCTCAAGCACATCATCACTCTACAGTGGGAGAAAGACATCCAGAAATAACCATGGTATAAAATATTAAGTATAATAACAAAGTTGTGAACAAGGAACACAAAGGAGAGGCCAGTAATTATCTGGGAGAAGTGAATGATGCATACCAAAATGAGGGATATTTGAGCCAAGTTTTGAAAGAGAAGGAGATGTTTGTGAGAAGTACAAGAAAAGAGTCTGATTGCCATTCATTAATCAGCATTTATTCATAGGAAAATGAAATGTTATCTTCCTGATAGTTCTTCCCTGAAGAGACAAGTGGACAAAAAAAAATGAGACTCTAGAAGGGTGAATAACATAAGCCAATCAAAAATAACTCAGGAGTATGTAGTGGCTAGTTGACAATGCCACTGCAATCACATTATTTCAGAATGGCTGACTACATTTAAAATATTTTCTAGATCTTGTGATTCTTGTTTTTTTTCCCCCCTATGAGAGCAGTTAGGAAGCTCTTACTAATGTTTCTTAAATTTGGAGTTTAGGGACCAAGAATAGGAAATTCTGAAAAATTGTTTCCTATCCTATTTACCTGAATCTGCTTTGTAAGAGACTCCTCTATCTTGGAAGCATAACTTCTGTCCAGGTTAGATCCATCAACAGCTAGGTTACAGCAGCTTCCAGCTTCTTCAATCAGTATTTGGGACCTGGGAGTCACAGTGGACTCCACACCTTGGTAGAAATTTAGAAGTATGTTGCTGACAACAATGGATTTGTCCCCCAGCCTGCCAGCCCTGCCCTTGGGATCCATTCATGCAGCTGTAGTAAATAGCATTTTCCATGTAGTATCTCTGCAAGGACAATCAATTCAGCAACAGACTTTCTCCTTTAAAAAATGAAAAAAAAAAAAAAGTAATTAAAATCCTCTATCTTCTCACAACAAAGACCTGAGAATATAAAAGTACTTCTTCATTTATTGGGTTATGCTACTGACCTTTTAAGCGGTGTCTTAGCTCTGAGGATGATGAGTGACTTGGGCATTAAACAATCTGAAGACACCAAGGTAATTATGCTGTGGGCCAAGTCATTCATTTAGTTGAGAGTGTTCCTGCCATTTAGCAATGAGCCTGCAGCTTTTAAAAGCAAGGTCATTTGACCTGCTGCCTCAGCATAAAGGTACATGACCTTGTCTGCTGCCAGGCAGGTAAATGCAAGTATTAAATTGCCTTTACAATAGAGAGGTTTAAGACTTAGCCGGCTGTTGGAAACTTAGCCGAATAGTTGCTCTGACTTCAACAAAGTCACCTGCTAAATCTGTCTAAATCTCCAGGGAAGTCACGAATAAAATGAGGGCCCTAAAAACATAAAATTTTCAAAACTACGTATTTTATATATATAAAAAAACTACATGCATATAAAAATATTTGGGGCCAAATCAACATATCATTTGAATATTTTTCTATAGTGTTTACAGACTACAGTATATAAAGTGTTATAATCTTTCTGATATGTGTGTGTATCATATATGTATGTATATGTATATATAAATATAATATCAATATATAGCAAAATCGTGCTGATATAATCAAAGGTAGATTTAGGGATTAATAAAGTCAGATAATATTTATTGGAAAAATAAAGATTTATCCTTATTTTATATAGATAAAAGAGATGGTAATGTTTTGTCACCTATTAAGTCAGGGAATTCTTCAGCTTTTTCTAGTTTGTAACAAATAAATCCCAGATCTGAGGGGCTACAATGAGAAGTAGTCTTTCTTCTGTACAATACATCAGGGTTTGGTTCTGCTGAAGTCTTTTGGGCTCTGCTCAGCTTGGCTTAGCTCCATGCATGTTTTCGTTTTGGAACCCAGGCTAAAGGAGCAGCCCCTGTCTAGGACATGCTGTCCTGATACAAGGATGGCACAAAACGGCCCTAGCTAAGCCACACAGTCACGTTTAGGCTTCTGCTCAAATGTGGTAAGTGAACATCGTGTTCCCTCACATCCCATTAGCCAAAGCCTGTGCCATAGCCAAGCCCAAAGCCAGTGGATGAGTAAGCAGGATGAAGGTTGTATAGTTGTTTGTTCACATCCTCACCCTCCTTTCTATCACTTTCTTATCATAAGCCTAGGGAGTGGTAAAGAGAACGTTCTTCTGAATGGAAAGCTCTGGGATTATGGTCTGAGCTTGACTTTCCCTCCTGCCCACCACCTCACTACCTACCACCCTCACCCCATCACTCAACCGTGGCACCAAGTGCCCTTGCCTCTCTGGGAACCTTTCTCCACCCTGAAGGAGGATAGAATACTCTGAGAAGCTGGTATTGCTGTTTTTCTGTCTCCAGTGACCTACTTCAAGGAAATACAGGGAAAAGAATACTAAGAAGCCCCATGCCGTCTGTCCTTTGTCTGTGGCTGCCCACTTTTCCTACACAGGGCAGCAGTTTGCTGTCCACACTGGAACCCAACCACTCTCTCTTGAAGGGTTTCCCAGTTTATATGTGAGTTTCTGAGATCTGTCAGCCTCCTTTTTCTTTCTGTGGCTTCTCTAGGGTTGGGTTTGGGGAGGAAACAAGTAGCTAGTGTAAACTCCTTGTCAAACTACTTTGTGAAGCTACTTTGAGTTGTATAACCAGTTATTTCCACATCCTAAGGATAAATTGATCCATAATATTGGAAACTTAGCAACAAATTTTGAATGGCACAGAAGGTATAAGAATATAACAGAAATTTTCTTTTCAACCTGAGCTGTGAGGCTCTAAGACACCATATAGCATTTTTCTCAGTTTTGTAATTGATGTGCTTTAATGTTTTTGCACCGTGCAAATTTTCAGAATTATTTCCAGAAGCCTGCAATTCATGTTTCTTGAAAACGATATTTAATTATGCTTTGTTATATAAAATATATTGTGATAAATCTCTGATTCTCAGAAAAAGTGCCATGTGTGTGTAAGTGCATACACACACTTACGTATGTGATTTCTTCCCTCCATTCTTAGAGTGTTTGTCAATTATTTATGCCCATTGGGAACAGTTCTCCCCCTCTTCCCACATGCCTAGAACTATGACTCTCCTTACTTCCAGATGGGTAATCTGATGCTTTTAATTATTACACTAGCATTACTTTCACTAAGAGTTTATCATGAATCAATATTTTATTGAAGTTAAAAAAATCCTGATTTAGAAAACAAAGTCATGAATGACCAACTGGGGAATAAGAGCTGAGTGATGAAATGCCTGGCTAAAGAAGGAAAAGGCGATGAAGACCCTTTGCTGAAAGGTGGTATTTAGCATTAAAGTAAGATTTCAGAACCCAAATGGAACATTTTTTCAGATACATCTCCTTTAAACCAAATTGAGGTTGAGGTGAAGGGAACTAAAAAACTCAGCCTGGTTCTGAGCAGGTTCTGAGTCCAGCAGAAAACTCATCTTCAGATGTGCTGCCGTGGAGCAGCAGGCTCACTTCCTATTTTAGCTAAACACATTCATCCATTGTGGCATAGACCAGCCTTTGGATTCTCAGGGATTCTTGTACTGGGCACATTTTTTCTGTAGCAACATTGTCTCAAACATGATAAGACAAAACTCAGCCACAAGGAGAAAACTTTGGACAGCAGCATTCATATTGAATTGGACTTGGAGTCCAGATTAATAGCATACCTTGTACAAAAAAGTAAAAACCAGGAAGGAACAAAATAATGGCATTCACAGTGACCTGGATGGAAGTGGAGACCATTATTCTAAGTGAAGTAACTTGGGAATGGAAAACCAAACATTGTATATTCTCACTTATAAGTGGGAGCTAAGCTATGAGGATGCAAAGGCATAAGAATGATACAGTGGACTTTGGGGTCTGATAGGACGGTGAGGGTGGGAAGGGGTGAGGGATAAAAGACTACAAATTGAGGGTACAGTGTGTACTGCTTGGGTGATGGGTGCACCAAAATCTCAGAAGTTACCACTAAATATCTTATTCATGTAACCAAACACCACCTGTTCCCCCAAAACCTATGGAAATAAAAAAACACAAATAAAAAAGTAAAAACCAGGAGGCTTATTAGATTAAATGAACATAGAAATGTCTGCTTATATTATAGCAAATGCTGCAAAAGATAAATTGTGCAAAAAGTTATCTTTGTTTTTAACCAATACTGTCTTCTCAATTTGGGTGGCTATAATAAAATACCATAGACTGGGTGGCTTACAAACAACTGAAATTTATTTCTCACAGCTCTGGAAGCTGTAAGTCCAAGATCAAGAGCAGACGGAGAAAGCCAGCTCTCATGTGTCTTTTATAAGGGGACTAAGCCCATTCATGTGACCTCCATTTTCATGACCTAATATATCCCAAAGGCCCCACCTCCTAATATCGTCACGATGGGGTTAAGATTTCCACCTAAAAATTAGGAGAGGGGAGTGGTGGCAAATATTCAGCTGGTAGCAAATACCTAATTATTAAAGGTGGTGGCTCATTACTTCTTCATATGGCTAGCCAGCTATCCCAGCACCTCTTAATGAATAGGGAGTCCTTTTTCCATTGCTTATTTTTGCCTTTTTAGTAGAATAATTTATTTTCTATTTAAGATATATCAACCTTGTTGAATATCAGATGGCTGTAGGTGTGCAGTTTTATTTCTGGGTTCTTTATTCTGTTCCATTGTTATATATGTCTATTTTTGTGCCAGTACCATGCTGTTTTGGTTACTATAGCCTTACAGTATAGTTTGAAGTTGGGCAATATAATGCTTCCAGCTTTATTCTTTTTGCTTAGGATTGCATTGGCTCTTCAGGCTCTTTTTGGTTCCATATGAATTTTAGAATCATTTTTTCTGGATCTATGAAAGATGTCATTGGTAGCTCCTAGGAATACCATTGAATCTATAGACTGCTTTGGGCAGTATGGCCATTTTGATGATATTGATTCTTCCAATCCATGAGCATGAAATACTTTTCCATTTTTTAATGTCATCTATAATTTCTTTCAGCAGTGTTTTGCAGTTCTCCTTGTGGAGATCTTTCACCTTTTTGGTTAGATGTGTTCCTAGGTATTTTAATTTTTTGAAGCAATTCTTGATTTGGCTCTCAGCTTGAATGTTATTGATGTATAGAAATGCTACTGATTTTTGTACATGGAATTTGTATCCTGAAACTTTACTGAAGTCATTTATCAGTTCCAGAAGTCTTTTGGCAGAGTCTTTAGGGTTTTCTAGGTATGGAATCATATTGTCTACAAAGAGAGATAGTTCGACTTCCTTTTTCCTGTTTGAATGTCTTTTATTTCTTTCTTTTGTCTGTTTGCTCTGGCTAGTACTTCCAGTACTATATTGGAGTGGTGAGAATGGGCATCCTTTTCTTGTTCCAGTTCTCAGGGGTAATGCTTCCAGCTTTTGCCTGTTCAATATGATGTTGGCTGTGTGTTTGTCAGAGATGGCCCTTTTTATTTTGAGGTATGTTCCTTTGATGCTTCTAGTTTTTTGAGAGTTTTTATCATAAAGCAATGTTGGATTTTATCCAAAGCTTTTTCTGTGTCTATTGAGATGATTAGATGGTTTTTGTTTTTAATTCTGTTTATGTAGTGAATCATATTTATTAATGCACATATGTTAAATCAACCCAGTGTCCCAGGAATAAAGCCCACTTGATTTTGGTGAATTAATTTTTTGATGACCTGCTGGGTTTGATTTGCTATTATTTTGCTGAGGATTTTTGCATCTATGTTTATCAGTAATATTTGGTCTGTAGTTTTCTTTTTTCGTTGTGTCTTTGCCAGGTTTTGATATCAGGGTGATGGTGTCTTTATAGAATGAGTTAGGGAGGAGTCCCCCCTCCTCGATGTTTTGGAATAGTTTCAGTAGAATTGGTACCAGCTGTTCTTTGTATGTCTGGTAGGATTTGGGTGTGAATCAGTCTGGTCTGGGGCTTTGGTTGGTACATGTTTTAATTACTAACTTCAACTTCAGAACTTGATATTGGTGTATTCAGGGTTTCAGTTTCTTCCTGATGCAGTCTTGGGAGGTTGTGTGTTTCCAGAAATGTATCCATTTCCTCTAGATGTTCTTGTTTGTGTGCATAGAAGTGTTCATAATAGTCTCTGAGGATTTGTTATATTTCTGTGGGATCAGTTGTAATGTAACTTTTTTTGCTACTGATTGTGCTTATTTGGATCTTCTCTCTCTTTTTCTGTGGTAATCTAGCTAGTGGGCTATCAATTTTGTTTATGTTTTCAAGAATCCAACTTTTGGGTTTGTTAGGTTTGCATGGATTTTTGGGTCTCAACTTTGTTCAGTTCTGCTCTGATTTTAGTTATTTCTTTTCCTCTTCTAGCTTTTGGGTTACTTTGTTCTCACTTTTTTGGTTCCTGTAGGTGGGATATTAGATTGTTAAGTTGATATCTGCCTTTCTGAGGTAGGCATTTAGCACCTTAAACTTTCTTCTTAGTGCTGGTTTTGCTCCATTCCACAAATTTTGGTATGCTGTGTCTCTGTTTTCATTTATTTCAAAAATTTTTTTTCTTTATACCTTAATTTTGTTCTTTACCCAAAAGTCATTCGGAGTAAGTTGTTTAATTTCCATGCAGTTATATGGTTTTGAGAGATCTTCTTGGTGTTTATTTTTATTTTTCCTGTACTGTGGTCCAGAGTATGGGTGGTATGATTTAGATTTTTTTGAATTTATTGAGACTTGCTTTATGGCCAAACATGTGGTCAGTCTTGGAGTATGTTTCTTGTCCAGCTGAGAACGATATATATCCTGTGGTTGGTGGTTGGAGTATTCTGTAGATGTCTATTAGGCCTAGTGGGTCAAATGTTGAATTTAAGCCCAGAATTTCTTCATTAGTTTTCTGCCTCTATTATCTAATACTGTCAGTAGGGTTTTGAAGTCCCTTACTATTATTTATGTGGCTAAGTCTTTTGTAGGTCTAGAAGTACTTATTTTATGAATCTGGGTGCTCCAATGTTGGGTGCATATATATTTAGGATAGTTAAGCTTCTAGTTGAATTGAATGCTTTATAATTATGTGATGCCATTTTTGCCCTTTTTTATTCTTATATGATATAAGGATAATGACCCCCCCCCACCTCCGCTCTTTGTTTTCCTTTTGCATGATAGATCTTTCTTTGACCCTTTCCTTTGATCCTATCTGTGTCATTATGTGTGAGATGGGTCTCTTGAAGACAGCAGACTGATGTACTTTTTTAAAAATTCAACTTGCCACTCTGTGCCTTTTAAGTGAGGTGTTTAGGGCATTTGCATTCTAGGTTAAGGCTGTGTGTGGTGGATCATGCCTGTAATCCCAGCACTTTGGGAGGCCAAGGCAGGAGTATAACTTGAGGTCAAGAGTTCAAGACCATCCTGTTCAACATAACAAGATCCCATCTCTACCAAAAAAAAAAAAAGGAAATTACATTCAAGATTAATATTGATATGTGAGGTTTTGATCCTGTTGTGAAGTTGTTAGCTGGTTGCTTTGTAGTTTCTATTGTGTAGCTGCTTTATAGGGTCTGTGGGCTGTGTACTTAAGTTTATTTTTGTGGTAACAGGTATCATTCATTCTTTTGCTTTTATGTTTAGAACTCTCTCAAAGATCGCTTGTAAGGTTGGTCTAATAGTAGTGAATTCCCTTAGTGCTTGTTTGTCTGGAAAAAATCTATCTCTCCTTCACTTATGAAGCTTAGTTTGGTGGGATATGAAGTTCTTGGTTGGAATTTCTTTTCTCTAAGAATGCTAAAAATAGGCTCCCCATCTTTCCTGGTTTGTAAGGTTTCTGCTGAGAAGTCCGCTGTTAGCTGATGGGGTTCTCTTTATACATGTTCTGACCCTTTTTTCCAGCTGGCTTTAAGATTTTTTCTTTAGTGTTGACCTTTGACAGTCTGGTGACTATATGCCTTCATGATGTTTATCTTGTATAGTATCTCACAGGTGTTGTCTGGATTTCTCGTATCCAGATATCTACCTCTCTAGCAAGATTGAGGAAATTTTTCTGAATTATTCCCTTAAATATGTTTTCTAGATTGTTGACTTTCCGTCTCTGCAGAAATGCCACTAATTCATAGGTTTAGTAACTTTACCTAATCCCATATTTCTAAAAGACTTTGTTCACTTTTTAAAATTACCTTTTTTATTTTTGTCTGACTGTGTTAGTTAAAAAGACTGGTCTTCACGCACTGAAATTCTTTCTTCTGCTTGGTCTGGTCTATTGATGAAGCTTTCAATTTTATATTGAAATTTCTTAAATGAGTTTTTCAATTATAGAAGTTCTGGTTTTTTTTAAGATATTTATCTCTTCCTACATTTCCTGGATTGCTTAAGAAGTTTCATTGTGTTGATTTTCAACCTTGTCGTGGATCTTGTTGAGCTTCCTTGCAACCATGCTTTTAATTCTTTACGTGTCATTTCTGAGTTTCCATTTTGGTTGGGGACCATAGCTGGAGAGCTAGTGTAATCTTTTGGTGGTGTAACTGCATTCAGATTTGTCATAGTGCTGGAATTCTTGCATTTGTTCCTTCCCATCTGGAAATGCTGGCGTTTCTAATTTTTGTCATTATTTTTGTGTGGTTGGGGTTTTTTCTTTTTCTGTCTTTCCCTATAATATTATTGTTGTTTTCTTTCTTTCCCTTTCCCTTTCACCCCCTCCCTGGAGGATGTGATTACAGAGAAGGCTGGGTAGTATATTTTGGCTTTGCTTCTATAGCCCTATGCACTTCTGCTGACAGGTCTTATCTTGGGCTGTGCAGTTCAACCTCAAGCCAGTAGATGGTGCCTATGGGTAGGAGCTGTCTGTGGCCAATGTGGCTGGGTATAGCCTTGCTTACCGGGAGAAGTTCTCTGTTGCCTCAAGCAATGGGCTGGTTTATGGTGTGCACATTGGTCTGAGCTCCCTGCTCAGCCCTGGAAGGGGTGGGACAGGTGGCAAATGGGTGGGGTTGGACTAGGCAGGCTTTACAGGCCCTCTGATGGCATGCACGAGCACCAGCGCCAAAGGAGAACCCAGTGGGCAGCCACCACGTACCCAGAGGTGTGCCTAGTTTTGGAGCTGGGAAACCTCCTAGGCCTCAAGGTCTCTGCATGGTGGTGGGGAGTGGCTGAAACTCCTAATCCAGGAGAGTGAGTGTTCCAGATGGCTGGAGATCTGCCTGGGAATGGACCGTAGAGGACCCTACTGCACCAGAATCTCTGCACAAAGAAGGTGGGGTGGCTCTAGCTGC
The DNA here is from genome assembly GCF_000001405.40 of Homo sapiens. Classification (NCBI taxonomy): domain Eukaryota; kingdom Metazoa; phylum Chordata; class Mammalia; order Primates; family Hominidae; genus Homo; species Homo sapiens. The sequence goes on along the minus strand of NC_000014.9, from coordinate 59,688,175 downwards.
TAATCCAGGAGAACAGGTGCTTTGAATGCCTGGAGATCTGCCTGAGCATCGAGTAGAGAGGGCCCCTGTGCACCAGGATCTCTGCCTAGAATAGTGGGGCAGCTCAGGCTTCTGTTCTACATGAGCAGGTGCTCAAGATTCTTGGATATCTGCTTGGGCATAGAGAGCACAGAGGGTGCCCCTTTAGCAATATCTCTTCACAGGAATGGTGGGGTGGTTCAGGCTGCCAATCCTAGGCAAACAGGCTCTCTGTATGCCTGGAGGTCTGCCTGGGCATGAAACAGAGAAGGCCCCCCTTCACCAAGATCTCTGCACATGAGTGATAGGATGACTCAGGCTGCTGACCAGGCAAGCAGGTGCTCCAAATGCTTGGAGATTTGCCTGGGCATGAAGTGAAGAGGACCCCCCTGTACCAGGATCTCTGTATAGGAATGGTACAATGGGTCAGGATGCTAATCCAGGTAAGTGAGTGCTCTGAATGCCTGGAGATCTGCTTGGATGTGAAGTGGAAGGAACCTCTTTGAACTTGTGTCTGCACCTTTGCACAGGAAAGGTAGGGCAGCTTAGGCTGCTGAACTAGGTGAGCAGAAGCTCCAAATGCCTGGAGATCCACCTGGGCATAAAATGGAGAGACGCCTGCTGTACCAGGATCTCTGCACAGGAAGGATGGGCTGACTCAAGCTACTAGTCTTTGGGAGCAGGTGCTCTGAATGCCTGGAGATCTGCCTACATGTAGAGCAGAGAGGGCCCCTCATACCATGATCTATGCACAGGAAGGATAGGCTGGCTCCGACTACTGATCCAGGCAAGGGGGTGCTCTGAATTCCTGGAGATCTGCCTAGGCATGGAGTGGAGAGGGTCCTTCTGCACCATGATCTATATCCATGAAGGGTGGGGTGGCTCAGACTGCTGGCGCAGGCAAGCAGATGCTCCAAATGCCTGGATTTCTGCCTGGGGATGGAGCAGAGAGGACCCTGCCACCATGATCTCAGGGGAGCAGGCTGGGACACCCAGCAATGACACGTGCAGACTGGTTCCAGGTTGCCAAGCTAGCCCTGGCTTACAAGTCTCATCACCCAGATGAGATGCAGCTGTAGCGGCTCTCCTCCCACCCCGGGCCTGCAACAGGAGAAAGCACAATTCCAGCACCTCCTGCTGAGGCACTTTCCATAGCTCTGGTTGCAGAGGCCACTACCCAACTCCAGAGCAGGCACTTCAGTCTCTGACCTAAGACTATTATAAAATGCCTAAGTGGCCATGCTGCCAGGTCACTAAAGAATGGCTGCCTTTGAATGTGCCTGGATTAAAAATGGTGTCCTGTTCTTGGTTCCAGGCCTCAGAAAATGTCTGCAGCTTTTCCCAGCGTCTTTCCCTCATAGCATTTCCAAGCCTTTCCCCAAGTTACCTCCAGGGCTTGGAGAAACATAATGCTGTTCCTTAACCTGGGCTGCTCAGATCCCCAGTGGAAAGGTGAGTCACAGAGGAGGCTCTCTGCTCCTCTCATGTGCTGGGGCTTCACTTATGTTTATCAGACAGACACTGTCACGAGGGCTGTTTGCCCACGTTTTCCTCCTAGAGATCTGGGGTGTCCTTCATAAATCTAGTGGATTCTCATTTACTTTGTGAATTAAAGCTTATCTTTATGCACTGTCTTAATGCAGTATCTTGCTATTTCCAACTGGCTGAGACATGCTTTAACATTCACCATCTTGGAAAACAATCCTTATACATTTTGAATAGTAACTCCTTATCAGAGGTATAGTTTGCAGATATTTTCTCCTACTCTGTAGGTAGTCTCTTCATTCTGTTGACTGTTTCCTTTGCTTTGCAGAAGTTTTTTAAATTCGATATCATTTCATTTTTTTGTTTTTGTTTGTGTTGCCTGTGCTTTTGAGGTCATATCCAAAAAAATAATCGCCCAGGCCAGTGTCACAGAGCTTTCTCCCTAAATTTTCTTCTAGTAGTTTCATAGTTTCAAGTGTTATGTTTAAGTCTTTAATGTATTTTGACTGGATGTTTGTATATGGTGAGAGATAACAATTTTCCACTTTTCTGCCTGTGGAAATCCAGTTTGCCCAACACCATTTATTGAAGAGACTGTTCATTCCCCGCTGTGTGTTTCTGGCACCTTTGTCAAAAATTGGTTGGCCATAAATGCATGGATTTATCTCTGGGCTTTCTATTCTGTTCCATTGGTTTATCTGTCTGTTTTTATGCCAGTACCATGCAGTTTTGGTTCCTATAGCTTTATAGTAGTACATTTTGAAGTCAGGTAGTGTGATGCCTCCAGCTTTGTTATTTTTTGCTCAGGATTGCTTTAGGTATTTGGGATCTGTTGTGGTCACACACAGATTTCTGGTTTGTTTTTTCTATTTCTTTGAAGAAGGTCATTGGTATTTTGACAGGGATTGTGTTGAATCTGTAGACTGCTTTTGGGTAGGATGGACATGTTAACAATATTAATTCTTCTAATTCATGAATATGAGATCTTTTTCCATTTATTTGTGTCTTTTTCAATTTCTTTCATCAATGTTTTACAGTCTTTAGTGTAGAGATATACATTTAACCTCCTTGGTTAAATTTATTCCTAATATGTTTTTGTAGTTATTGTAAAGGGGAATATTTTCTTGATTTATTTTTCAGATAATTCACTGTTAATGTATAGAAATGCTACTCATTTTTGTATGTGATTTTGTTTCCTGCAACTTTACTAAATTCATTTATTAGATCTAACAGTTTTTTTGGTGGAGTCTTCAGACTTTTCTATATACAAGTTCATGTTGTCTTCAAAGAGAGACAATTTAGCTTCTTCCTTTCAGATTTGGATGCCTTTTATTTCTTCCTCTTTTCCTAATTGGTCTGGCTCAAACTTCTAGTACTGTGTTGAACAGAAGTGACAAGAGTGGTCATCTTTGTCTTGTTCCAGGTCTCAGAAGAAAAGCTCTCAACTTTTCCCGTTCGGTATGATGTTAGCTGTGAGTTTGTCATATATGGCCTTTATTGTGTTGAGGTACATTCCTAATTGTTGAGAGTTTTCATCATGAAAGCATATTAAGTTTTATTAAATGCTTTTTCTGCATCTACTAAAATTATCATATGGGTCTTATCCTGCATTCTGTTAATGTGATGTATTACATTTATTGATTTGCATATGTTGAACCGTTCTTGCATCCCTGGGATGAATCCCACTTGATCATGGGATAAAGTTACTTTTTAAAATTTTCAGAGTGGAGAGAATAAAGAATGGAGAACAAGGACTGAAGAGATGAGAATCAGGCACGTATTATATTTCTCATCAGCAGCACTGTACATGAGAAGACAGTACAGAATGATTTCAGATTTCTATGGAGAAAACTATTTTGAACTTAGACTTCTATACCCACCCAAACTATTATTCGTATAAGCAAAATCAAGATATTTTCTGACATTTAAACTTTGCAACTTTATTGCTCAAGTACCCCATATAAAAAAAATCTCAAGGAGGTAATCCTAACAAAACTAAATTCAGGGAAGAGGATGGAATACAGTATAAAACATAAGAAATTGTAGTAGCTGAATATGACCTATAAAGCATGAAGAAAAGTGAAATTAGAGAATTTATTGAATCTTAATGCCTACAGCTTTTTTCTGTTGAGTGGTAGGGGATTTAGTGATACGAGATCACAGTTTCCTTTCTTTGAGTCTAAACATGCTTCTTATTTTTATAGAAAATAATATCTAAGTCATGATAATACAATAATTCTGTTTATTGCCATAAATTTTAGAACCATCCTGTGGATAAAGTAGAGAAGTCCTAATTATAACTTTTGAAAAATATGTAAATTGTATAAATCTTGGCAGTAAAAGTAATGTGAAAAATCAGTAACTGGAAAGGATATAAATGATAGTGAAAATGCACTGAAGTTTTTAAATTTTATATAACAGGAACTACCTCAAATTACTAAATCTAGAAATACTTACAAAACAGATCATTTAATTAAATCATAGTAACCACCAGAAGTAAAAAAATAAAAAAAGTTAGAAGAGTGAGGTGAAGGGAGGGAGAATTTAACTTTTAAAAAGCCTTATTCTAATTAAAATTAAAGTCTTTCTCTTTTTGTGATTATAACATTGCAAACAGAAAGTGCACTGTATGTACTTTGCTTGGTCATTAGAAAACTTTAAATGCAGAAGCCTTCTGAGCCTGTGAAAGTCAATCACTAAAATTACTACTTTTAAGGCACTAACTCAAAGGGCAATCCTTGGTAATAAGAATCAGACAAAGACTCTCAAAACACCAGAGTACTCTTCATAGTGAAGAGAGCTGGCGTTGGCAAGAGCTAAAAAACAAAGAAAAGCAAATTAGATGGATCACCAGTTTTCTTTCATGGCAGACAAAAGCCCAAAACTCTTATCTGACTAATAAGGTCAACTACCTGAAACCAAAGATACTAAGGAAATAAGAGAGTAATTCTAAAGCAAGAGAAAGAAGCCCTTCAAGGGACCTACTATGGAGATAGAATACTAAATACTCTATGATCTAACCTTTCAGGAAATAGAAATGAATAAACAGATTTGTAACTTGGCTCACCTGGTTTGAAAAACAAAGAAAGTTTTCAGAAGTTGTGGTAAAAAGCCATCATTTGTGACATTTAATTCTACAGTGAATGGATCTTAGGCAAGTATATTACAAAGTGTTTTGAGACTGGCCAGAGACAAATTCTAACTAAGCTTTTTTTTTTTCAATTTTCTAAAAGAAAGTTAAATGAAAACCAAAAGAAACCCTAGTATTAAATGCCTACTGAATTGACAGATAAAGATGTGTATTGAATCCACGTCATTTCAAATCTGCAAAATGTATTTTCCATGTCAGTTATATTAGAAATGCATATTTCACTTCCCCTATCCCAGGATGATTTGGAAATATTTAGATCAGAAAATAAGTCATTGTGTTAATACACAAAATTAATACTACCTTCATACAACTTTAAATGGATTAATTAACGTATTTTTCAGCTATATAAAAGCAAAGAGTTGATGCCAACTAGTGATTTCCAATAGAAAGAGAACATGAGGTTGAGTCTGGAATAAGCTTCAGTATAGGACCAAAATAATGCGTTAGTAAGGAGAAATGGGATTGGCAGATTCATACATCAACCATAGTGAATGTCACCAAATATCTTGTGTCAGTTGACTTTTAAATATTAACCGAGAACCAAAATGTCACTCCCCTAGGTACAAATCAAATTGCTTCTCCTTTCTTTTGCCTGCACTCTTAAATGCTGAATAACCTCATAAGTAAGATTTCTATTAGGCAAATTAGTGCATGCGTATTAGGAACCACAGTTTCTGGAGTGGAGTTCAGTGGGACTAACTATATTCCCTATGATTAGTCACTTTAATCATAGAATTATGAGGAAACTCATAAATTATCAAATCATATTCTCAAAGCCTTTTTTAGCAATGCTTAACCATGTGCTCTGTAAGTATACATTTGATTTTGTTCCCTAGAGACAATTGTTTCTGTTTTATGAAGTGTGAAACATTACTCATTGGCAATTATGAGTAACTTTTATACTTGTTAAGTTTTATTGTTGTGTTAATGTAAACAGAAACACTTGTGTTTGTTTCCATTTGTTCAATACACATTTATTAGGCATCTACTTTCGCCAGAAGCTGGGAGATACAAAGATGACCATGAGTCAGTTCCTGCCCTCTAGCAATTCAAAGGAGACATAGGTATAAACTTCAACAGCAGGAAAGGCAAGTGGAATCCTTCTGTGGGGGCAGAAGTAGTCTATCTACCCAGCAGCCAGCACAATGCATGGTATAACATTGGATGTGTAATAAATCTTGTTCAAATAAATAAAATAATCATGAGAAGATGTACCAGAAATAGTAATGCCATAAGGAAAGGAAGACAAATGGAGTTGAACCTTGAGCTAAGTCTTGAAATATGGAGCAGGTGAGAGAATTTCAGTTGAAGAAAAGAATGTGTGTAAAGTCCTCAAAGGGTGAAATAGCATGTGATTTCAGGGAATTAGGATAATTCCATTTTTCTGGAAAGTATGTCAGTGGCAAAGCCATGGGAGATGAAGATGGGGAGATGGGAAGGAGCCACATTAAAAAGCACATGCTGGATCTTCTAGCTTCTTAAAGGGTAGCACCATGATCAGATTTATGTTTAGAAAGATTTCTCCATGAGAAGGACAGATTGGTAACCAAAAGGATAGTTAGAAGATCACTAAAAAAATCTAGTGAGCAGTGACGAGGGTCTAAACTATAAACTAAAGCTGTAGCAGCTGAGAGGATGAATTTGGGAGAGATTTGGAAAGTAGAAATCAAGGTTTGAGGGTAGGGGAAGGGAACAGTGAGACAGAAACAGGAATCTGGGATGATCCTTGTGTTCTGATGTGATTAGCTGGATGAAAAAGAAGGCTGCTTAGTGGAACACGATCTGAGAAGGTGATACAGGGAAAATGAGTTCATAGATGCCTAGGAGACATTCAGGAAGATTTATTTAGTAAGCAGTTAGTGACCTGAACCTGGAACTCAAGAGCTAGGTCCAGGCTGGAGATTCAGAGCTGGTGGTACCCATGTCTGGTGGTAACTATGAGCATGAGTGAGAGAGCCCAGTGGAGAATACAGAGTATTAGTGACCCAGATTCATTATTTCCCAGTGCCTACTGCAGTGTGTGGTTTGGGGATGGAATTGATATGACACTCATCATTGATAATCATTATTGGAGCTAGAAAAAAGGGTTGAAAAAATAGTATGGAGAACATTTTGGCATTTTCAAATTACCATTTTTTAAGATTCAGAATGATTTTCTATTGAGAGACAGTTACTCATGGAATAAAACATATGAATCAAGAACCAAGTAAATTAAAAGCAAAGTAACTGACTTGTTTTTGTTAGAGGAAATATATGTTCATATGTCTAAATTAAGAATTGTTCATAGCAAATAATGCTTGGTAAGTTTTTGTTGGATTTGTACATGTGGAAATCTAAGATGTATTTAATAAATATGGAAATAATAAAATAGATTTGTAGTTTTATGAGCACTTAGATGAAAAGAGAAGCAGAGAAAAAAGAGAAAATGGGAAATAGAGATAGACACACACATACTATTAATATAGAAACTTATAAAAGACAAAATAACTGTAATCCATAATTCAACCACCACTGTCAAAATTTCAACATATATTCTATTATTATGTCTGTACATATTTTTGTATACTTGTTATGTTGGCTGTATAAATTCATATACTTCTTTTTTTAACTTGATATGATAAACATTTTCCCAAGTTATTAAAAACTCTTCATAAATATGGTTTTTCATGACAGCATAAAGATGCCTATCACTTTTCAGTTACTTAGTTACACATTCTCTATTGTTCAACATTTAGATTTTAGCTTTAAAAAACTTTAAATACCACTCCATTGAGTATCTTTGTTTATAAGGCTTTGTGTTCATTTCAAATTATTTTCTTGAGATAGATTTCTGGAAATAGAATTACCATACTAAAACATATGAACATTTTAAGGCTCCTATTGCCAAATTGTGTTTTAGAAAGATGATACAAATGTATACTTCCATCAGCTTTATGTGGCAATGCCTGGACACACTAAATAATACAGCATGCTATAAAGCCTTGTATTTGGGTTCATTGGGAAATTGGTAATTGGCACTAACCTTGTATTTTATTCAGTGAATTCACTGATTAGCTCAAATTAGTAAAGATAGACTTATTGTAAACAATGACAACTATCTCCTTTTTTATTTAACTTTTATGCAAAATAACTTTAAAATGGAATTCAAAACACACTTCCCTATATTTTGCATGGTTTCACTTGGAAATACTTCTCCAGAAGGAAAGAAATGCTTCTCTAACTGGTATGGAGGGAAAGAGGGATTGCTCTTTCCTTTTTAGTACTATTAAGCAACAATTGTCTATTTTGGAGGAGGTTTATGACTTCTTTCAAAAACAAAGTATCCCATTTTTTCCCCAGAGCAAAGCTCTTAGAAGGCAATAGCTAAGAGCTATGTTACTAACATGATTGTTCTAGGAGGAGCACTGCTCAGCTCCCATGGCAACAGGTACCATGGAAATAGACACACTTTGTCAGAGGTATTGTAAATGCTATTGGGTATGAGGGCAGTAGTTGCAGTGAAATTTCATTGTTGCTATGTTGTAGAGGTTGCACAACACACCAAGCCTTATTTAGATTCTGTTGATAAGTCTGACCTGGTTTTTAAGAAGTTCTATTTTTTTAAAAAAGAAAAACAAACCCCAACCCCCAACCTGTTAGACCTAAGATAAAATGAGAACAATTTGCAAGGTTCAAATTGTTCTGTATGGAAGCTCTGGAAAATTATATGCAAGTCTGTATGGAAGCTCTGGAAAATTATGATATTTCAGAGAACTGTGAACTTTGAAGTGTCTGTGGCAATAAGTGATAGGTTGAGTGTGAATAACTTAAATCCAGAAGTCATCCCCAGACTTCATTTGAGCTAAACAGTTCAGCTTCTTCTCATAGGTCAGGTCACTGTTAATTTTTGCAGTGACAATGATTAACAATGAAATTATTAAGAGTGATTACTAATATAACACCTGTTTTGTACTCTGCTGTTTTACTGTTCAACCCTTTTTAATAACCATTAAAAGGTACCTATGACTAGTACTATAAGCAGATTCATCCCACAGTTGGGGAAATTAAGGCATAGAGAAGAAATAAAGACCTCATGGTCTTAGCTGGAGAGAGGTAGAGTCTGGATTGAGAAAAGTTAGAGCTCCAGTCTCTAGCCTTATTTTACAAACATTGATACAATGGTAAAGATGAAACCTAAGTCAAAGGGTGTATGGGTTATCATTGGTGGCTCTGTTTGTTTAATAGATAACTCAATTTAGCAGAGAGGGCTGTACTATTGTTTCATTTCAGAGCACCTGTGCAACTTCTGATGCTTAAGAGGGAAATTGAGAATACTTCTCTAATTCATACCCAAGCCACCCTAACAATTACACATGATAATACTCAATACAAAATGTCAAGTTAGGGATTATCTTGGCCTTTTTCTAGTAGATTCCTACCTGTTCCCAGTCTTTTCCAGACACTGTCATCCCTCACAATCCAATCTGTCACTCTGCCAGGAGCCAAGAGGATTCAGATGCTATCCCTTGCTTTTTGAAATCACAGTTGAACTCAAGAACCCAACAGAGTTAGATACTAAGACCCTGCACCTGTATCTATGGTCCTTAAACTTATATGTGCATAAGAATTACCTGGATAGCCTGTTAAAAATGTACATTCTCAGCTTCCCATTCTGACTAAGTAAGCCTGGGGTGAGGCCCAGGAAGCTGCATTTTTAACCAACTCCCCCAGTGCTTCTGAAGCAGGTGGTCTGTGGTCACGCTTTGAGAAACCTGAAGATCAGCATGTCAGTCTGTTAAAGTCTCTTCCACACCAGTGAGCCTAAGGACAATGGGGACAGTGGAGGTTGAGGAAGGGGCAGTAGTGAGAAGGGAGGCCTGTACCTCTGTGCCTGGGAGCCCAGCAAGGAACCTTCAGCTCTTGAGGTCCCAACATGTGCTGTGGCCCACGCTGGACCTCAGTATGTGGGAAAAAGCAACCAGCTTTCAGAATTCACAAAGGATGAGGCACAAGGTAGAGAAACAGGGATGCTGCAATCTGCAATCTGAGTGCGCTGGCCCCTGAGTCAGTAAGAGTTGTCTGTAGATACCTAAATGTTTAAATCAATTTTCTTCTCTCAGACAGTGGAATCCAGAACATATATTAAAAAGAGACCACTTCCAGCCTGTAGGAAAAATGAAGTTTTGTAGCTCATTGATGGCTTCTTTCTTGCTGTTAGGAAGGCCAAGCCAGAGAAGCTAAAATGATTGAGCTAGGCCATTTTCGCATTAGCATTCAACCCTTAAATAAAACTTTGGAGAAAAGACCCCTTTTCACATTCCCCACGCACCCCTACCACCACTGCCTAAGCTTTGGCAGCCTTCCAAATCCTCCAGACCCCAGAACAGGACTTGTCCCTGGGCTTGTTTTCCAGGGTTTATATGACGCCCTTGTTCCCTTCTTGGCAATTCAAGTGAAACTCACCATCTCAGGCCACAGCGTGGTAGTCATTGTTGTAAATAGCTTTGACTATTTATTTTTCTAAAATGCCTAGAATAGCATTTAGATGCCAAGATCCTGGGAGTGAGAAAAGAATGTTATTTTTGTAAGAAAGACTATTTTAGGGGACTGTTCTAACATTAAGAGACAGAAATGGGCCATGTGGTTTGCTAGGAAATTTCCTTGCAAAGCTAAAATCCACATTACTGCCTTTCATGACTGGGGTAGTTAGTCACTTTCTCACTTTATTTTAAATGAGGTCATGATTCCTGAGTTATTGTCACCTTTGGAAGCTAGAAGGATGGGTAAGTGCCAAGTGCTTTGAATCTACTCAAGAGAAAGCCAACGTACAATGGTTTTCCATTTACCTGTAGAAGGCAGGTCCATATCATCTTTGAAAAAATAATTACGCCTGTTCTTTGCATCTCCCGCCTCAGGACCAGAATTTGTGTTTGTTTAGTGATGAAAAGTCTCCAATATTAATATTAATCTTTTTGTTTGTTCTGTTTCCTTTGCCATCATGCTCTGTCCACTTACTGCAGTATTTGACTCCTTGAGATACATTTCAAATCATAAATCTCTCCTCATGGCTCCTTAAAAAAGTGAATCTTTCTCGTGTCCCTACTTTCTTGTGTCCCTACTTACTATTTTTATTACCAGATTATAACCATGATTTCCTCATTGACCACAGCAGTGGGGTACCAGCATCCCTGGAAAAAGATGTCTTGAATATCCTACAATGAATATCAAATGGAGAGAGCCTCTGCCTGTTCAAGGCTGAAAATCTGAGAAAAATAAAACTCACGTTGCTTTTTAAATTCAGAGATGTGACCACTGTGAATGTATTGCATCAACATAAGTCAAATATTGGTACCTATGGGTATAGAAGGATTCAAAGGCTGGGGTCCTGGAAGAAGAGGGTCAGAAAGCATCAGAAGGAGGAAGAGCAAGACTTGCAGACAACCCTGAGGTGGGAGCCAGCTCCCCTCACTCAGAAAGTGTGGGCTGGTACACCCGATAGGAATGGAGCAGGGCGCACATGGAGATTTGGGGTGAGCTCTCCTTTCCTAAGTAGGGTACACTGACAATGATCAATCTGTTCCCATCATCTGAACTTATAATGCCTTCCCAGAAAACCTCTTTGGGCTACCATCATACCTCTTAGAGAACAAGCATATATCTAAGCCTCATCACTTTTCAATGCTGCGGTTATTTCTGATGTTTCCTGGATTTAAGAAGTAGTGGTTTACTATTTTTTCAGTGTTTAAGAATGACCTTAGAAACCCGTTAAAGTGCATATGCTAGGGCTTCATCCCCAGCAATTCTGATTTGATTGATTGGGGATGGATCCAGAAATTTTTATTTTTAGTGAGTATACTGAATTATTTTAAAGAAGATAGTTAGGTTAGCAGAGCTACTCTTTGCTTCTTTTTACTTCCACCTTTCATGTTGTCCTGCCTCCTCTTTGATCAATACATACTATGTTTTTGCATGTGCCCTTTGCCCTCAAAAGTCTTTTCCAATCATCGATTAGGTAGGTATCATCTAAGCTTGGGTTTCTCACATAATTTCGTTAATGCTTCTTTGCTTCAAATTTTGACTTACCTTTAAGGCCATATAACTACTGATACTTAATTGAACCTGTTCTCTAATTGCCACCACTGCAGTTACAAATGATGATGATGATATTTTCAAGGTTATTTATTTATATCACAGAAAAGAACAGTAGCACTTGCTATATACTTAGAGCTTTCTGAGGATCAGCTATACACATAAGACACTGACTCATTAATTTTTACAGCTTCTGTGCAAAAACTAGCTAAAATTGCTTTCCACTTCAAGTTGAAGACAGTTAGTCATAAGTATACATTCCAGCATTAATTTTTTTCCTATTAACTTTGATGCATAAGGTTTATTTATTTAATGGATGTTTCTGGACTGTCTGCCATATGTCAGTCACTATGCTAGGTATTAATGATACAATGATGAACCTCCCCTCATGAAGCATCCAGGATAGTTGCAGAGCAAACAAGAAAACAAAGAGAATAATGAAAGTATACAGAGTGGTACCTAACACAGCATTAAATGGGGAGTGGGGGTTATCAGAGAGTTGTCTTGGAGGATTGAAAGTTGAGTAGGACTAAAGGTTTGAATGGAGGCTGAATATGTTGACCCCAGATCATGCCCTTAATAGCTGGTTGCATTTAAAACAGAATTCCAGCCATTGTAAGAATTTATTTTCTTGTGATTTATATCTTAAATATAAAATTCAAGTGAAAATGGATAATAAAAATAATCTGGCTGGGATCCCTGGGTGTTGGAATTGGATACCCCTGAGTTTCAATCCAAGCTCCACCACTTATACATGATGTGACTTTAGACAAGTTACTTAACCTCTCCAAATCTTAGGCTCCTCATCTGTGAAGTAGAAATAATGATTTAATAATAATTTATTATTAAATTATTATAAAATTGTATTATTAAATTATAAAATATATTATTATTAAATTATTTATTTTTACAATTTAATTGTGAGTGTTAAATGAAAGAACATATTGAACTAGATAATTCAGTATCTAGAACATAGTAAGTGCTCAATAAATTATAGCGCCCCCCCCCCAAGTCCTATAGGTCTCAAATAATTAATTTTTCTACTTTAACTAGTCTCCTGATCCCCAAATTAGCATTCCAGCTTCCTACTGAGCATTCTGACTTCTGTCTTTATATTCCCTGGCCTAAAAGACTCTCCACATGCAGTCCATTTTCCCCTTTCTCTCTTTCCTGCCTTCACCCCCATATGCACACATGATTTGTGTGACTTAGTTTATTCATCTGCCAAGACTTAGTTTAGACACTATTTATTCCAGGAAACCTTCCCTGACCCTCTTTACCATATCTTGGTTAGCCACCACTCCTCTGTGCACCATAACTCACTGAGCTTCCTCCATCATGGTGCCTTTCACACCATTTGATAATGTGTGTGTGTTTGTGTGTGTGTGTGTGTGTGTGTGTATTCATCTGCATACCCCACTGGGCTGTATTGTTTTCATGTGTGACTTGCTTGCCCTTTTAAGTCCAGCACCTAGAGGAGATAGGTGCTGGCCCCAATATGCATTTTCAACAAGTATTTTTGAATAAATTGAGATATCAATTTCCCCTAATTTTAGGTGAGGAGTGTACCTGATACATATACACTAGCCTCATTATAGTTTGTATAGATAACTTTGTCTTTTAATCTGTGCCATTTGCAATTTTGAGATACTTATTAACTTCTCTTTGCTACTTCTTCCTTTGCCATTTGCATCTTTCATTTCAGAATTATACAATGTCCAGGTTTTTTCTTTCTACAGTATAAAGCTCTGAACTCCTGATTAATCTTTCAATATGTTGAATAACATACACACACATACGGGCACACACGTACAGCCTTTATGTTTGGTTTCTTTCTTTGAATGCCGTTTGTTAAATAGTTCCTTTGGTAGTAATCCCTCTGGCTTTAGGTAAAGCCAGTTCAAAGCATTTTTAGAGCCTGGCAATTTGTAGCTCTCTTTAAAATATCTTTTCATCTCTCCAACTCCGTGCTTCTTAATCTGTACTAGAAACCAAGCATTTGAAAGAAACTAATATCACCTGCATTGTGGCTGCTTCTTTGCCTTTCTGCCTCCCACTTGTTACTGTAGTTTATTCATCTTTATTTTTCCAGCATCTAGTCCATGCCTGGAGCACTAGGCATGCTATCACTGCTTGTTAAATTAGAATTTGGAAAACTACCTAGTGCAAATATGTTTCCCACTGCTAGTAGACCACCCATATCGGTAGCTATCTGGCCTAGTTAGCTGACATGGCCAATAAGGCTGCCATAGAGGTATAACTTTGTCTTTAAAGTATTTATTCATTTCTGTTTCTCTTGTGGACTTCCAATACATGTAGAAAACAGGGACATTGAAAACTGAAACAGTTGGGGGAAGATTGAAGGGATGTGGGTGTGGTTATAAAAGGTTAACACAAGAAATTTTTGTGGCATTGAAACTGCTCAATATCTTTATTGTGGTGATAAAATTGTAAATAATAGACACTCACACAAATACCATGAATACAAGTAAAACTAGGGATATATGAATAAGATTGGGGGATTGAATCAATATCCATATCCTAGTTATAATATTGTATTACAATTTTGCAAAATGTTACTGATAGCAACAGGAGACAGACAAATTCTGTCAGATAGACAGACAGGGACAGTCCTCAGTGAAACCTGACCTTCAATCCAAGGACAGTTTAAAGCCTAAAAACAGAGCTGCCAGTTCTCGATAGAGTCCACGACTGGAGCGAGGACCTCTGTGCCCATCTTACCCTCCTCTCTCTCTGTTGGTTCCTTCTGGATGATGCCTTTTAACCAGTCAAATGGTGCTTTTTCCAAAGACCACCCATGGACCAATCAGCATGCATGCTTCCATTCTAAGCCCATAAAAACCCCAGACTCAGTCCTATGGGGGCTACCTGCCTTTGGGCCCCTACTCACTGCCGAAGGGTCCCCTCTCGCAGTTGAGAGCTTTGCTTCTGTTGCTAAATAAAATTCTTTGCCTTACTCACTCTCTGGTGTGTGCAGATGTTATTCCTCTTGGTTGTGGGACAAGGACCTGGAACTCACAAAGCTGTGGGCAGCAGGAACAAGACAGCTGTAACACACCCGCATTTGCCTAGCTCCAGACACAAAAAAGCAAAGCCACTGGGTACCACTCCCTCCCACTCGCCGAGCAACAAGAGAGAAAAAGCTTCTGGGCACCACTCCCTCCCACTCACGGAACACAAAAGCCACAACATTTCTTGGGGGCTCAGACCTTGGGACTCCCCAAGCAAGAGCTGTAACACAGTGGCTACAGAGATTTCCAGCTGGGGAAGTAGTACCAAAGGGATCCTGTAACATTACCATTGGAAGAAAGTGCACAAAGTATACAAGGGCTCTCTTAGTATTATACAAGTATTTCAATAAAAGTTTTCATTTAAAAAATGAAAGTTGAAAAAGAGAGAAACAGGAAACCAATGTCATAAAGAAAAGGGGTAAATTATTTCACTTTGAGCTTCCTAGTTAACCAAAGAAGTCAAGGCAAAAAAGAAATATCTTGGCCGGGCGCGGTGGCTCACGCCTGTAATCCCAGCACTTTGGGAGGCCGAGGCGGGTGGATCATGAGGTCAGGAGATCGAGACCATCCTGGCTAACAAGGTGAAACCCCGTCTCTACTAAAAATACAAAAAATTAGCCAGGCGCGGTGGCGGGCGCCTGTAGTCCCAGCTACTCGGGAGGCTGAGGCAGGAGAATGGCGTGAACCCGGGAAGCGGAGCTTGCAGTGAGCCGAGATTGCGCCACTGCAGTCCGCAGTCCGGCCTGGGCGACAGAGCGAGACTCCGTCTCAAAAAAAAAAAAAAAAAAAAAAAAAAGAAATATCTTGTATTCATTCATTCAACAAATCACTCATTCAACAAATAATGAATGCAATAAATAAC
Organism: Homo sapiens; assembly: GCF_000001405.40. Lineage (NCBI taxonomy): Eukaryota > Metazoa > Chordata > Mammalia > Primates > Hominidae > Homo > Homo sapiens. Next base: position 59,672,559 of record NC_000014.9, on the reverse strand, counting down.
CATCATCTAATAAAACATACAATCTGCTTGAGAAAGACAGCACCTTCCTTGATATTAATTTTGAAATTTGCCATATGATGTGTCCTTTATGTGGATTATTATGAAACTCGAAGCACCATAGTAAAAGCATAATAATTATCCTTGGAATTTGAGTGTTTTAAAGTAACATTTTTTGAGATCCTGCACTGGCTTTGTTCAAGCTGGAGTAACATCATAGCGCTTTACTTGCTATTGTGGAATGGCTTTTTATGTTGAGGTGCACTGTCTAATTTCACTTTCTGCTGAATGGACACCAGCTGCTATTTACTGACCACCATAATTGCTGGCTATTTACATATGTGTTGTGAGCAAGTGTCTCATTTTTCCTGGTGACAAACCTGAGCTCAAAGAGGTCAAATGGCATCTAAAGTAGTAAGGCTGATAAGTAGCAAAGCCAGGGCACTCTTCCCTGCCTGTAGCTTAACCAGACTAGATTCACATCCTAAAGCCAAGAGAGAAGGCAAGGCTGATTTTAGAGACTTTCAACATTTGTGCTTCCTACTAATTGTGTCCTAATCACTGTGGCATTAGGTTGTATAGTGTCCATTTCAGGAAAGAGAAAAGCAGGAACTAGATGTCAGAAATATAATATCAGGCTTTCTTGTTTTTGTTTTGTGGGAAGTAGCCAAAGACCAAACAAGACAAAAGATTAAACGTACAATATCGTCTCTCTGCATTGATTTCTGAGCCCAGGTCCAGCTCTGTAGAGTGGACATATGGGGGAAGCTTAGAGCTGTTCCCCGCCTAAGCATTGGCCTTTTCAGGTTCAAAAGCTTTAGATCCTTTGTGTGCCCTGGCCCCAGCTTCTCTGGTACAGACAGTGGGTGGTTGTTAGAAAGTGTCAGTAGGTGGTAAAGTGTCCTGGTGCTCTGAAGCCAGGCAAACCTGGGTCTGAAACTTGATTCTACCACTGAGGGGCTTTGTGAGGGTAGTCAAGTTACCTAAGGTTGAGTATTAGCAGCCCTTCCTTGTAAGTCTGTTGTGAGGATTAAATAAAATAATCCATGTGAAACACTTAGTCCAGTGTCTATCATTTGGTATATGTTAATATGTGCGATTGTTGGTATCACTCATTCTTTTTAGTGTGGAATGTTTTTCTCTGCTCTTTGGTTTGTATATGAGTTACAAGTAATCTTCCTTCCATGTTATCTGACAGTTGCAAAAGAAGTAATGAGGAGAATTTCTTCAAGAACTCTGGATCGTGGGCCTATAGCTAATAGGGGTTTAAAATAAGAAGAAAGAATCCTTTTCCACAAATATGGTAAAACTATAATTTTTTTAAATGCTCAAAGAGAGAATAGGTTGACTCAACATTTTCTCTTTTTTTTCCACAAGTATGACTTTTTGATGTGTCTTTACAAGACAAACTGTCTTTAAAAACCTTACATAACAACCCTCCCTCCTCCCTATGTACACTTCCATATGTACCCACACAAAGACTGGGCCAGTTTATGCATCTGTAGAGTCCACTACTTAAAACCAACAGGATGGAGTGATGGATGGTCATAGTGGTATCAGTGAGGGCACTGCTATTAACTACATGTGGTAGCTCAGATTAGAAAGTCCTGAAAGGAATGTTGTACATGTACACCTTTCCCAATTTACTCATATTTTAATGGGAATTGCTTTCAAAGATGTGTTAATAACCATGTTGCTGTTATAGAAGGAGTCCAAGGATACCTTCTGAAATGGCTCAAAATACACATGCAAAAATATACTAGCCATCATGACACCTGGATGTCATTTACCTTCTTTGGGCATAATGAGTTACTATATTAACACTTATTTAGCCTGTTCCAGCATATTTTTCATCTTCGAGCAAGTGAAGAGACTGAGACCAGTATATGCTATGGAGGTACTGACACATATAGTTGAAGGAGATTGGTTAAAACATGTGCCGAATTGGTCAAACTTCTTTTCACTTCAAGTTTAACATCAGATGTGAGTTTTTCTGAATATATTTAGGTCCACGTTGCCATCTTCAAGACTTTTTAAAACCATCTTCACCTAAAGTTAGATTACATTAAAAGAAAAATAAGAATATATTTGGAGCAGAGCTCTAACTTTATTTTATACCACAAGAGTTCTGATTTTGTGGATTCAGGTTGCGTCTTGCTGAGAAGAAATTTCAGTGCTGCTTCAGCAGCTTCCTGGGCTTTCAGATTATTATTTTTTTAATTTCCTTCTATATAAGTTAAGAGTGGTTTGCAAAATTGCATTTGTTTGCAAAAATTTACTGCTGGGCTATAAATGTTTAATGAGATCATTATTTTAAATCTAATTCTGGTCCTTGCTTATTAATGCACATTCTGCAAAGGAAACTTTGAGTGGGGAACTTTACACTATCTCACTACACTATTGCACTAGGCACTATTGCAAAATTCTTAGTATTTCCCTTCTATGATGATTTATTGAGAATGTTTCTGTTATGTTGATGTACTGGGCAATTTTTGCAATAGCAACCCATTCATTTAGTTATTCTATTTGTCGTTGCACACTTTCAAAGTGATCAATGATGACCTTCAAATAAAATATTGGAAAATGTCTAACTCATTCATGGTGAGAGAAATGAGCAAAAAAATGGAGACAGAAGATTTTGTTGCTCTGGAACAAGGAGTCTGCATGATGAAGGGGCCAGGGAAGAGGTACAACAGTGCTACTGAACCTTAGTGAGTTTAACAGTAGAAATGCTTTTGGCTGCAAGTGACAGAAAATCCACTCATCGGCAGTGTGAACCTTAAGGTTATTCACTACTCACTTAATAAGAACTTTAGAGCAAGGAGATCTCAGAGACATAGGTGACTTGACAGAGCTCTAGTGCCAGGGCACTAGACTTACAGAGTATTCCTCATCATCATCTCCTCATGATCATAAGATGGCTGCAACAGTTCTTTTTTTTATTTTTTATTTTTTATATTATACTTAAAGTTCTAGGGTACATATGCACAACATGCAGGTTTGATACATAGGTATACATGCCCCATGTTCATTTGCTGCATCCATCAACTCATCATTTAAATTAGATATTTCTCCTAATGCTATCCCTCCCCCAGGCCCCCATCCCCCTGACAGGCCCCGGTGTATGATGTTCCCTGCCCTGTGTCCAAGTGATCTCATTGTTCAATTCCCATCTATGAGTGAGAACATGCAGTGTTTGATTTTCTGTCCTTGTGATAATTTGAAGAGAATGATGATTTCCAACTCCATCCATGTCCCTGCAAAGAACATGAACCCATCCTTTTTTATGGCTGCATAGTATTCCATGGTGTATATGTGCCACATTTTCTTAATCCAGTCTATCATTGATGGACATTTGGGTTGGTTCCAAGTCTTTGCTATTGGGAATATTGCTGCAATAAACATATGTGTGCATATGACTTTGTAGCAGCATGATTTATAATCCTTTGGGTATATACCCAGTAATGGGATTGCTGGGTCAAATGGTAATTCTAGTTCTAGATCCTTGAGGAATCGCCACACTGTCTTCCACAGTGGTTGAACTAATTTACACTCCCACCAAGAGTGTAAAAGGGTGCCTGTTACTCCACATCCTCTCCAGCATCTGTTGTTTCCTGACTTTTTAATGATTGCCATTCTAACTGGCATGAGATGGCATCTCATTGTGGTTCTGATTTGTATTTCTCTGATCACCAGTGACGATGAGCATTTTTTCATGTGTCTACTGGCTGCATAGATGTCTTCTTTTGAGAAGTGTCTGTTCATATCCTTTGCCCACTTTTTGATGGGATTGTTTGGTTTTTTTCTTGTAAATTTGTTTGAATTCTTTGTAGATTCTGGATATTAGCCCTTTGTCAGATGGGTAGATTGCAAAAATTTTCTCCGATTCTGTAGGTTGCCTGTGCACTGTGATGGTAGTTTCTTTTGTCGTGCAGAAGCTCTTTAGTTTAATTAGATCCCATTTGTCAATTTTGGCTTTTGTTGCCATTGCTTTTGGTGTTTTAGGCATGAAGTCCTTGCCCATGCCTATGTCCTGAATGGTATTGCCTAGGATTTCTTCTAGGGTTTTTATGGTTTTAGGACTAACATTTCAGTCTTTAATCCATCTTGAATTAATTTTTGTATAAGGTGTAAGGAAGGGATACAGTTTCAGCTTTCTACATGTGGCTAGCCAGTTTTCCCAGCACCATTTATTAAATAGGGAATCCTGTCCCCATTTCTTGTTTTTGTCAGGTTTGTCAAAATCAGATGGTTGTAGATGTGCGGTGTTATTTCTGAGGCCTCTGTTCTGTTCCATTGGTCTATAAATCTGTTTTGGTACCAGTACCATGCTGTCTTGGTTACTGTAGCCTTGTAGTATAGTTTGAAGTCAGGTAGCATGATGCCTCCAGCTTTGTTCTTTTTCTGTAGGATTCACTTGGCAATGTGGGCCCTTTTTTGGTTCCATATGAACTTTAAAGTAGTTTTTTCCAATTCTGTGAAGAAAATCAATGTTAGCTTGATGGGGATGACATTGAATCTATAAATTACTTTGGGCAGTATGGCCATTTTCATCATATTGATTCTTCCTATCCATGAGCATGGAATATTCTTCCATTTGTTCGTGTCCTCTTTTATTTCGTTGAGCAGTGGTTTGTAGTTCTCCTTGAAGAGGTCCTTCACATCCCTTGTAAGCTGGATTCCTAGGTATTTTATTCTCTTTGTAGCAATTGTGAATGGCTCATGATTTGGCTCTCTGTTTGTCTGCTAATGGTGTAGAGGAATGCTTGTGATTTTTGCCCATTGATTTTGTATCCTGAGACTTTGCTGAAGTTACTTATCAACTTAAGGAGATTTTGGGCTGAGACAGTGGGGTTTTCTAAATATACAGTCATGTCATCTGCAAACAGGGACAATTCGACTTCCTCATTTCCTAATTGAATACCGTTTATTTATTTCTCTTGCCTGATTGCCCTGGCCAGAATTTCCAACACTATGTTGAATAGGAGTGGTGAGAGAGCTCATCCTTGTCTTGTGCCAGTTTTCAAAGGGGATGCTTCCCGTTTTTGCCCATTCAGTAAGATATTGGCTATGGGTCTGTCAAAAATATCTCTTATTATTTTGAGGTATGTTCCATCAATACCTAGTTGATTGAGAGTTTTTAGCATGAAAGGCTGTTGAATTTTGTCAAAGGCCTTTTCTGCACCTATTGAGATAATCATGTGGTTTTTGTTGTTGGTTCTGTTTATGTGATGGATTACATTTATTGATTTGCATATGTTGAACCAGCCTTGCATCCCAGTGATGAAGCCGACTTGATCGTGGTGGATAAGCTTTTTGATATGCTGCTGGATTTGGTTTGCCAGTATTTTATTGAGGATTTTCACATTGATGTTCATCAGGGATATTGGTCTAAAATTCTCTTTTTTTGTTGTGTCTTTGCCAGGTTTTGTTATCAGGATGATGCTAGCCTCATAAAATGAGTTAGGGAGGATTCCCTCTTTTTCTATTGATTTGAATAGTTTCAGAAGGAATGGTACCAGCTCCTCTTTGTACCTCTGGTAGAATTCAGCTGTGAATCCGTATGGTCCTGGGCTTTTTTTTTTTTTTTTTTTTTTTTTGGTTGGTCGGCTATTAATTACTGCCTCAATTTCAGAACTTGATATTGGTCTATTCAGAGATTCAAGTTCTTCCTGGTTTAGTCTTGGGAGGGTGTATGTGTGCAGGAATTTATCCATTTCTTCTAGATTTTCTAGTTTATTTGTGTAGAGGTGTTTAGTATTCTCTGATGATAGTCTGTATTTCTGTGGGATTGGTGGTGATATCCCCTTTATCATTTTTTATTGCATCTATTTGAATCTTCTCTCTTTTCTTCTTTATTAGTCTTGCTAGCGGTCTATCAATTTTGTTGATCTTTTGAAAAAACCATCTCCTGGATTCATTGATTTTTTTTGAAGGGTTTTCTGTGTCTCTATCTCTTTCAGCTGTGCTCTGATCTTAGTTATTTTTTGTCTTCTGCTAGCTTTTGAATTTGTTTGCTCTTGCTTCTCTAGTTCTTTTAATTGTGATGTTAGAGTGTCGATTTTAGATCTTTCCTGCTTTTTCTTGTGGACATTTAGGGTTATAAATTTCCCTCTACACACTGCTTTAAATGTGTCCCAGAGATTCTGGTACATTGTGTCTTTGTTCTCATTGGTTTCAAAGAACATCTTTATTTCTGCCTTCATTTTGTTATTTACCCAGTAGTCATTCAGGAGCAAGTTGTTCAGTTTCCATGTAGTTGTGTGGTTTTGAGTGAGTTTCTTAATCCTGAGTTGTAATTGATTGCACTCTGGTCTGAGAGACAGTTTGTTGTGATTTCTGTTCTTTTACATTTGCTGAGGAGTGCATTACTTCCAATTATGTGGTCAATTTTAGAATAAGTGTGATGTGATGCTGAGAATAATGTATATTCTGTTGATTTGGAGTGGAGCTTTCCGTAGATGTCTAGTAGGTCTACTTGTTGCAGAGCTGAGTTCAGGTCCTGGATATCCTTGTTAACCTTCTGTCTGGTTGATCTGTCTAATATTGACAGTGGGGTGTTAAAGTCTCCCATTATTATTGCGTGGGCGTCTAAGTCTCTTTGTAGGTCTCTAAGGACTTGCTTTATGAATCTGGGTGCTCCTGTATTTGGTGCATATATATTTAGGATAGTTAGCTCTTCTTGTTGCGTTGATCCCTTTACCATTATATAATGGCCTTCTTTGTCTCTTTTGATCTTTGTTGGTTTAAAGTTGTTTTATCAGAGACTAGGATTGCAACCCCTGCTTTTTTTTGCTTTCCATTTGCTTGGTAGGTCTTCCTCCATCCCTTTATTTTAAGCTTATGTGTGTCTTTGCATGTGAAATGGGTCTCTTGAATACAGCACACTGATGGGTCTTGACTCTTTATCCAATTTGCCAGTCTGTGTCTTTTAATTGGGGCATTTAGCCCATTTACATTTAAGGTTAATATTGTTATATGTGAATCTGATCCTCTCACTACGATGTTTGCTGATTATTTTGCCCGTTAATTGATGCAGTTTCTTCATAGCATCAATGGTCTTTACAATTTGGGATGTTTCTGCAGTGGCTGGTACCGGTTGTTTCTTTCCATGTTTAATGCTTCCTTCAGGAGCTCTTGTAAGGCAGGCCTGGTGGTGACAAAATCTCTCAGCATTTGCTTGTCTGTAAAGGATTTTATTTCTCCTTCACTTATGAAGCTTAGTTTGGCTGGTTATGAAATTCTGGGTTGAAAATTCTTTTCTTTAAGAATGTTGAATATTGGCCCCCACTGTCTTTTGGCTTGTAGAGTTTCTGCCGAGAGATCCGCTGTTAGTCTGCTGGGCTTCCCTTTGTGGGTAACTTGACCTTTCTCTCTGGCTGCCCTTAACACATTTTCCTTCATTTCAACCTTGGTGAACCTGACATAAGCAGACATTTCACCAAAGAGGATATATAGATGTTAAGTAAGCATGAGAAATAACATCAGAGACAATGTAAACTAAAACCACAAGGAGACTAACAACATTAACAGAATGGCTAAAGTCATAAGCAGTGGCAACACTAAATGCGGCAAGAATGTGGAGATACTGGATCACTCATTCATTGCTGGTGGGAATATAAAGTTGTACAGCCACTTTGCAAAAAAGTTGGATAGTTTCTATAATGAAACATATAATTATCCTGTGACTCAGTAATTGCACTCTGGCATTTATCCCAGGGAAATAAAAACTTACGCTTGCACAAAAAAAAATTATACACAGATGTTCACAGCAGTTATAATAGTCAGAAGCTTTCTTCAGCAGGTGAATGATGAAACAATACATGGTACATCCATAACATGGAATGTTACTCAGAAAAAAATAAATAAAAAGGAACAAACTGTTGATACATGCAGGCCTCTGAAGATGTCAAAACATCATATGATACAGAAAATACAAAATATAGTTAATACACATGGGCATAGGTTTAAATATTCTATGTTACTGATTTCTTAATTGAGTTATATTTCTCAAGACTCTATTAAATAAAAAATAATGTTAGTTGCCTCAGATGCATTTAATTTTATCATATTGTGGTTATTTTGTGACTTTTTTTATTATACTTGAAGTAATGGGATACATATGCAGAACATGCAAGTTTGTTACATAGGTATATACGTGCCATGGTGGTTTGCTGCACCCATCAACCCGTCATCTACATTAGGTATTTCTCCTAATGCTATCACTTCCCTTTCCCCCCACCACCTGACAGGCCCCGATATGTGATGTTCCCCTCCCTGTGTCCATGTGTTCTCATCGTTCAACTCCCACTTATGAGTGAGAACATGCAGTGTTTGGTTTTCTGTTCCTGTGTTAGTTTGCCGAGAATGATGGTTTCCAGCTTCATCCATGTCCCTGCAAAGGATATGAACTCGTCCTTTGCTGTGGCTACATAGTATTCCATGGTGTATATATGCCACATTTTCTTTATCCAGCGTATCATTGCTGGGCATTTCGGTTGGTTCCAAGTCTTTGCTATTGTGAATAGTGCTGCAATAAACATACGTGTGCATGTGTGTTTAGAGTAGAATGATTTATAATCCTTTGGGTATATACTCAGTAATGAGATTGCTGGGTCAAATGATGTTTCTGGTTCTAGATCCTTGAGGAATCGCCACACTATCTTCCACAATGGCTGAACTAATTTAAACTCCCACTGACAGTATAATAGCATTCCTATTTCTCCACATCCTCTCCAGCATCCAGCATTTTAATGATCACCATTCTAACTGGCATGAGATGGTATCTCATTGTGGTTTTGATTTGCATGTCTCTAATGACCAGTGATGCTGAGCTTTTTTTCATATGTTTGTTGGCTGCATAAATGTCTTCTATTGAGAAGTGTCTGTTCATATCCTTTGCCCACTTTTTGATGGTTTTTTTTTTCTTGTAAATTTGTTTAAGTTCCTTGTAGATTCTGGATATTAGCCCTTTATGAGATGGACAGATTGCAAAAATTTTCTCCTATTCTGTAGATTGCCTGTTCACACTGATGATAGTTTCTTTTGCTGTACAGAAGTCTGTCAGTTTAATTAGATCCCATTTGTCAATTTTTGCTTTTGTTGCCATTGCTTTTGGTGTTTTAGTCATGAAGTCTTTGCCCATGCCTATGTCCTGAATGGTATTGCCTAGGTTTTCTTCTAGGGTTTTTATGGTTTAGGTCTTATGTTTAAGTCTTTGCCCAAGCCTATGTCCTAGGTTTTCTTCTAGTGTTTTCATGGTTTTAGGTCTTACATTTAAGTCTTTAATCCATCTCGAGTTAACTTTTGTATAATGTATAAGGAAGGAGTCCAGTTTCAGTTTTCTACATGTGGCTAGCCAGTTTTCCCAGCACCATTTATTAAATAGGGAATCCTTTCCCCACTGCTTGTTCTTGTCAGGTTTGTCAAAATCAGATGGTTGTAGATGTGCGGTGTTATTTCTGAGTTCTCTGTTCTGTTCCATTAGTCTATATATCTGTTTTGGTAGCAGTACCATGCTGTTTTGGTTACTGTAGCCTTGTAGTATAGTTTGAAGTCAGGTAGCATGATGCCTCCAGCTTTGTTCTTTTTACTTAGGATTGTCTTGGCTATATGGGCTCTTTTTAGGCTCTGTGTGAACTTTAAAGTAGTTTTTTCTAATTCGGTGAAGAAAGTCAATGGTAGCTTGATGAGGATAGCATTGAATCCATAAATTACTTTGGGCAGTATGGCCATATTCATGATATTGATTCTTCCTATCCATGAGCATGGAGTGTTTTTCCATTTGTATGTGTCCTCTCTTATTTCATTGAGCAGTGGTTTGTAGTTCTCCTTGAAGAGGTCCTTCACATCACTTTTAAGTTGTATTCCTAGGTATTTTATTCTCTTTGTAGCAATTGTGAATGGGAGTTCACTCATGATTTGGTTCTCTGTTTGTCTATTATTGGCATATAAGAATGCTTGTGATTTTTAAAGACCTGGAACCAACCGAAATGTCCAACAATGATAGACTAGATTAAGAAAATGTGGCACATATACTCCATGGAATACTATGCAGCCATAAAAAATGATGAGTTCATGTCCTTTGTAGGGACATGGATGAAGCTGGAAACCATCATTCTCAGCAAACTATCACAAGGACAAAAAAACAAACACCGCATGTTCTCACTCATAGGTGGGAATTGAACAATGAGAACACTTGGACACAGGAAGGGGGACATCACACACCGGGGCCTGTTGTGGGGTGGGGGGAGGGGGGAAGGATAGCATTAGGAGATATACGTAATGTAAATGACGAGTTAATGGGTGCAGCACACCAACATGGCACGTGTATACATATGTAACAAACCTGCACATTGTGCACATGTACCCTAGAACTTAAAGTATAATAAAAAAAAAAGAAAAAAGAAAGCTGGATTTCACTCCAAAATGTAAAAAATAAAAAAATAAAATAAAAAGAATGCTTGTGATTTTTGCACATTGATTTTGTATCCTGAGATTTTACTGAAGTTGCTTATCAAGTTGCTTATCAACTTAAGGAGATTTTGGGCTGAGACAGTGGGGTTTTCTAAATATACAATCATGTCATCTGCAAACAGGGACAATTTGACTTCCTCTTTTCCTAATTGAATACGCTTTATTTCTTTCTCTTGCCTGATTGCCCTGGCCAGAACTTCCAACACTATGTTGAATAGGAGTGCTGAGAGAGGGCATCCTTGTCTTGTGCCAGTTTTCAAAGGGAATGCTTCGGGATTTTGCCCATTCAGTATGATATTGGTTGTGGGTTTGTCATAAATAGCTTATTATTTTGAGGTACGTTCCTTCAGTACCTAGTTTATTGAGAGTTTTTAGCATGAATGGGGTGTTGAATTTTATCGAAAGCCTTTTCTTCATCTATTGAAATAATCATGTGGTTTTTGTTGTTGGTTCTGTTTATGTGATGGATTACATTTATTGATTTGCATATGTTGAACCAGCCTTGCATCCCAGTGATGAAGCTGACTTGATCATGGTGGATAAGCTTTTTGATGTGCTGCTGGATTTGGTTTGCCAGTATTTTATTGAGGATTTTTGCATTGATGTTCATCAGGGATATTGGCCTCAAATTTTCCTTTTTTGTTGTGTCTCTGCCAGGTTTTGTTATCAGGATGATGCTAGCCTCATAAAATGAGTTAGGGAGGATTCCCTCTTTTTCTGTTGTTTGGAATAGTTTCAGAAGGAATGGTACCAGCTCCTCTTTATACCTCGAATAGAATTCGGCTGTGAATCCTTATGGTCCTGGGCTTTTTTTTTTTTTTTTTTTTGGTTGGTAGGCTATTAATTACTGCCTGAATTTCACAACTTGATATTGGTCTGTTCAGGGACTCAACTTCTTTCTGGTTTAGCCTTGGGAGGGTGTATGTGTCCAGGAATTTATCCATTTCTTCTAGATTTTCTCATTTATTTGTGTAGAGGTGTTTATAGTATTCTCTGACAGTAGTTTGTATTTCTGTGGGATCAGTGGTGACCTACCCTTTATCATTTTTTATTGTGTCTATTTGATTTTTCTCTTTTTTCTTCTTTATTAGTCTGGCTAGCAGTCTTATCTATTTTGTTTATATTTTCAAAAAAAACAGCTCCTGGATTCTTTGGTTTTTTGAAGGGTTTTTCATGTCCCTGTCTCCTTCAGTTGTGCTCTGATCTTAGTTATTTCTTGTCTTCTGCTAGCTTTTGAATTTGTTTGTTCTTGCTTCTCTGTTTCTTTTCATTTTGATGTTAGGGTGTAAATTTTAGGTCTTTCCTGGTTTCTTTTTTGGGAATTTAGTGCTATAAATTTCCCTCTAAACATTGCTTTAGCTGTGTCCGAGAGATTCTGGTACATTGTGTCTGTGTTCTCATTGGTTTCAAATAACTTATTTATTTCTTCCTTAATTTCATTATTTACCCAGTAGTCATTCAGGAGCAAGTTGTTCAGTTTCCATGTAGTTGTGTGGTTTTGAGTTCCTTAATCCTGAGTTCTAATTGATTGCACCATGGTCTGAGAGACTGTTTGTTATGATTTCTGTTCTTTTGCATTTGCTGAAGAGTGTTTTACTTCCAATTACATGGTCAATTTTAGAATAAGTGCAATGTGGTACAGAGAAAAATGTATATTCTGTTGATTTGGGGTGGAGAGTTCTGTAGATATCTATTAGGTCTGCTTGGTCCAGAACTAAGTTCAAGTCCTGAATATCCTTGTTAATTTTCTGTGTCATTGATCTGTTTGATATTGACAGTGGGGTGTTAAAGTCTCCCACAATTATTGTGTGGGAGTCTAAGTCTCTTTGTAGGTCTCTAAGAACTTGTTTTATGAATCTGGGTGCTCTTGTATTGGGTGCATATATATTTAGGATAGTCAGCTCTTCTTGTTGCATTGATCCATTTACCATTATGTAATGGCCTTCTTTGTCTCTTTTGATCTTTGTTGGTTTAAAGTCTGTTTTATCAGAGACTAGGATTGCAACCCTTGCTTGTTTTGCTTTCCATTTGCTTGGTAAATATTCCTACATCCCTTTATTTTAAGCTTATGTGTGTCTTTGCATGTGAGATGAGTCTCCTGAATACAGCACAGTGATGGGTTTCGACTCTTTATCCAATTTGCCAGTCTGTGTCTTTTAATTGGGGCATTTAGCCCATTTACATTTAAGGTTAATATTGTTATATGTGAATTTGATCCTGTCATTATGATGTTAGCTGGTTATTTTGCCCATTAGTTGATGCAGTTTCTTCATAGTGTCGATGGTCTTTACAATTTGGTATGTTTTTGCAGTGGCTGGTACTGGTTTTTCCTTTCCACATTTAGTGCTTCCTTCAGGAGCTGTTGTCAGGCAGGCCTGGTGGTGACAAAATGTCTCAGCATTTGCTTGTCTGTAAAGTATTTTATTTCTTCTTCACTTATGAAGCTTAGTTTGGCTGGATATGAAATTCTGGGTTGAAAATTCTTTTCTTTGAGAATGTTGCATATTGGTCCCCACTCTCTTCTGGCTTGTGGGGTTTCTGCTGAGAGATCCACTGCTAGTCTGATGGGCTTCCCTTTCTGGGTAACCCGACTTTTCTCTCTGGCTGCCCTTAACATTTTCTCCTTCATTTCAACCTTGATGAACCTGACAATTATGTGTCTTGGGGTTGCTCTTCTCAAGAATTATCTTTGTGGTGTTCTCTGTGGTTCCTGAATTTGAATGTTGGCCTGCCTTGCTAGGTTGAGGAAGATCTCCTGGATAATACCCTGAAGAGTGTTTTCCAACTTGGTTCCATTCTCCCTGTCACTTTCAGGTACACCAATCAAATGTAGGTTTGATGTTTTCACATAGTCCCATATTTCTTAGAGGCTTTGTTCATTCCTTTTCATTCTTTTTTTTTTTCTCTAATCTTGTCTTCACACTTTATTTCATTCAGTTGATCTTCAATCTCTGATATCCTTTCTTCCACTTGATCAGTTTGGCTATTGATACTTGTGTATGCTTCACGAAGTTCTCTTGCTGTGTTTTTCAGCTCCATCAGGTCATTTATGTTCTTCTGTAAACTGGTTATTCTAGTTAACAATTCGTCTAACCTTTTTTCACGGTTCTTAGCTTCCTTGCATTGGGTTAGAACATGCTTCTTTAGCTCAGAGGATTTTGTTATCACCCACCTTCTGAAGCCTACTTCTGTCAATTTGTCAAACTCATTGTCTGTCCAGTTTTGTTCCTTTGCTGGCCAAGAGTTGTGATCCTTTGGAGGAGAAGAGGCATTCTGGTTTTTGGAATTTTCAGCCATTTTGTGCTGGTTTTTCCTCATCTTCGTGGATTCATCTACCTTTGGTCTTTGATGTTGGTGACCATCGGATGGAGTTTTTGTGTGGACGTCCTTTTTGTTGATGTTGATGCTATACTTTTCTGTTTGTTAGCTTCCCTTCTAACAGGCCCCTCTGCTGCAAGTCTGCTGGAATTTTCTGGAGGTCCACTCCAGACCCTGTTTGCCTGGGTATCACCAGTGGAGGCTGCAGAGCAGCAAAGATTGCTGCCTGTTCCTTCCTCTGGAAGCTTCGTCCCAGAGGGGCACCCACCAGATGCCAGCTGGAGCTTTCCTGTATGAGGTGTCTGTTGACCCCTGCTGGAGGTGTCTCCCATTCAGGAGACACAGGGGTCAGGGACCCACTTGAGCAGGCAGTCTGTCCCTTAGCAGAGCTGGAGCACTGTGCTCTCTTTAGAGCCAGAAGGCAGGAACATTTAAGTCTGCTGAAGCTGCTCCCACAGCCACCCCTTCTCCCAGGTGCTCTGTTGCAGGGAACTGGGAGTTTTATCTATAAGCCCCTGACTGGGGCTGCTGTCTTTCTTTCAGAGATGCCATGCCCAGAGAGGAGTAATCTAGAGAGGCAGTCCGTCTACAGTGGCTTTGCTAAGCTGCAGTGGGCTCTGCCCATTTTGAACTTCCCCGAGGCTCGGCTTTGTTTACACTGTGAGGGGGAAACCACATACTCAAGCCTCAGTAATGGCGGATGCCCCTCCCCCCACCAACCTGAAGCGTCCCAGGTCGACTTCAGACTGCTGTGCTCGCAATGAGAATTTCAAGCCAGGAAATCTTAGCTTGCTGGGCTCCTTGGGGGTCAGATCTGCTGAGCTAGGCCACTTGGCTCCCTGGCCTCATCCCCCTTTCCAGGGCAGTGAATGGTTCTGTCTGGCTGGTTTCCCATGTGCCACTGGGGTATGAAAAAAAACTCCTGCAGCTAGCTCGGTGTCTGCCCAAATGGCTGTCCAGTTTTGTGCTTGAAACCCATGGCCCTGGTGCTGTAGGTACCCGAGGGAATCTCCTGGTCTGCGGGTTGCAAAGACCATGGGAAAAGTGTAGTTTCTGGGCCAGAATGCACCATTCCTCATGGCACAGTCCCTCATGGCTTCCCTTGGCTAGGGGAGGGAGTTCCCTGACCCCTTGCACTTCCTGGGTGAGGCAAGGCCCCACCCTGATTCTGCTCTCTCTCCATGGGCTGCACCCACTGTCTAACCAGTCCCAGTGAGATGAGCCAGGTACCTCAGTTGGAAATGCAGAAATCACCCACCTTCTGTGTTGATCTCACTGGGAGCTGCAGACCAGAGCTGTTCCTATTAGGCCATCTTGCCAGCCATACACCCTTTTTTGTTTTGTTTTGTTTTGTTTTGTTGAGACAGAGTCTCACTCTTTCACCCAGGCTGCAGTGCAGTAGCGCAGTCTCGGCTCACTGCAACCTCAGCTTCCTGGGTTCAAGTGATTCTCCTGCCTCGGCTTCCCCAGTAGCTGTGATTACAGGCATGTGCCACCATGCCCAGCTAATTTTTGTATTTTTAGTAGAGACAGGGTTTCACCATGTAGGCCAGGCTGGTCTCTAACTCCTGACCTCAGGTGATTCACCTGCCTTGGCCTCCCAAAGTGCTGGGATTACAGGTGTGAGCCACCGTGCCTGGCCTGTTTTGTGACTTTTTGTGCACTGTTTGATATTCACAACCTTTCCTTTTTCCAGCTATTTGTGGATTAGGTATTATATCTTTTGGTTTTGTTTTTTATTTTGCTATAAGCATGAAATGTTTCATATGTGCTTGAAAAAAATAAAAGTGGGGATCATGCTAATTTCCTGTGAGTCATCCACTTGATAGGTGGTAAGACAAGAAAGAGAAAATCTAGAACTGCTGTAGAATGCAGAGATGTGCAAGGAGCAGAAGTCTGAGGAACTGAATTCCTAGTAAGTTTAAAAAGTCTGCAAATGCAGTCATGCCTGTGTTTGGTGGAAATGTGAAGACTGCAGAAACCACTTCAAGTTATGTACTTGGGCAGACCAGCAGGGAACATTCTGAGAGATGTATAGGACAGGAGGACCAGGAAAGGGACAGCAATAAATTCAGGTTGCCAGGGAGTTCCAGAGAGGAATCATGGCCCGAGCTAAGGAGTTGTACTGTGATCAGAGGCTGAGACAGAGGACAGGCTGGCCTAGAGGGAGGGCTAAGAAGCAATCCAAGTGACCATGTAAAGCTGCCAATTCTAGATTGTCGATTCTGTTCCATTAACCTGTATGTATATGTGCCCCTGACAAGAGTCCCTGGCCAAGATGGCAAGTGAAGCTTGACTCCGGCTCACTCTGTTCACCAAGCCTTGTGTTGAGATGCAGCACTGCAGCCACCTGGAGGAGGAATCTTATTCCAATTTTTTTCTTCCATATTTCTTTTTAATTAACATACAATTTATATACCATAAAACATACCCTTTTAAAAGTTCAGTAGTTTTTAGCATATTCACAAAGTTATGCAGTTATGTGATTTCAAAACATTTTCATTACCCCCCAAAGAAACCCTGTAACCATTAGCAGTCATTTCTCATTCCCCCCACCTCCCAGCTCCTAGTCTGCTTTCCATCTTTATAAACTTGCCTTGTCTTGACATTTCATATAAGTGGAATCATACAACATGCAACCTGTATATCCAGCTTCTTTCTCCTAGCATAATGTTTTCAAGGTTCATTCATTCAAAATACTTCCTTCCTTTTTATGGCTGAAAAATATTCCATTGTATGGATATACTCCATTTTTTTGTCCATTCATTAACTGATGGATATTTTAGTTGTTTTCAATTTGTGACTGTCATGAACAATGCTTCTGTGAATGTTCGTATCCAAGTTTTTGTGTGGGTCTTGAAGATTATGCCTTTGTTTTCTTTGAAGAATTTTCTAGTTTTATGTCTTATATTTGGTCTTTCATCTATTTTGAGTTAATTTTTGTGTATGGTGTAAGGCAGAGGTCCAAATTTGTTCTTGTTCATATCCAGTCGTCCCAGGACTGTTGTTGAAAATACACTGCTGTTGAAAATACAGAAAATTCTCTCCCCCACTGAATGGTCTTGGCACCCTTGTTAAAAATCAGTTGACCATATATGTGATGGTTTAATTCTAGACTCTTGATTCTGTTCCATTGATCTATATGTCTGGCCTTATGCCACTACCACCACCCTGTCTTGATCATTGTAGCATGGTAGTAAATTTTGAAACCAAGGAGTATGAGGCCTACAACTTTGTCCTTTTTCAAGATTATTTTGTTTATTCTGAGTCCCTTGCATCTCTACATGAATTTTAGGATCCCGTTGTCAATTTCTGAAAACAACACAAAACAAACAATAAACTAAATGACATTTTGACAGGGATTGTTTGAATCTACAGATTTATTTCAGGAATACTGCCATGTTAACAATGTCAAATCTTTCAATCTATGAACAAAAAAAGTCATTTCATTTAATTAGGTATTCTCTAATTTCTTTCAACAGTATCTTGTAGTTGTCAGGGTATGACTTTTGCTCATCTTTTGTTAAATTTATTCCTAAGTATTTTATTCCTTCTTATGCTATTGAAAGTGGAATCGTTTTCTTAATTTCATTTTTTATTGTTCACTGCTAGTGTATAGATATACAGTTGAGTATTGTATATTAACTTTGTATTCTGTAAACTGCTGGATGTATTACCTCTAAATCGTTTTGTGTGGATTCCTTAGAAGTTTCTACATACAATATCATTTTGTGTGCAGATAGAGATAGTTTTACTTCTTCATTTTCAATGTCAATGGCTTTCATTTCTTTTTCTTGTTTCATTGCCCTAGCTAGACCCTCCACAGTACTGAACAGAAGTTGTGAGAATAGACAATCTTTGTCTTGTTCCAGATATTAGGAGAAAATCTTCCAATCTTTCACCATTAAATATCATAATTGCCATGAGTGTTTTTGGAGATTCCCTTTATCAAGTTACAGAAGTTTTCTACTGTTCTTAGTGTTTAATACTGTTGTTCTTGTTGTCGTTTTTAACATGAAAGGGCATTGGATTTCTCAATTTTTTTTCTGCATTGAGATAATTGTATGGTTTTTGTCCTTAATTTTATTAATATGATATATTACATTCATTGTTTTACCCTGGAACAAATCCCACCTAATCATGATGTATCCTTTTTATATGTTGCTGGCTTCAGTTTGTTAGTTTTGTTGAATATTTTGGCATCTATATTCATAAGAGATATTGCTCTGTAGTTTTTTTTTTTTTCATAATGACTTTTTCTGATTTTAGCATCAGGGAAATAGTGACCTTACAGAGTGAGATGGGATATTTTCCCTCCTCCTTTTTTTTTTTTTTTCACAGAGACAGAGTCTCGCTCTGTCACCCAGGCTGGAGTGCCGTGGCACAATCTTGGCTCACTGCCAACCTCCCCTGCCCGGGTTCAAACAATTCTCCTGCCTCAGCCTCCTGAGTAGCTGGGGCTACAGGCACGAGCCACCATGTCTGGCTTGTTTTTTTGTATTTTTAGTAGAGACGGGGTTTCGCCACATTGGCCAGGCTGTTCTCGAACTCCCGACCTCAGGTGATCCACCCGCCTTGGCCTCCCAAAGCACTAGGATTACAGGCATGAGCCACTGCGTCCAGCCCCTCCTCCTCTTCTTTGTGGAAGAATTTGTGAAGTACTGCTGTTAATTCTTTTTAAACATTTGGCAGAATTCACTAGTGAAACCATCTGGAACTGAGTTTTTCTTAGTGGGAAGAATCACTTGAAACTGGGAGGTGGAGGTTGCAGTGAGCCGAGATTGTACCACTGCAGTGAGCCGATATTGTGCCACTGCACTCCAGCCTGGGTGACAGAGCGAGATTCATCTCTAAATAAATAAATAAATAAATAAAATGTTGTTCAATTCCTCTTTCCTTGTTATAACAATATTCTGTTTAGTTCTATCCATTGTTGAATGAGGGATATTGAAGTTTTCAACTATTATTGTTGAATTATCTATTTCTCCCTTTAATTCTGTCCATTTTTGTTTTTATTTTGGGAACCTATTATTCTGGGAGTATGTATATTAGGGGAGTATATATATAATTTTTGTTTTCTTAATAGATTGCTATCTATATATGTTATAAATTCAATAATATAGTCATATGACTATTGCTTTATATATATAGTTTTATTTTATTGCTTATATTTTTATTGCTTATATTTATTGCTTTATATATATTTTTACATATAGAATAGTCTCATTCTTAAATAAATAAAAAACAGAAACTACATATTATGCAGTCTATTACATACACCAAAATATTTACTATTTCTGGAATTCTTTGTTTCTATGAATTTTAGCAGCTATCTGGGGGAAATTTCCTTTCTACTTGAAAGATTTTCTTTAGAATTTTTCGAAAGTGAGTCTGCTAGCAATGAATTATCTTTGTTTATCTGGGGATGTCTTTATTTCACCTTCAGTTTTAGATAATTTTCTGGATATAAAATTCTTGGTTGACAGCATTTGTCTCAGCATGCAGAATGTCATGGAACTTCTTTCTGGTCTCCATTGTTTCTAATGAGAAATCAGTCGGTATTAGTATTAATAATCTCCTGCATGCAATGAGTCATTTTTACTTCCTCCTTTCCAAATTTCTGTCTTTTATTTCAAGTGTTCGATAAAGGTGTGTCTAGGTGAGGCTCTCTTTAAACTACGTGAGGTTTGTTGTGTTCTTATATCTGTTGACTAATCCATTTTTAAATAGAATTTGGGACATTTTCCAGGATTATGTCTTAAATTTTTTTTCTGTTTCTTTCTTTCTCCTCTCTCTTTCTGGAACTCCTATTATACCTACATTAATACCCTTGATATTGTACCACAAGTCTCTGTACTTTTTTCGTTTTTCTTTAGGCTTTTTTCTCTTTCAGTTCTTCAGATTAGATTGTTTTTATTTATCTATCTTTGTTTAATAATTCTGTGTTTTTTTAACTTTTATTTTAGATTCAGGGGGTACATGTGCAGGTTTGCTATATAGCTAAGCTTATCTTACAGATTATTTCATGAGCCAGGTACTAAGCCTAGTACCCAATAGTTATTTTTTCTGATCCTCTCCCTCCTCCCACCCTCAAGTAGGCCCCAGTGTCTTTTTTGCCCTCTTTGTGTCCATGTGTTCTCATCATTTAGCTCCAATTTAAAAGTAAGAACATATGGTATTTGGTTTTCTGTTCCTGCATCAGTTTGCTAAGAATAATGGCCTCCAGCTCCATTCGTGATCCTGCAAAAGACATGAGCTTGTTCATTTTTATGGCTACATAGTATTTGATGATGTATATGTACCATATTTTCTTTATCCAATCTGCCATTAATGGGCATTTAGGTTGGTTCCATGTCTTTGTAATTGTGAATAGTGCTGCCGTGAACACAGTGTGCATGTCTCATTATGGTAGAATGATTTATATTCCTTTGGGTATATACCTAGTAATGAGATTGCTGGGTCAAGTGGTAGTTGTTTTTAGCTCTTTGAGGAATAACTACACTGCCTTCCACAATGGTTGAACTAATTTACACTTCCACCAACAGTGTATAAATGTTCCCTTTTCTCTGCAACCTCACCAGCATCTGCTATTTTTTTGAACTTTTTAATAATAGTCATTCTGACTGGTGTGGGATGGTATCTCCCTGTGGTTTTGATTTGTATTTCTCTAGTGATCAGTGATGTTGAGGTTTTTTTTCATATGCTTGTTGACTGTATCTATGTCTTCTTTTGAGAAGTATCTGTTCATGTCCTTTGCCCACTTTTCAATGGGGTTGTTTTGTAAATTTGTTTAAGTTCCTTATAAATGGTGGATATGAGACCTTTGATGCATAGTTTGCAAAATTTTTCTCCAATTCTGTAGGTTGTCTGTTTATTGATAGTTTGTTTTGCTGTGCAGAAACAAATTTAATTTAAATTAAATTAGATCCCATTTGTCAATTTATCGTGGTTGCTTTTGGTGATTTCATCATGAAATCTTTGCCCATACCTATGTTGGGTTTTTTTGGGGGGGTTGTTTGTTTGTTTGTTTGTTTTGAGATGGAGTCTCTGTCACCCAGGCTGGAGTACAGTGGTGCAATCTCGGCTCACTGAAATGCCCACCTCCCAGGTTCAAGCAATTCTCCTGCCTCGACCTCCCAAGCAGCTGGGATTACAGGTGCCTGCTACCATGCTCAGCTAATTTTTGTATTTTTAGTAGAGACAGGGTTTTGCCATGTTAGCCAGGCTGATCTCGAACTCCTGACCTCAGGTGATCCATCCAACTCGGTCCCAAAGTGCTGCAATTACAGACCCCATGCCTATGTCTTGAGTGGTATTGCCTAGGTTGTCTTCCAGGGTTTTTATAGTTTTGGGTTTTACATTTAAGTCTTTAATCCACCTTGAGTTGATTTTTGTATATGGTGTAAGCAAGGGGTCCAGTTTCAGTTTTCTGCATATGGCTAGCCAGTTATTCCAGCACTATTTATTGAATAGGGCATCCTTTCCCCATTGCTTGTTTTTGTCAAGTTTGTCAGAGATCAGATGGTTGTAGGTGTGTGGCCTTATTTCTGAGCTCTCTGTTCTGTTCCATTGGCTCTATGTGTCTGTTTTTGTACCAGGACCATGCTTTTTTCATTATTATAGCCCCATAGTATAGTTTGAAGTTGAGTAACGTGACACCTCCAGCTTTGTCCTTTTTGCTTGTGATTGCCTTAGCTTTTCAGGTTCTTTTTTGGTTCCATATGAATTATTAATGTAAAATAGTTTTTTTCTAGTTTTTTAGTAGAGACAGGGTTTCGCCATGTTAGCCAGGCTGGTCTCAAACTCATGACCTCGGGTGATCCATCCAACTCAGTCCCAAAGTACTGGGATTACAGACCCCATGCCTATGTCTTGAGTGGTATTGCCTAGGTGAAAAATGTCATTGGTAGATAGGTTTGAACCTATAAATTTCTTTGGCCAGTATGGCCATTTTAATGATATTGAGTCTTCCTATTCATGAGCATGGAATGTTTTTCCATTTGTTTGTGTTATCTCTGACTTCTTTGAGCAGTGTTTTGTAATTTTCATTGTAGAGATCTTACAATCCCTGGTTAGCTGTATTCCTGGGTGTTTTATTCTTTTTGTGGCAACTGTGAATGGGATTGCTTTCCTGATTTGGCTCTCAGCTTGGCTGTTATTGGTGTACAGGAATTCTAGTGATTTTTATACATTGATTTTGTATCCTGAGATTTTGCTGAAGTTGTTTATCAGCTTAAAGAGCTTTTGGGCTGAGATGATGGGATTTTCTAGATAAAGAATCATGTCATTTGCAAACAAAAAATAGTTTGACTTCCTGTCTTCCTATTTCAATGCATTTTATTTTATTTTTTAGTTTTACTTTAAGTTCTGGGATACATGTGCTGAATGTGCAGGTTTGTTACATAGGTATACATGTGCCATGGTGGTTTGCTCCACCTATCAACCCATCATCTAGGTTTTAAGCCCTGCATGTATTAGATATTTGTCCTAATGCTCTTCCTCTTCTTTCCCTGCACATCTGACAGGCCCTGGTGTGTGATGTTCCCCTCCCTGTGTCCATGTGTTCTCATTGTTCAACTCCTACTTATGAGTGAGAACATGCAGTGTTTGGTTTTCTGTTTCTGTGTTAGTTTGCTGCAGATGATGGTTTCCAGCTTCATCCAAGTCCCTGCAAAGGGCATGACCTCATTCTTTTTTATGGCTGCATAGTATTCCATGGTGTATATGTGCCATATTTTCTTTATCCAGCCTATCATTGCCAGGCATTTGGGTTGGTTCCAAGTCTTTGCTATTATAAATAATGCTGCAATAAACATACATGTGCATATGTCTTTATGGTAGAATGATTTATAATCCTTTGGGTATATACCCAGTAATGGGATTGCTGGATCTAATGGTATTTCTGGTTCTAAATCCTTGAGGAATTGCCACACTGTGTTCCACAATGGTTGAACTAATTTACACTCCCACCAACAGTGTAAAAGCATTCCTATTTCTCCACATCCTCACCAGCATCTGTTGTTTCCAGACTTTTTAATACTCACCATTCTCACTGGCATGAGATGGTATCTCACTGTGGTTTTGATTTGCATTTCTATAATGACCAGTGATGATGAGCTTTTTTTCAAATGTTTGTTAGCCACATAAATGTCTTCTTTTGAGAAGTGTCTGTTCATATCCTTTGCCCACTTTTTGATGGTTTTTTTTTATAAATTTGTTTTAAGTTCCTTGTAGCTTCTGGATATTAGACCTTTGTTAGATGGATACATTGCAAAAATTTTCTCCCATTCTGTAGGTTGCCTGTTCATGCTGATGATAGTTTATTTTGCTGTGAAGAAGCCCTTCAGTTTAATTAGATCCCAATTGTCAATTTTGGCTTTTGTTGCCATTGCTTTTGGTGTTTCAGTCATGAAGTCTTTGCCCATGCCAGTGTCCAGAATGATATTGCCTAGGTTTTCTTCTAGGGTTTTTATGGTTTTAGGTCTTACTTTTAAGTCTTCAATCCATCTTGAGTTAACTTTTGTATAAGGTGTAAGGAAGGTGTCCAGTTTCAGTTTTCTGCATATGGCTAGCCAGTTTTCCCAACACCATTTATTAAATAGGGCATCCTTTCCCCATTGCTTGTTTTTGTCAGGTTTGTCAAAGATCAGATGGTTGTAAATGTGTGGCATTATTTCTGAGGCCTCTGTTCTGTTTCGTTGGTCTATATATCTGTTTTGGTACCAGTACCATACTGTTTTGGTTACTCTAGCCTTGTCATAAGTAAAAAGAACAAAGCTAGTGGCATCACACTACCTGAATGCCATTTATTTCTTTCTCTTGCCTGAGTGCTAAGGCCAGGACATCCAATACTATGTTGAATAGGGGTGGTGAGAGAGGGCATCCTCGTCTTATGCCAGTTTTCAGGGGGAATGCTTCCTGGTTTTGTCCATTCTGTATGATGTTGGCTGTGGTTTAGTCATAGATGGCTCTTATTATTTTGAGGTATGTTCCTTCAATACAAAGTTTATTGAGAGTTTTTAACATAAATGAATGTTGAATTTTATCAAAAGTTTTTCTGCATCTATTGAACTAATAATGTGATTTTTGTCTTTAGTTCTGTTTATGTGATGAATCACATTTGTTGATTTGCATATATTGAACCAACCTTGCATCCCAGGGATAAAGCCTTCTTGATCATGGTGGATTAACTTCTTGATGTGCTGCTGGATTCAGTTTCCAAGTATTTTGTTGAGGATTTTTGCCTCAGTGTTCATCAAGGATATGGGGCTGAAGTTTTCTTTGTTGTGTCTCTGCCAGGTTTTGGTTTCAGGATGATGCTGGCCTCACAGAATTAGTTGGGGAGGAGTCCCTTCTCATTTTGTTGGAATAGTTTCAGTAGGAATGGTACCAGCTCTTCTTTCTTTATTTTAATGGCAGAATGCAGCTGTGAATCCATCTGGTCCTGGACTTTTTGGTTGATAGACTATTTATTACTGATTCAATTTCAAAGCTCATTATTGGTCTGGTCAGGGAAGCAATTTCTTCCTGGTTCAGTCTTGAGAAGGTATATGTGTCCAGGAATTTATTTATCTCTTCTAGGTTTTCTAATTTGTGTGCATGTGTGCATAGAGGTGTTCATAATAGTCTGTAATAGTTATTTGTATTTCTGTGGGGTCAATGGTAACATCCCATTTGTCATTTCTGATTGTGTTTATTTGGATCTGTCTTTTCTTCTTTATTAGTCTAGGTAGTGGACTACCTTATTAATGTTTTTCAAAACACCAACTCTTGGATTTGCTTATTTTTTCATGGCTTTTAATGTCTTGATCTCCTTCAATTCAGCCCTGATTTTGGTTATTTCTTGTCTTCTGCTAGCTCTGGAGTTGGTTTGCTCTTGCTTCTCTAGTTCTTTTAGTTGCAGGGTTAGGTTATACATTTGAGATGATTCTAACTTTTGATATTAAGTTGGAATTTAGTGCTATAAATTTCCCTCTTAACACTGCCTTAGCTGTGTCCCAGAGATTCTGGTATGTTGTATCTTTGTTCTCATTAGTTTCAAAGAATTTCTTGATTTCTTCCTTAATTTCATTATTTACCCAAAAGCCATTCAGGAGCAGGTTGTTTAATTTCCATGTAACTGCATGTTTTGAGTTTTTTGTAGTCTTGATTTTCACTGCTATCCAAGAGTGAATTTGGTATGATTTCAGTTCTTTTACATTTGCTGAAAATTGTTATATAACCAACTGTGTGGTTGACTTTACAATATGTGCCATGTGGTGATGAGAAGAATGTATAGTCTGTTGTTTTGGGGTGGAGAGTTCTGTGGAGATCTATCAGATCCATTTGGTCCAGTGTTGAATTTGGGTCTGAAATATCCTTGTTAATTTTCTGCCTTGATCATCTGTCTAGTTCTGTCAGTAAGTGTTGAAGTCTCCCACTATTATTGTGTTGGAGTCTAAGTCTCTTTGCAGGTCTCTTGAGAACTTGCTTTGTGAATCTGGGTGTCCCTGTGTTGGGTGCATACGTATTAGGAGAGTTAGGTTTTCTTGTTGAATTGAACCCTTTACCATTATGTAACGCTCTTGTCTTTTTTGATTTTTGTTTGTTTAAAGTCTGTTTGTCTGAGATTGGGATTGCAACCCCTGCTTTTTTCTGTTTTCCATTTGCTTGGTAGATTTTCCTCCATCCCTTTATTTTGAGCATATGGATGTCACTGCATGTGAGATGGGTCTCTTGAAGACAGCATACCATTGGGCCTTGCTTCTTTATCCAGCTTGTTACTATATGCTTTTTAAATGGGGCACAGAGTGACAAGCTGGTTAAAGAAGCAAGACCCCTTCAAGATTATTATTGATATGTGTGGATTTGATTCTGTCATTGTATTGTTATCTGTTTTTTATGCCAGCTTGTTTGTGTGGTTGCTTTATAGTGTCACTGGCCTCTGTACTTGTGTTTTTTTTTAATTGGCTGGTAATGGTCTTTCCATATTTAGTGCTTCGTTCAAGATCTCTTGTAAAGCAGATCTGGTGGTAATGATCTCCCTCAGCATTTGCTTATCTGAAAAGGATCTTATTTCTTCTTCACTGAGGAAGGTTAGTTTGGCTGGATATGAAATTCTTGGTTGAAGATTTTCTTCATTGAGAATGTTGAATATAGGCCCCCAATCTCTTCAGGCTTGTAGGGTTTCTGCTGAGAGGTCTGCTGCTAGCCTGATGGGGTTCCCTTTCTCTCTAGCTGCTTTTAACATTCCTTCTTTCATTTTGACCCTGGAAAGTCTGATTGTGTATCTTGGTGATGATATTCTTATGGAGAATCTTGCAGAGGTTCTCTGTATTTCCTGAATTTGACTGTTGGCCTCTGTAGTGAGGTTGGGAAAGTTTTCACAGAAGATATCCTGAAATATGTTTTCCAAGTTGTTTGCTTTCCCCCAATCCCTTTCAGGGATGCCAGTGATTTATAGTTTGGGCCTCTTTATATAATCCCATATTTCTCAGAGGTTTTATTTGTTCCTTTTCATTATTTTTTCTTTATCTGTATATGACTGTCGTGTTTAAAAGAGCCAGTCTTCCAAGTTCTGAGATTTCTTCCTCAGTTTGGTCTATTTTGCTGTTAATTCTTGTGACTGCATTGTGAAAATCTTGCAGTTTGTTTTTCAGCTCTATCAGATGAGTTCTTTTATACTGGCTATTTTATCTGTCAGCTTCGGTATCATTTTATTTTGATTGTTAGTTTTCTCGGATTGGATTTTGCCATTCTCTGGAACCTCAATGATCTTTGTTCCTATCAGTATTCTGAATTTTCTTTCTGTTATTCCAGCCAACCCTGGTTAAGAATCCTTGTTGAAGAACTAGTGTAGTCATTTGGAGGATATAAGACACTCTGGTCATCTGACTTGTCAGAGTTCTTGTGTTGGTTCTTTCTCATCTCTGCATTTAGGTGTTCTCTTAACTGCTGGGCTGCCTCTGATTGAAGCGGTCAGGCAGGGGCAGAGTGGTTGCACTGGAGTCCTGGGCCTGGTAACTCTGCCCAGTGAAGAGAAGTGAGGACCAGGACCTGCGTGGAGAACAGTATGGACACTTTTCCATTAGGTGGATGCTCTGTGCTGGGGGTTCAGACCAGTGCCGGGTCCCCATGGACTCTCTAGAGCCTGGAGACAAGAAGGGTGAGGGCTGTGAGACAGCAAAGATGGCAACCCACCCCTCCCACTGGGAGCTCTGTCCCAGAGAGCTGAAGAACTGCTACTGGCTCAATAGCTCCAGTGGGGAAAGGCTGGAGACCCAGGCTGGGAGAACCTGCCCAGTGAGGAGATACGGGAACAGGGACTCATGTAACAAACATATAGAAAACATGTAACATGTAGAAAACATGTAACATATAGAAAACATGTAATATATAGAAAACATGTAACAAACATATATAAAAGTCTGGCCACTTTTCCATTGGGCTGCTGGAATATGCAGGAGGTCTGCTCCAGTTTCTAATCACCTCAGATTTTCCAGCACCTGAAGGTATCAACAATCAAGGCTGCAAAACAGCAAAGATGGCAGTGTGTCACTCCCTCTGGGAGCTCCATCCCAGGGAGGTATGGATCTGTTGCCAGCTTGAACATACTGGCGAGGGTAGTTGTAAATCTTGGTCAGGAGATTCTGCCCAGTGAGGAGAAATAGGGTCCAGGACCCATAAGGAAAGGCAGTCTAGCTGCAGCTTCACAGAGCTGCTTTGCTGTGCTGGGGAACTGCCCCAGTCCCTAGTTGCCTTGGACTCTCTAGAGCCCTATGGCAAGAAGAGCTAAGGCTGTGAAACAGCAAAGATGGTGGCCTGTCCTCCCCCTGGGAGCTCCATTCCAGGGAGGCTTGGAACCACTGCCAGCTGGAAAACACTGGCAAGGGCGGCTGGTGACCCCAGTCAGGAGATCCTGCCCCATGAGAAGCAAGGCCAGGGACCCATGGAAAGAGAAGCAGTCTGGCCACTTTTCTGTAGGGTGGCTGTACTGAAGGCAACGACAGCCAAGGCTGTGAAACACCAAAGATGACAGCCTGCCCCTCCCTCTGGGAGCTCCATCTCAGGGAGGTATAATGCCACCATCGGTGGCTAGCTAGACTTCCAAACCAGTGGGTCTCGTCCTGTGAGGTACCATGGAAACAGGGTCTGCAGACTGTCACTGCTCAGTCCCCTGGATTCAGCCCCTTTCCTCGGGGTATGTATGGGGGTCTAACCTCCCACTTTGTCAGTTACAGCTGCTTTTGCCAGGAAGCCCGGGTATCTAAAGCTCCCGGGGCTCCACGTGTGCCTGAGCAGCTGCTCTGCCAAGACTCCACATAGCTCTACATGTCATACCACAGGCCCTGATGGAGTGGGTTCAATGAGGTGATCTCTTGACCTGAGGGTTGTAAAGAGACCTGGGAGAAGCATGGGTCTTAGGGTCACTCACTCACTCACCGATTCCCAGGTAGGGGAGGCTCCCCTGGCTCCATGTTGCTCCTGGGTAAGTGATCATCCTGCCTTGCCTTTCTCCATTCTTTGTGGATTGAGTTGTTTTCTTGATGAATCCTAATACATGTACCTGGATGTTTCAGTTGAAGGTGCTGTATTTATTCGCCCCTTCTATTGCTCTCCATAAGAGCAACACACACCAGTTGCTTCTAGTTGCCCATCTTTAAAACTTAGAGAGTTATTGTACTTTTATCTCCAGAATTTCCTGTTAGCTCCCTTTTAGAGTTTCTGTGTCTTTATCAGTACTTCCTATTTGTTGAATCATTATCATCCTATTTTTCACAAAGTCTTTAAATGTAGTTTCTTTTTATTCTTTGAACATATTCATAGTAGCTGCTTTGAAGTTTTTGTCTGCTAAATCAATATCTAGACCTAGTCATAGTAAGTTTTTATTTTTTTTTCTTGAGTATGGATCATTCTTTTGTTTCTGTATGTCTAGTAATTTTTTGTTGAAAATTGAACATTTGGTTAATATAATGTGACAACTTTAGATTCTGACATTTTAACTGAGAGTTATTGTTATTGTTTTGATTTTTTGTTTGTTTTTAGTAACTTTTCTGACTTAATCTGACTGATCTATCTTTTCCATGGTATATAGCTGCTGATATCTCTGCTCAGTTTTGTTTTTATTGTGTATCCTGTCTTACTAAGCATCCCCCTTTTGTCTGCATAGTTCAGCAGACGGCTAATGATAGTAGTGCTCAAATGTCTCAAGTTCACAAAGTTTCAGCCTTCAACTAGTAGATCTGTCTGAGGCATGCATTAAAAGTTCAGGAGGCCAGGTGTGGTGGCCCACGCCTGTAATCCTAGCACTTTGGGAGGCCAACGCGGATGGGTCATGAGGTCAGGAGTCCGAGACCAGCCTGACCAAGATGGTGAAACCCCATCTCTACTAAAAATACAAAAATTAGCCAGGCATGGTGGCAGGCACCTGTAATCCCAGCTACTCAGGAGGCTGAGGCAGGAGAGTTGCTTGAACACCTCAGCCTCCCAAATAGCTAGGACTACAGGTGCACAGCACCATGCCTGAATTTTTTTTTTATTTTTTGTAGAGACAGGGTCTCCCTAAGTTACCCAGGCTGATCTCAAACTTCTTGTCTCAAGCAGTCTTCCCACTTTGGCCTCCCAAAGTGCTGGGATTACAGGAATGATCCACCATCCTTGGCCTTGTGTTCTTTCTTTTTTCTTAGACTAGCCAGAGGCTTATTGGCCTAAAACAATCACATTTCAAATGCCATCTATGAGATCACTGAAACCAGAGGTAGGCCTAGCCTAACTAAAACTGCAACCCACCATAACTCAGCTTAATTTCTGATGGGAATTTATCAATTCCTCAGTTGCTACTTACTAGAGGCAGGAGCAACTTTTCTGAAGGAAAATAGCATCAACTGTCAGTCTTTGTGATTCTTTAATACACAAAGCCCATCATGCTATAAGATATTATTAGACATATAACAGGCAAAAACATGAGACCAACAATCAAGCAAAAAAGGAGATGATAGAAGCAGACCCATAGATGATCCAGATATTGGATATGGCTGATAAAGACTTCAAAATAACTATTATAAATATGTGAAAGAAAATTGATAAAAAAGATGAAGAATTTCAACAGAGACATGGAAACTATTTAAAAAAGTAAAATTACTAGAACTGAAAGGTAAAATTTCTGAAATTATGACTTAATTGACTATGTTTAATAAGACTTTGAACACAGAAGACAGAATTAGTAAACTCAAAGATAGCTCAATATCAAATATCCGAAGTGGCAGATAAAGAGAATAAAAATATAAAAAGAAAAGAGTAGAGTATAAAAAACTTGTGAAACATTTTCAGAAGGTCTAGCATATGAAAAATTGCTTTCATAGAAGAGGAGAAAAGAAAATGGGTCGGAAGGAATATTTGAAGAAATATATATGAGACATTATTCAAAATTGATAAAAGGCATCAATCCACAGATTTAAGAAGCTCAGTAAACCCAAAAGGAATAATAAAACTGTCATAATCAAGCTGCATCAAACCAAAGCTAAAGAGAAAATCTTAAAAACAGTCATAACAGTTACTTTCTAAGAAGCAACAAAAAGACTAATTACTGACCTTTCAACTGAAATTATTAAGTCTAGATGTTGGTGGAATGAAATATTTAAATTGCTGAAAGAAAAAAACTGCCAAATTAAACCTCTGCCCAATGAAACTATCATTCAAAAATGAAAATAAGATAAAGTTATTCTCAAAGAAAAGTTAATATAAATACTTGCCATGACCTGAGATAAAAGGAATGGTAAAGAAAATTCTTTGGACTGAAACAAAAGGATCTCAGAT
This sequence comes from Homo sapiens, assembly GCF_000001405.40. Classification (NCBI taxonomy): domain Eukaryota; kingdom Metazoa; phylum Chordata; class Mammalia; order Primates; family Hominidae; genus Homo; species Homo sapiens. The sequence continues at coordinate 59,641,974 of NC_000014.9, read as the reverse complement.
GGAAGGAATGGTATGAATGGTATGACAGGAAGAGATGAAAAACACTGGAAAGGATAAATATGTGAGTAAATGTGAAAGATTATTAATTTTTTTACAACAAAAAACTGTTATATAATTTGGTGTTTATAGCACCAATGATATATAAAAGCCCTAGCACAAAAGGAGACAGAGACTAAGGGAGTTTGATGTTGTAAGAAACTTGTATTGTACAAGAATTTGTAAACTTGCTAATTTAAGATTGGCTTCAACATATTAAGGATGAACATTGTAATTTCTAGAATAATCACTAAAATGTTCAAAAAGAGGCCTGGCATGGTGGCTCATGCCTGTAATCCCAGCACTTTGGGAGGCCAAGGCGGGTGGATCACCTGAGGTCGGGAGTTCAAGACTAGCCTGACCAACATGGTAAAACCCTGTTTCTACTAAAAATACAAAAAATTAGCTGTGTGTGGTAGTATGCACCTGTAATCCCAGCTATTCAGGAGGCTGAGGAAGGAGAATTGCTTGAACCCAGGAGGCAGAGGTTGCAGTGAGCTGAGATCGCACCACTGCACTCCAGCCTGGGTGACAGAGTGAAACTCTGTCTCAAAAACAAACAAATAAATAAATAAATAAAATGTCCAAAAAGATAAAACTATAAGCTATTAGAAGAAATGATTTATAAAAATATACTTGATTAATTTCAAAGAAGGCAAGAAAAGAAGAACAGGCCAGGTATGGTAGCTCATACCTGTAATCCTAACACTTGGGAGGCCAAGGTGGGTGGATGTCCCAAACCCAGGAGTTCAAGACCAGCCTGGGTAACATGGCAAAACTCCATCTCTACAAAAAATACCCCCCCCAAAAAAATTAGCCACGTGCGGTGGCACATGCCTGTAGTCCCTAGCTGCTTTAGAGGCTGAGGTGGGAGGATCACCTGAGCCCAGGTCAAGGCTGCAGTGAGCCATGATTGCACCACTGCACTTCAGTGTGGGCAACAGGGCAAGACCCTGTCTCAGAAGGAAAGGAAGGAAAGTGAAAATAAGCTTTCATTTGAAGAAGTTAGTAAAACAATAGTGAATTAAAGCAAAAGAAAAGAAATAATTGAAAATAAAAACAAAGAAACAAAATGGAATGAAATAGAAAGCAGATATACAATAGATAAAAAGAAAAAAGTAAAAATTTTATTCTTTAAAATGAATTCATAATATTGAAAAATCTTCAAGATGATCAAGAAATAAAGAGAAAATAAAATTTAACAATATCAGAAATGAAAGAAGGGACATGGCTATGGCACCTCCATTTTGTTAAAAAACATAAGATGATGTTATAAAAAATTTATGCCAAGAAACTGACAACATATTTAAAATGGACAAAGTCAGGCCAGGCACGGTGGCTCACGCCTGTAATCCCAGCACTTTGGGAGGCCGAGGCAGGCAGATCATGAGGTCAAGAGATCGAGACCATCCTGGCCAAGATGGTGAAACCCCATCTCTACTAAAAATACAAAAATCAGCTGTGCGTGGTAGTGCACACCTGTAGTCCCAGCTACTCAAGAGGCTGAGGCAGGAGAATCGCTTGAACCTGGGAGGTGGAGGCTTCAGTGAGCTGAGATCACGCCACTGCACTCCAGCCTGGTGACAGAGCAAGACTCCATCTCAAAAAATAAATAAATAAATTAATTAATTAAATAAAATGGACAAATTCATTTGGAAATAAAAACCAACATTGACATAAGCAGAAATTTAAAAATGGAATTAGAATAATCCTAACATCTATTAAAGAAATCTATAATTACAAACTGTTTTACAAAGAAAAGTCCCAGCCCAGATGGGCTTGGTGGTGAATTCTTCCAAATATTCCAATATGAAATAATACCATCTTACATAAACTCTTTCAGCAAATACAGGAGGGAGTAACATTTTCTAACTTGCTTTGTGAGGCCAGTATAAACCTAATACAAAAATCTAAGCTATCACAAGATGTACAAGCATATTGCAAGAAAAGAAAATTGAAGGACAATATTTCTTCAATATGGATACAAAAATTCTACACAAAATATTAGCATATTGAATCCAAATTGAATAGTGATATATTAAAATGATGTCACATAGAAGCCATGTGAGGTTATTCTAGAAATGCAAAGTTTAACATTCAAAATTTGATGCATGTAATTTTTATATTAAAAAAATAAAAAAATCCATGTGGTCATCTCAATAGCTTTAGAAAAAGTATTTGATAAAATTCAATATCTGTTCATAACAAAAACTCTCAGAAAACTGGGAAACAAAGGACACTTTATTAATCTGATAAAGGACAGCTAAAAACTCACAGCCAACATCATACTTCATAGTAAAAATTTTGAGCACAGTTTTCCCTTACTTCAGGAGTAAGACAAAGAATAATCTGTTACCACTTCTACTCATCATTATACTGGAGGTCATAGCCAGTGCAGTAGGACAAGGTAAAAGAGATAAAAGTACAAAGATTGGAACGGAAAAAATAAACCCATTTTTATTCACAGAAGATATGATTACAAGCATACCTCATTTTATTGTACTTTGCAGATACTGCTTTTTTTAAAACACAAATTGAAGGTTTGTGGCAAACCTGCATTGAGTAAGTTTATTAGCACCATCTTTTCAACAGCATCTGCTTACTTCATGTCTCTGTAACATTTTGCTGATTCTTATACTATTTTAAACTCTTTTCTAGTTATGACAACTGTTATGGTGATCTGTGATCAGTGATCTTGATATTACTGTTGTAATTATTTTGGGGTGCCACAAACTGCACCTATAGAAGATGGCTAACTTAATCAATAAATGTTGTGTGTGTTCTGACTGCTCAACCAACTGGCCATTCTCTAGTCTCTCTTCCTCTTCTCACGTCTCTTTATTCCCTCAGACACTGCAGTATTTCGGTTAGGCCAATGAATAACCCTACAGTGGCTTCTAAGTGTTCGAGTGAAAGGAAGAGTCATACATCTCTCACTTTAAATCAAACGCTAGAAATGATTAATCTTAGTAAACAAAGCATGTTGAAAGCTAAGATAGGCCAAAAGCAAGGCCAAACAGTTATCCAAGTTGTAAATGCAAAGGAAGAATTCTTGAAGGAAATGAAAAGTACTATTTCAGTGAACACATGATTGATAAGAAAGCAAAACAGCCTCATTGCTGATATGGAGAAAGTTTCAGTGGTCTGGTTAGAAGACCAAACCAACCCTAACATTCCCTTAAGCCAAAGCCTAATCCAGACCAAGGCCCTCACTCTTTAATTTTATGAAGGCTGAGAGAGGTGAGGAAGCTGCAGGAGAAAAGTTGGAAGCTAGCAGAGGTTGGTTCATGAGAGTTAAGGAAAGAAGCCTTCTCCATGACATAAAAAATGCCAGGGGAAGCAGCAAGTGCTAATGGAGAAGCTACAGCAAGTTATTCCAAAGATCATTGATGAAGGTGACTACATTGCAGCTGGTGACTTTAAGTTGAAGACAATGTTAATTTACTATTCAGAACATTCTAGGGCCCTTAAGAATTATGTTAAATCTACTCTACTCTGTCTATGCTCAATAAATTTAACATCAAAGCCTGGATAACAGGACATCTGTTTACAGCATAGTTTACTGAATATTTTAAGATAACTGTTGAGAACTACTGTTTAGGAAAAAATACATATTCCTTTCAAAATATTACTGCTCATTGACCATGAACCTGGTCACCTAAGAGCTCTAATAGAAATGTGCAAGGAAATGAATGTTTTCTTGCCTGCTAACACAACATCCATTCTGCAGCCCATGGATCAAACAGTAATTTTGACCTTCAAGTCTTATATTTAAAATACATTTTGTGGCTGGGCGCAGTGGCTCATGCCTGTAATCCCAGCATTTTGGGAGACTGAAGGGGGCGGATCACCTGAGATCAGGAGTTCGAGGCCAGCCTGGCCAACATGGTGAAACCCTGTCTCTACTAAAAATACCAAAATTAGCTGGGCGTGGTGGCAGGTGCTTGTAGTCCCAGCAACTTGGGAGGCTGAGGCAGGAGAATCACTTGAACCCAGGAGGCGGAAGTTGCAGTGAGCCGAGATCGCGCCACTGCACTCCAGCCTGGGAGACGAGTGAAACTCCATCTCGGGAAAAAAAAAATTGTAAGTCTATAGCTGCCATATTAAATGCTCTGGAAAGGGTTCACCATTCTAAATGTCATTAAGAACATTTGTGATTCATGGGAGGAGGTCATCCTCCATAACAAGAGTTTGGAAAATGTTGATTCCAATTTTTTTTTTTTTTTTTGAGACGGAGTCTCCCTCTGTTGCCAGGCTGGAGTGCAGTGGCACGATCTTGGCTCACTGCAACCTCTGCCTCCCAGGTTCAAGCGATTCTCCTGCCACAGCCTCCTGAGTAGCTGGGACTACAGGCACGCACCACCACACCCAGCTAATTTTTGTATTTTTAGTAGAGATGGGGTTTCACCATGTTGGCCAGGATGGTCTCGATCTCTTGACTTCGTGAGCCGCCTGCCTCAGCCTCCCAAAGTGCTGGGATTACAGGCGTAAGCCACCGTGCCTGGCTGATTCCAATCTTTATGGATGACTTTCAGGGGTCCAAGACTTCAGTGGAGGAAGTAAGTGCAGATATGGTGAAAATAACAAAAGAACCAGAATTAGAAGTAGAGCCCAAAGATATGACTGAATTGGTGCAATATCAGGATCAAACTTGAATGGATGAGGAGTTGCTTCTTATGGATGACCAAAGAAAGTGGTTTCTTGAGATGGAATTTACTCCTGGTGAAGATGCTGTGAACACTGTTGAAATGACAACAAAAGATTTAGAATATTACATAAACTTAGTTGATAGAGAGTGGCAGAGTTTGAGAGGATTGACTCCAATTTTAAAAGAACTTCTACTGTGGGTAAGGTGCTCTCGAACAACATTGTGTGCTACAGAAAAATCTTTAATAAAAGGAAGAATCAATCAATGTGGCAAACTTTACTGCTGTCTTACTTTCAAAAATTGCTGCAACCACTCCAATCTTCAATAACCATGACCCTGGTCAGCAGCTATCAACATCGAGGCAAGACCCTCCACCAGCAAAAAGATTATTATGAATTACTGAAGGCTCAGAAGATTATTAGCATTTTATCAATAAAATATTTTTAAATCAAGGCATGTGAATTTTTTGTAATCATAATGCTATTGCACAATTAATAGACTACAGTATAGTGTAAACATTACTTTTATGTGCACTTGGAAACCCCAAAAATCATGTGACTCACTTTATTGCAATATTCACTTCATTGTAGTGGTCTCAAACAGAACCCACAATATCTCTAAGGTATGCCTCTATGTGCATAAAAATTTTTAAAGAATCTTCAAACGGAATTAATAAGTAAATTTAGCAAGGTCACTATATAATACTCTATTAACCTAGTGTGTTAGGCTGTTCTTTTGTTACTATAAAGGAATACCTGAGACTGGGTTATTTATAAAGAAAAAAGGTTTAATTGGCTCACGGATCTGCGGGCTGTACAAGTATGCCACGAACATCTGCTCAGTGTCTGGCGAGGGCCTCGGGAAGCTTACAATCATGGCAGAAGGTGAAGTGGGAGCAGGCACATCACATGGCGAGAGTGGAGCAAGGGAGCAGAGGGCAAGAGGGGTGGTCCCAGACTCTTAAACAACCACACCTCATATGAACTGAGTGAAAACCCACTTATCACCAAGGGGATGGTGCTAAACCATGAGGGATCCACCTCCATGATCCAATCACCTCCCACCAGGCCCCACCTCCAACATTGGGAATCATATTTCAACATGAGATTTGGAGGGGAAAAATATCCAAACCACATCACTCGGTATAGCATTTTCCATTTCTACTTTAAACTTTCCTATTTCAACTATGTATTTAGATTTTCTTTTGTAGGCATCCTCTGGCTAGATTTTTTTCATCCAATCTGATAGTTTCCATCTTTCCAGCTGGTACAAGTTAGATATATTTAGATGTATTTCCAATAATGTAAGTCCTCAATGTCATAGGTTCTTGGAAACTATAACTTTAAGTGAAAAGATGTACAGCAGGTTCTTCAATAATGTCATTTCATGCAAGGTAGATTCATTATTAACACTGATGAGAAAAAAAATATTCATTCTCTTATATGTCTTTTTCTTTAAAGTTGCAGTTTCCAAGAACCTATCAACGATGTTAAGTGAGGACTTATGACACTTCATTTTGTGCTTTCCATTTACCAGTTCTTTGTATTTTCTTATTTTCCCCTTTCCTAATTTCTATTGTTTGATTAATTCTCTAGTTTATGCAATTTATTTATTTAGAAGTTATATATTCTAATTATTTTCTTTTCCGCTGACAAATATTTAATACACAAATATGAGTTGCCAAAGTCTACAGCTGGTACTTCTATTTTCCTCCTAAACAATGAAAGGACTGTAGAATGCTTTTACTCTTCCCACTCCCTTCCACCTTATGTTCTGTTTTTGTCTCCTGTTTTAATTTTACCTTTCTTTTATAAATCCTCAAGCTGGCCTTTAATAATTTTTATGTCCAGCATTTTTTTCATGCAATTCATTTCTAAGGTTCAATTTTTTTCTTCCTAAAGTGTCACCTTTGGTAGATTTTTCTTCAGGGTCTGCAATTAGTAAATTTTCTCATTGATTACATATTTGAAAAGGTCTGTTAGTCTTGCTGGGTATAGAATTCAAGATGATGATTACATTCGTTTGCTACTTTGAAGATGTTATTTTCTCAAACTATTAGATTCTGGTTCTATTAAAGACTGCTGTTGGTCTAACAGTTTCTCTGAGGTAATCTGCCTTTGATTTATGCTTGCTTTTAAGATTTTCTCCTTGTCTGCGATGCCTTACATGTTCACTATAATGTGGGTCGGGGTATTGATTTATTACTTGTCTTGCTAAGGGCTGATTGACTGTCATAACCCTAGAATTTATCATTTCTGGAAAACTGCAAATTTGGATAAATTATTCAAGTTCCCGTGTTAGTCCACTTCTCAAAACCCTTCAGTGTCTCCCTCATTTACTGCCAGTATTACTACTCAGGACTGGCATGATCTAGCCCCTGCACATTTCTGTAATTAAGTTTCCCATTAATTCCATTTCTGTCTGCCAGGAAATCCCCATGACTCAAACTGGTGATGCTATTTCTTGTTCATAACTCAGCTCAACTTTACCTACCCTCTAAAGCCTTTCCTGAAACCTGTTCTTCTCCCTAGCCACTCTCTGTTTGTGTACCCACTCTTTCCTGCTCATAGGTCTGTTAGTTATTGCATTTATCTATTTATGTGTAAAATTTTCCCCCTCTGGACTCGAGTTCCCAGTGGGCAGCTCCCTTTGTATTTATGGAGACAGGTCCTTAGTATGGGCTCTATAAATATTTGTAGATCAAATGAATAAATGAATCAAGAAATAAGGGTAAACACTAACTCATAGGGATCTTGTAACAACTAAATGTATACCACATGAAGAAGCACCTGGCAAATAACATGTGCTAATCTATTGTTTGAAACTCCATATTCATGCATTATTCTGCTACAGTGGGTTATGTGCCAAACTGGTTGCCTTTTAAAATTTCCTTATTCCATATGGCATAGAGTTCTCAGTGTTCTTTGATCATAATGAAGTATATTTTTGGTTCTGTGCCTTTTATTCCAATTGCTATATTTCTCAGAACAAGAAAAAAATGAAGATGCTTATATAGTGTACCAATTATTACATTCTGTCATGAAAACGCAGTGCATCTGTGAATGTTCTTCTCCCATATATCTTAATGGCATTCTCCTGCTCCTTTAGGTGTCTGCTCCGGGCCTTTGCTGACCCTCCTTATAAAATAGCAAATTTTCACCTCACCTCCACTCTGTCCTCTTTTATGTGCTTTATTTTTCCCATACACTTGTCTACAAATGAATATTATATATTTACCTTTTTGGTTATTATTTGCCCACACATAAACACCAGCGTATAAAGTAGGAACTCTGCTTTATGCCTAGAACAGTGTCCAGCACACAGCAGGTACTCAATAAATATTTGTTGAATAAATGTATCAATGCAGATGCCACTGATTCCCATCAGTAAAATTCTGGTGCCAGAGGAGACAGACACAATAAAGCCACTCTGGGAATGCTAGCCTTCAATATTAATCTTGACCTGGGATGAGATTACAAAACTTGACTATTTTGCTTTTCCTGAGAACAGACTGCCTAATGCATGATTTAATCCTGAAAAGTAAAGAAATCACTTCCTCTCCTGGCAAGCACCTTAACCAAGTTCTAAGCTGGCTGCAGATAAAGCCCGTCTGTTCTCTACTGGTTTAAAGATAGTGGCAGTTCCTGCCTACTTTTAGCAAGCTTTATTTTGCTTTCTGTTTTCTTTCACCACTTAAGGAAAATTTACATATCTTCTCTACCCATTTTATCGTTTTGATCTTGGCAAGAGCTTTCAATTAATACTGTGTGAGCAGTTGTGCAAAGAAAGCACCCATTTACGATGTTTATGGGAAATAAATTCTTATTATTTCATAATGACAAACACCTAAAGCTTCCATTTATTTGTATTATAATTATGAGAGGTCCAGAGATGATAAATGACTTGCTGAAGGCCATGTAGCTAACTTTTACAATACAGGTGATTCCTAGTTTTCCGTGAATAAGTTCATTTATGTTTCTCTTACCACCTACACATTAAGCTAAAGCCCGCCAATTTTTACTTCACTAGTGTGAATCTGTCTGTGAAATAGCCATCTTACTTCCTCAACCTTCAACTATCAAACTGTTAGAGTGGATTTTTGTGTGCCATCCAACATCTCTCTCCACACTTAGTATGAATGAAAATAATGTGATCTTTCAGCCAAGCTGACATTCCAAGGTCAGCTTTTAGACGGGGTCTCACTATGTCACCCAGGCTGGAGTGCAGTGGTGCGATCACAACTCACTGCAGCCTCGATCTCCCTGGGTTCAAGTGATCTTCCCACTTCAGCCTCCCAAGTAGCTAGGAGTACAGGTGCATGCCACCATGCCCGGAAAAAATTTTTTTTTTGTATTTTTTTTAGAGATGGGGTTTCACCATGTTGCCCAGGCTGGTCTTGAGCTCCTGGCTCAAGTGATCCACTCACCTCGGCCTTCCAAAATGCTAGGATTACAGGAGTGAACCACCGCGCCTGGCCCCAAGGTCAACTTTATGGTCAATGAAAACGCCTGGCCCAGAAAGTCTGACCTAATGTATCCTCCACTTTAAAGAGAGCTTGCTTCTCCCTGTTCCTTATTGGGAACATTGTGTATTCACCATACACACTATACAGACTGTCAGATTGGCAGTACACGCTGTTTCCCGTAATGTGGTGGACACAATACTCATCAGTAAAGGTACCTGCTGGCACCTTCTGGACTTAGGGAATGATAACTGGGGCTATCATTGGACTGGCAGTGCCTCCTAGTGGCCACAGCTCTAAAGATCTCCCTCCAACTGAAAAGCAGCCAGGGCAGCAAAAGCCCACCAGGCAACCCCTGCCTTACCCTCTCCTTTCTTCTCAGTCTTGTCCTCATATCATGCAGTGAGAAGTCGGTGCTGATCAGGCTATCATCATATACCAGTCTTTTCAGTATTTAACTGACAGAATTCCCAAAAATGACGTGGCAATGAAAAAAATTGGGAGGAGGGAGGAAAGGTAGGGAATACAAATAGAAAAAATAATCAAGAATAACCTTAGAGTAGGTCATTGTGAAAAGTGCTTTGTAATAATGTGGTCATTGTTGTTCCTTCCCATCAGCCCTGTGGGAGCTCTGACACCCCATTAAGCTTTATCAAGAATAATTTCAGATATGTTACAAAGATACGCAGAGAGGCCCAGCTGGTTTCTCCACAAGCTTGTATTCTGAAAAGAATACACATGATCCCAAAGATCGTATTTTAAAGTGTATATGCTTCATTAAAATGAAAGATGATAAATCATGTCTACAAGCATAACCTTGAGATTACTGTCCTTAGGCCCATGCTGGTGTGGGGTATGCAAATGTAGATTTTGATCTGGGAAAGAACACCTCTGGCAACTGTAGAAGAATCGGGAAGGCTCCACTTCTCTATGAAAAAGACCCTGTAATGGATAAGGCCATGCCACAAGATGAAGTGGAAAGTTTGTTCCTGCTCCCTCTGAACTCTTCTGTATGCTCCCGTGGTCTCCAGGGCATTCTCTGTCCTCATGCAGTGTCTTGTCTCCTCTAGGGACCCCTTCCAACAGTACCTTCTTTTCCAGACAATGCCCACATTCCAGTCCTTTCTCTTTCCTATTTCTACCTTTTCTTCATCAAAATACATTTATCCCATCCATTCCTTCAGGGTCTTGATGTATGTTCTGATAAAGTAGTTTATGGTAAGATTTAAAAAGCAGGTCACCACCCATTGTTCTGTTCCTTCCTTAGACATTTGCATTTTAACTGTGGACTCCTGACATCCTTAACTACCTGGGCTTGGAAGCCAAAAGTCTTATCTCCCAAATACACACCACCCACCTCCATTGCCCCCCAGTGGTCAATCCCAAAGATGACACTGTTGAGACAGAATGCCCTTTGCTTCCCTGAGTTCTGTTTGAACGTCCCCACAAATGACACCCTTGGATTGTCACTGCATTGACCAATGACTCCACGTACCAGAGTCCAAGGGCTTTGGTCTGGGGTCTACAGGCACCGCATTCTGACATGGATTCCTTCAACCCACAAACAGAGAGGGGTAACCCAAGAAATACACAAGCCCTCTGGGACAGAGCAGTAGGCTTTCTCTCCAGTGATTGTTGCTTGCCAACAAAGGTTTTGGATATCTGTGGAATATTCCAAAAGGAGAGAATCTGGCAATTCTTCAGAAGATTCTGGGCAATTAAAATTCATCGAGTTCAGATTTTTAAGAGTTAGAGGGAGAAGTGAAAGGTAAACGGTGGCAACAATTAGGGAACATTATGCTGCAAGCCTGACATTTATGATGCCGTTGACTTGGTCTTGTCCAGCAGGTTTCTTGGGTTTCTCAGAAATTTCTAGAATATGCACCTCGCATATTCTGGGAGTCAAGAACTCCCAGGAACAGCCCAAGTCCTCCTCCTCTCACCCCCACCGTCAGCCCTTTTTCCCCTCCTCCCAAACCTCCCACCCACTGTCCGCGTCAGCGCCTTCGCGGCCAGAACCGCTTTACCCGTCTCCAGGGTAGCACCCTTGGGCAGCCCAGCCAACGCTGTCGCGTGGAGCGGCGCCCGCATCCCCATGCGCGCAGGCGGCTCCGGGGCCGCGCCGCGCTGATTCGCTGCCGGCCGCGCAGACTGCGGCGCCAGCGACGCTCCCGCCCCTCACCGCGCGCCGCCTGGTGCAGCCTCAGTCTCTCCGCAGCCGCGCGGCCACTGCGAGCCCAGCCGCAGCAGCCGGGCACCAACGCTTGAGTGCACGCTCGGCGCCCCCGAGGAGAGCCACGGCGAGCCCCCAAAGCCCGCACGATGCAGGCCACTGCCGATTCCACCAAGATGGACTGTGTGTGGAGCAACTGGAAAAGTCAGGGTATTCTCTTTATTTCAGTAGTGCATGCCTGAGGCGCACGGGAAACCCGGGACCTGGACTCGTCCATTGTGCATCATTTCACCTGTGGGACCTGTGCATGCTTTATACCCCAGAGCTTTGTGTTGGGGGGTAGTAAACCTCTTATTTCAAGAATCAAAATGGATGGTGCTTGGTTGTTGTTTTTTTCTTTTTTTTTTTAACCCCACCCCCACCCCTTTGTTTTCTTGTTGTAATGCTGGTATTTTAAATAATGCATCAATCGCCTCCTCCGGGAGTTCTTTTGGGATCTGTGCATCATTCAGTACTTGTTTAATGTTTTCTCATCCCCGGAGTTAAAGTGCTTTCTTATTGTTCCATGCATCCCAGTGCATTTATTTCTGCCCAAAGGTTGAAATCTCCTGGCAGAACCATTAACTGAGAGGGCTGGAGTGCATCCTTTTAAGAGGGACACACCCATTTCAGGGTTGTTATTTGTGGTCACACAAAGGAGAGTGGAGATGCAGACTAGCTCTCGAAATCCTGAAAATATGATGGCGTAGCCACATATTAGGATGGTTCACTTTGAAATATTTGGGGTTTTTTTCTGTCATTGGAGTAACCTGTGACTACTATTTATTAATAATAGGTATCTGTGAAATAAATGGAGGGAAAGAACGAAACAGTGCCCGTGGCCCTTGGTATAACAGATTTATTTTGGAATAGTCCATATTAGCACTGGGTGTGGCTACCCTCCAGCCTCGCTTGGATTGCTTTTCAGCCATTTTTATTCAGCCTCACACTTCACACATCCATCTCTCCTTTGTTACATTAAAATTCACCTTGCAGTTACAGAGTATGAGGAGAAAGATAATTTGCAAGAATGAATTGTGTGTAGTAACTTGGGTGTTTGTCGGAGGTAGTGTCTTTTCATATTTAACAAAGATGGTTCTGAAGAAGGCGCGTTTAATTTAACCTGCAGGGTTTTGCAGCATCCCTCAGGAGACCAAGAATACTCTGGAGCAGCAGCTGATTTTGTAAAAACCTGGCATCTTCCCCTTGTAATTCTATATCACAGGAAGGATAGGATGTCCTTTTATCTTTAATGCCTCTGTAGGGTTTTGCTTCGGTATATATTTTAAGAAAAAGTAAACATAAATCTCAGAATTAAAAGCCTGCTTACCTTGCCTCTTGTTTGTTGGATTGGGTGGCAATGACATAAAATACAGTCGTCTACTTCAAATTATGTGAGTGTTGGAAATACCGTTGTCAAAAGTAAATCGATGGAGCTGATAAATTTAAAAGCCAGTAAATAAGAAATGTATGCCAGTTGAGGCACAATGTTTTGAAGAATGATGACAATTACGTGGAAGAACATATGTTCAATATAGAAGGCAGCTGTGAAAATATTTTGTAACATTTTATTCTTGTTCTGTGTTTAGATCCATCCAGTTTATTTGATATACACACCTGACAAACAACTATGGCTTGGTATAAGATCAAATTTAGTTGGACATAAACACTGGATTTTAGACCATGATTATGAGTTTCTAGTATTTTTAACAAAAGTAGATATCCAAAGATGGCAGGTTTTCTTTTCTATTTGTATAAGATATTCACAAAATCTTATGAATTAAATATCTTAATCTATTTCATCACAATCTTATGCGGTTTGACTCGGTTGCCTCAGTTTATGTCTCCGAGGTTTTAAAAAAACACATGGACTTTTATCATTAGAAATTAACACAAAATGTCATAGTTTCGCCATTGAAGACAATAATTTTTCATTTCTGATGCAGAGCTACTTGTGAAGATTAATTGAAGATCATTGAGAATCTTTTATACTCAGCGACCTTTGGTCATCTTTAGTACCATTGATTTCCTTTTGTTAGATGGAACAAATCCATTATCTTGAAAATTGACTAATAAGTAACTGGGTGGGAGGACTTATGAGCACAAAAGAGAAATTGTAAGGAGTGAATTATTCCTTTTTTTTCTCCTCACTGTGAGAACTTTTAACCTTAACAGAATCTACATTGAGGTTTTGTTGTTGTTGTTGTTTAGCATTTTTAGTGTATCCTCTTCCCTTTAGTTCCCTTATTATCAAAAACAGTTGTGCTTAACCCTGTCTGCCCATTAGAATCACCTGGGAAGCTTTAAAAACCACGAAGGATGCCTGGGCCCCACCTTTTGAGATTCTGATTCAATTGAGCTGAGCATCAGTATTTTTTGAAAAGCTCCCTAGGTGAGTTTAATATGTAACCAGGGTTGAAGTCACTGGAATATTATTATTATTTTGTAGAGACGTTGTCTCACTATGTTGCCCAGGCTGGTATCAAACTCCTGGCCTCAAGCAATCCTCCTGCCTCAGCCTCCCAAAGTGTTGGGATTACAGGCTTGAGTCACCATGCCCGGCATGGTGTGTAATAATTCTTAGTGAGCCAAACCCATAGACCAGCAGAGGTCCAGGATACCAATTTAAAAAAAAAAAATGGGTGTGATCTAGAAGCAGCTGTGAATGCAGTGGAAAAAGGTCAGTGCAACACTGTTGATGATGTCCTCCAGAAGGATTAGGAGGGACAAGTTTTGCTTGGAAAGGAAATAATGTGAGCTTTAGGTTTTCTTCATGTTATTAAATACTACATGGAGAAATTGCAGCAGATTGAATATTTCATGAAGACTCCACTGAAACTAATTATAGTGTGCCATAAACACTGTAGTGCACATGCAGAAGGAACCTTATCAACATATATAATTTCAGCTACAGACAAGAATGTTTAAAGAAAGGGAGGCTAAAGTCCTCCTTATATATACTACATCACACCAATTCTGCTTCTAATTTTAAAAAGTTATACTACCACCAAATATTGGTTAATAAATCAAAGCACATTCTACTCAGTGAAAACAAAATGAGAATTAAATGACAACCTAGCAAAACACCTGTATAGATAACAATCTTACAGATCAGTACCATCCTACAATTTACAGGACTCTTTACTGAGTGGTTTGTTTGAATTACTACATTTAGTCCCCACAAAACCTGTGTGGTGTAAGTTTTATTATTGTCCTCATTTTGGAGGGGATGACTGAGGCTTTGGTAAGGGCACACAGATAGTAATGCCAGAGGCTGGCTGCAAGCCTGGGCTGTCTCCAGAGACCCTCACTTCCCACTGCTCCACCTTCTGCCGCTGAGGTTGATGGCTTTTTCCTCAATGATTTTTCTAAAGGTTTAAATTATCTATGTAATGGTGATTGTGTAGGCTTAATAACCCCTTCACATTTACAAGTCTTCATTTTGCCAGACGTCTTCTCATTTGAGCTTTTCAGTTTACTCTTGGACATTATGAGGCTCAGAAGTTAACTGACTTGCCCAAGGTTTTTTGGTAGCAGATTGTGTAGTAAAAGGTGATTCTCTTGGCTTCAAATCCATAACTCCTCCCATCTCAGCACTCACTGCCTATCTTACTAACACTAAGTTAGAGAAAGTGAACTCTCATCTACCTCATCTGAGATATTTTCACAGACATTCTAACCTTTACAAATACAACAAAATTTAGCAGCAAGGCCATGATCTTGACCAATTTATACCATGGTTGTCACTGTCATCACCACCATCATCAATTCATCATTCTAAATTCTCCGTAAATATTAGCTACGTGCCAGGTGCTGTCCTAAGTTCTTGTTACATACCTGCTTTAATTAAGCCTCCGTGAGACTTTTTTTATTACTCTCATGTTATAAAGGAGGTAACTAAGGGATTTAAGAATGAGAGGGGCAGCAGTTTGCCCCAGGACGTAACTGGGTTCTGAACACAGAACATTATGATCATGAAGCCTATTCTTTTAACACTTCGACTGTACTACCCAAATCCGAATGGTGTTGTACTAGGGGAACAAAGTTTGATTAGAACCATGCATCCACATGATTCTGTTTGTTCTCTAAAGATCATTTTTTCTCCCCAGATCTCACTGTACTCAACAAATTCACCTGGCAGGATGCTTAGTAGTATGGTTGATTGATACATGTGTGCCTGGGGCTAGAGGTCACCTCCCACTTTACTCTGCGTGGCAGCATTTTGTAGTTACAGATTGCCAGAATGTAAGTTATTGATGGAAGATGAAACACTTTCCAGAGAGCATAACCTAAAGGCAATCTTTTTTTATAAAATATTTTGAAACTTTTATGCTGGTCTACAGTGTTCGTGGAAACACTTCAGGATAGTCTGTTCTGAAAGGAGCTAGTCTGAAACATTAAAGAGCTAAGCATTCCAGAATACACCGAGGAAATAATCTGTTTTAGCCACAGTAATTGAAAAAAAGCATGCCTTTGGGAATAGTATTTGGGAAAGACATTTTACACATATACATAAAGGCAGACTAATATCACCTTTTATGAAAATCAGCATTTTATTTAGACCCATTATTATTAAAGTATTATACAAATATTACAATGTAAATATTAACAATTGCAGACTCCCTGGCTCTAAAGATTCTAATGGGATCCAATGGGAAAACTGCCTTAGCTGGGGAGAAGGGGATTTTTTTTCCCCCTTAGTGAAAGAAAACTCGTATTATGCAGATAATATACCAAATGTAGGTAATCAATCACTCCATTGAAAAATAAAGTTCTTTTTCAAAATGTATTAACATTTTCAAGAAAAACTTTTTAAGGAAATATTTCGAACTTTGGGAGGGGAATAATGGCTTTATTTTTTTCTAAAAATGAGGAAGGCACATTATGAACATTTTCATTTGTACAAAGAGAAGTTCAAATAAAAGCCACTAATTACCCAAAATCCTACCACCCAGAGTTAATCGTTGTTAAGATTTGCTGAATATTATCTAGATATTGCATAAAAATGAAACTAAAGGGCTAGGTAGGCAACAAAAACAGTGTTGATAAAATAAGATTGAATATGTTACAAAAAGTATTTAAAATAATTTAACGGAAGAAGTGGACATGAAACTGAAAGAATTGTGGAACGTCAGATCCATGTTTCTTTACTATATGAGCTTTTCTTTCCTGGAAATTGAGAAAAAGACTAGATAAACATCAAAAGGTTTGAATCATTTTTAGTTACATGTTGCAGTTTTAGACCCTACAGAGGGACACTCTGCAGTGTCCAACATTTTTTTTAAAGATTCATTGTGGGTTAGAAAGGTTGACGAAATACTGATCTAAATTTACATCTTCAAATCTATTATTGTTCTCAGATTTCTGTGAATACTTGTTTCATTAAAAAACGATAATCCTAATATTCTATGACAAAAATATTATGATTACTATATATCAATAGGGATTGTGGATGACATCGTCCATTATAGTTACCAGGCCCTTCCTTCTTCATCATTTTTAAAAAGTCTCTCTTTCCCTCCTTCCCTCCCTCCCTTATATTTGAAATGATAATCTGTACACAGTTATTTCTCATCTTTAGACCAGTTAATATGTTCTGGAACAGAATGTGAAGTAATTGGTATATTTTAAGTTACCTTATAATAGAATTAAATTATAAAATCCATTGAATCCAAGAAAACCAGATCTATTATGAGTTGGGCCTTCAGTGGTTAGCTTTCAGAATAACACTTTTCTTTTTGAAAATAATTAAATGTTTGTCACAGGCAAATTTCTCATCCTCCTAAGTTGTGTGCATGTTTGCACCCATGTATTGTTGATATACTGTCACCTTTCTAGTTCTTATGAAAGTACAGGCCAGGCACAGTTGGCTCACGCCTGTAATCCCAGCACTTTGGGAGGCTGAGGTAGGTGGACCACCTGAGGTCAGGAGTTCGAGACCAGCCTGGGCAACACAGTGAAACTTCATCTCTACTAAAAATACAAAAACTAGTCAGGCGTGGTGGCACACGCCTGTAGTCCTAACTACTCGGGAGGCTGAGGCAGGAGAATTGCTTGAACCCAGGGGGCAGAGGTTGCAGTGAGCTGAGATCACGCCATTGCACTCCAGCCTGGGCAACAGAGCAAGACGCCGTCTCAAAAAAAAAAAAAAGAAAAGAAAATACAGCCATTCAAAGAAATATGGCTGCCTTATAATTAAGCTCATAATTTGAAAGCTAGGAATTTGACATTAATGATTCTTTAAAAGCCATCTTCTGCCTAGGTGACAGTTAATAATGCTAACTACTTTAAATCTTGATAATTAAAATTATATTCCAAACTTACAGCATATATTTCAAATAAGAAAACTGTTAGGAGTTTTACAACTTAAAAGTATAGTGTTCTATTTTTCCAAAGTATGTTTGAGCTATATCTTTAAGTTCAAGCTGAGCAAAGTTATCTTATTGTTTCATGAAATAAAATTCTAAATTCTTCCTTATTTTATATGTTGCCAAAGGAAAAAACATAATCTCAGCATTACTCTTGAGCTCTTTGACAAAGCTGGTGTTAATGTTGAACAAATGAAAAGCACAACTGTAAGTTTTAATTTTTAGAAAGTATTGCAGTTCTACACATTTTACAAAGAAAATGCTTTAAATGTGGTCATATTTTATCCCCTTTCTTCAGAAATATTTCACCAAACTGCAGATTGGCAAATTTCAAATTTGGTGATAATTGGCATCAAGAAGAACATAATATTTTATTGAATGGAACAGAGGTACAATGAGAAATCAATCCTTTTGTCTTTTTAGTTCAAGAAATATTTTTGCTGTTATCATCTTGGCCCAAATTTTAAACGTATTCATTTTTTTTAAAAAGGAACCAACAGCTGTCTACCTCCTGGTTCTTTTCTATTCCACTACAATGATGGGTTTTAAGAAGGGATGACACAATCTTAAGATTTTGTGGCTAATTATGGTTGATGACCAATAGACCAAATGAACAGTTTGTATTTTGATGAGGTCAAAAAGCTTAAAGAAATAGTACATGAAGACAACCATTCTTGAGTATCTCAAAATTATTTCTTCATGCCTCAACTATCACATTTCCAAAGCCCGTCTTTTCCTCCCTGTGACCATCTCTTCCTTTGATCCCGGTTATCCTGTGAAGATCCCTCCAAGTGAGCCTTGGCTTTACAAGAGGTCTAGGAGGAGGAGGAGCTTGCCCAACTGTCTGAAATTCACAGGACCTGTTGTTTCACTTCCTGGGCAGGCCCACCCCACCATGGTGACCAAGGGCTTACACATCATTATGTTAACTTGACAGCTTGGAAAGAATGGGAATGTTCTAGTCCTAGTGGTTAGACCTAGCAAACAGGAATCACATTCATTTCTAACCAAGGAAAATGTTAAGCCCTCCATAAGGATAAAGTAGTTTTTGCCTTCAGTCCAGCCCGAGGAGGAGTCATTCGGGAATAGTATAATTCCTTTTGTCTCTCGTGGAAGAAAAGCAGCAGAAATTGCTGTTGGCTGTGGCTTTGACACTGAAATCCTTCATTTTCCTTTGTTCCACCAAAGCTCATTTAAAGTGGTGGATTAAATGCTATGCTCTTTTACTATCTATAGAAAGCACCAGGCTTAATGTGTCTTTCCTTTCAAAACATCCACAGAATTATTTAAGAGTCTAGAAATAGTGTTGGCATTTTTCTCTTGACAGTCATATAGGTTGTAGTTAGGAGGTGTGAGGGAAGGGCTGGAAAATGAAATCAAAGGTGTCTTATCAGCAGAAGTCCGTGCCAGCAGTTTTCCCTCTGGGCTCAGGGCTCCTAGATTACCATGTGAACCTTCAACTGATGTGGGATACTATCTTGGTAAATGAAACTCATGACTAGAAGATGTCATCTTTGAAGGTCTCTATGTTTACATCTACTTCTGTTTTCTTTCTCCAGTTTAATGTCAAACGAGGGAAGATTAAAGTAGGAAAAATTACTTCTATTTTTTCTTGTTAACATTTTGTGGTGATATTTTGTTTCCTTCATGAAAATCAGTCAGAAAAAAACTGGCTCTTAATCACCTCTTTGGACACTGGGTTGGAAACAACTGAGGTTTGTCTAGCCTTCTTACTCTGTCCACAAAGTAGTCAATTATTGTAGTTAAATCATTGGAAGCTTGCTAAAAAGTAAATAAATTTCAACAGCATATCATTTTTCAACAGTCCTTTTGTTGAAATGCTGATATTATCAATGAACAGGAACTTGTCACATTTTCTCACTTGGCATTTACTTATTTATTTATTTAGAGATGGAGTGTTGCTCCGTTGCCCAGGCTGGAGTGCAGCGGCTCGATCTTGGCTCACTGCAACCTCTACCTCCTGGGTTCAAGTGATTCTCCTGCCTCAGCCTCCCAAGTAGCTGGGATCACAGGCGTGTGCCACTATGCCCAGCTGATTTTCTTTTTGTATTTTTAGTAGACACAGGGTTTCACCATGTTGGCCAGGCTGGTCTCAAACTCTTGACCTCAGATGATCCGCCCGCCTCAGCCTCCCAGAGTGCTGGGGTTACAGGTGTGAGCCACTGGGCCTGGCCTCACTTGGCCTTTTAAAAAGTAGCATTAATTTGTCACATAGCAAGTGGTGTAGTGCTGCCTGAAGTATTTTCTGGGCCAAGATGGAATAAAATTACACAGTTAAGAATATGGTACCATAATGCAGATAATTATGCACAATTTATTGCTATTTTATAGTATCCGCTTATGTCACATTTTACCTTATAAATAAAATATAAATAGCTGCACTACTTGTCTTTTCAGTTCATACATTTTTAATAAACTTTCTGAATACTGTGGCCACTGTTGGGCCATTTGAATGCATTTAAAGTATTTTTACCAAAACAAAAATTTGGACTACAGCAAAGGACTTTCTTTCTAGAAATTTGACATAGGATTTAATTTCCACTTAGCTATTAATTCAAACCTTGGATCACTTCTCTTATTCTTCTTTTGTTATTGATTGGATTCTAGAAATAAGGGGAGCACTGGTTTGATGTTAGAATTCTTCAAATCTGCCACTTCACTTTTGGCCAAATTTATTCTAAGACAGTCCTAGGCAGGCTGCAGTGTGTGTGCTCATAGCTGTGGTTTGAGGACTATGGTGATCACCAAGCCCAGTTCCTTTATCAAATTGATAGGACACACTGATCTCTCATTTCAAAGCCAATGTGTTTCTCCTCAGTTTTTAGCAAAGTAGCTTTAATTTTTACAACTGGCAAAGCAATATAGTAATATGCCTATCCTAGTAAGTATTCTTAGTTAATGTATACTCAGATGTTGAAACTCTCGCCTGGCTTTTCTGCATTAGGAGGATATTAAAAGAGAAAAGCTGATCATATTTTGTTATACCAGAAGACCACTGGGGGTAATTAATTCCAGTAACAGGGTTACTTATATTTTTCTTACTTGGGTTCTAAGGAAACTTTATTCAAATACCTACTTTTCTGGATTGGGTAGTATAAAGCTTCCTACGCAAGTTGATACCACTCTAAGCAAAATTAAAATGTGAAAAATTGGCATTTACACAGCAGATTTGGAATGCAGAAATTCTCTTCTCTGATCCCATCACCTCCTACCCTTCCCACTGAATCATCAGAACTTCAGGCCATTTCCTGGCACTCTGACCACACATGGCCATTGCCACTCTCCCAGCCTATCAGTCACCAGCCATCTAGACTGTCCGTCATTCCCAGCCTGAACCCCAGGGTTGTTCATTTCAATTCTGTCCTCTTGGACCTTAGAGTCTTCTGATCATGCTCCTTGTGCCTCTTCACAGCCCTGGACCAGCCCCACCACCCATTGATCAGAACATTCAGCATCTAATTCTATTGAATGGATCCCCAAGAAACCCTTGACTTTAACCAAGCCCTCTTCACTTTTTGGCAGTCCATTTATTCATTCCTTTTTGAAGCCTTATTGTATGTTTCTAGACCAGCACTGTTTAATAGAAATATAATATAAGCCACAAATATAAATTTTCTAATAGCCACATTAAAAAGTAAGAAGAAACAGGTAAAATTCGTTTTGATTATATATTGTATTAATAGATCAAAAGTATTAGCCTTTCAAAATATCAATACAAAAAGAATTAATGAGATATTTTACATCCTTCTTTGTACTAAGTCTAAGATCCAGTATGTAGTTGACACTACAGGACATCTCATTTGGGACTAGCCCCGTTTCACACACCCAGTAGCCTTATGTGACTCATTGCTACTGTATTGGACAATGCAGGCCTTGACTTTTCCTACCCTCTTCAAGCCCCGCCCTTAATCTACTTAGTCTCAGGAACCTCTTGACTCATTTTCCAGGGAAAATTCAAGTTAATTTCCCTCATTATGTTATTTTACCACTTTAGGTTATTTCCGTTCCACCTCAACACGTATCTGTGGCCACAACTGTAACTTCCCAAAATGTCCTTCCATCTTTACCTATCTCTTTTCTCCCTCCTTCTTTGAAAACAACTGTGATTAATCCCATTTTTTCCTTCCTTAGTGGAGACTTTGCTTCATCAAGTCTGTTTTCCAAAATCTTCACCCCTCCCTTCCCTCTAACATTCCTAGGTTTTGCTCAACCTAAAGGTTTACTTGTTGCTACTACTCCCCAAACTACCATCTTCTTTATTACTTTGAACTTCCCCCCACCCAGCCCCTTACGATAAGGCTTCCGTCCCCACTACTCATAGCAGTGCCCCCTGCAAAGTTATGAATGACCTTCCTTTCAGTCTCCAAATCCAGTGGTCCTTTCTACATTTCCATTTCCTTGTTATGTCTACAGCATTCCACACTGTAGCTTACCCCTTCCTTCTGAGAAATGTCCTTCTCCTTGGCTGCCATAACCTGCACTATTGTGGTGCCCTTTCTAGCAGGTGGACCTCTCTTTTCTCTGGACCCACTTATTCCTTTCAATCCCAAAGGTTGGTTTCATCCTAGACTGCATCCCTTAGCCTACCCTCCATTGGAGATTTCCTCCACTCTCATGGCTGCAGTCATCGTTTCCACATAGAATACACCCAAAAGTAAATGTTCAGCCCCCTGTACTAAATTTTAGCCCTGCACTTCCAATGGCCTACTGTACATATTCATCTGAATATCATTGGATATATGATATTAAGGACCATGTTAACTGAGGGCTACTGTGACAGAGCCTAAAGAGCAAGTCATTTAACTTCTAAGCTTTTAAAACACTTAGTAATGTGTGCAATTGTCAGCCTCATTTCATCTCTGATCTCATCTCTGCCCCAGGCTGTGTCAGAATGCCCTGCTTAGATGTCATCATGTCAGAATCTGGAGATTTAAAGACAAGTGTCAGCTTTTCCCCAAACCAGTTCACCCTCAGATTTCCTGTTTTTGGCAGTGATACTAATTACTCAGTCACCCAGCTTTGAAATGCTGTTTTCACCCTTAATTAGCTCTTCCTCGTTTCTCCCACAGTTAGTCACCATTCTTGTCAACTAATCCTTTGTAATATTTCCTTTTATCCACCCCATCTCCTTAACAAATTGTCCGCCACACTCACATACCATCCCACATCCTCTTTCTTTGTCAATTCTAGTACTATCTCTTCCTTAAACTCAACTTTTGCCACCTACAACAGTACAAGATGTGTTGGCATCGAGACAACATTTGTCAAAAGATTGTTCAATATTCCCAGCTAGACCTAAAATTCCTTAAAAGCAGGATCCAAATTTTATGATTTCTTCATTCCTGTGCTTACTTAGATAATAGGTGATCAATAACTGTTTACTATTGAAATGACTTTTCACTCAAAGAAATTTCTCTTTAAATATCTAGTTCTAAAAGCAGTTTTAAATATAATCAGATTTCCCTAAACTAATTTTACATAACTTTTGGGGACACTTAACATGTAATGTGAGAGAGGCAACTATTTTGTTTTGGAAGAAGCATCAGATTTAGGGTTTGATCCTGATTCTCCTATTAACTAGCCAAGATACAAGTGTAACTGCCCAAGGGGTTCACCTTTCCTGCTGCCTAGACAGAGCTGATTCATCAAGACAGGGGAATTGCAATAGAGAAAGAGTAATTCAAATGAGTCTCACTGAGCATTCAGGGAGCAGAGTTTTTAAGGATAACTTTGTGGGTGGGCGGAAGCCAGTGAGCCAGGAGTGCCGATTGGTCAGGGATGAAATCATAGGAAGTCAAAGCTGTCTTCTTGTGCTCAGTCAGTTCCTGGGTAGGGGCCACAAAATCAGATGAGCCAGTTTATTGATCTAGGTGGGGCCAGCTGATCCATCAAGTGCAGGGTCTGCAAAATATCTCAAGCACTGATCTTAGGAGCAGTTTAGGGAGGGTCAGAATCTTGTAGCCTCCAGCTGCATGACTCCTAAACCATAATTTCTCATCTTATGGCTAATGTTAGTCCTGCAAAGGCAATCTAGTCCCCAGGCAAGAAGGAGGTCTGCTTTGGGAAAGGGCTGTTACTGTCTTTGTTTAAATTATGAACTAAGTTTCTTCCAAAGTTAGTTCAGCCTACACCCAGGAATGAACAAGGACAGCTTAGAGGTTAGAAGCAAGATGGAGTTAGTTAAGTTAGATCTCTTTCGCTGTCTCGGTCATAATTTTGCAAAGGCCGTTTCAGTCCTTCCCTTGGGTTTTATAACACCTTAATCTTAAGGAGTAGGCTGTGAAGATGGGACAAGGCCATTGATTGCTCTGGCTTCTTCCTGCTGACAGGGGATGTAGTGGGAATGGGAGTGAACCCCAAGGTGAGAAGAGTGGAACTGCTTTGCAACTGTCTGAGCGTACTCATGCAGGCCTGGCTGGGCTTTCAAGGTTTGCATGGCAGAAACAGTACTCTTATTTATAGTTTTACTACAGTGTTTAAGTGAACAGCCTACTATAAGGTAAATAATGAGGGCTAGGATTAGGAGTACAATTACCAGTTTTAAAAGCAAAGATTTGCTTCTAACCCTCAAAGAATTTAGAATTTAGTTTAAACTGCAGAAAAAACCTCAAGAACAGCTAACAACAGTGTAGTATAGTTTTTCTTTTGAATCATAATTTTTCTCTCTCCAGTCATCATTTTTATTAAAAACAAATCAAGAAATGGTTTGTTTATAAAATGAATTTTACTCTTACTGTACTTGGCCTGATTATTTGCATAAAGTACAGCAAGAGTAATTATTTTTCATGTAAGCTTTTTCAATTGGCTTTGATAGAACTCTGTTCTGTTAAGAACTTTAGATAATACTTTTTAAAAGCTGAGCCCAGCAATGGGTTTATACCCTTTAATACCTATGAGGTGGGAAAATTCCTCTTCTCTTGAGGTCCCAAAATAACTTGGGGTTCCTGGCCCTGTTATAAAGTGACATTCTTTACTTACCACAGGTCAGGAACCTTGTACAGGGACTTTGTGAACAAGGTATGAGAACAGATTCCCCAACGGGCTTTAATTGGCTTTATAAGTCAACTTTGATTCTTTAAAGGAAGCGTGCCATTTCACTTAAAGCCTTGGTAAAATAACCAGTTTCTCCAAATGTGTCCTGTTAGAAAAGAAAACAGATTGTTATTACACTTATGCAATTAACTATACTTCCATAAATTGAGAATATTAACAAATAGTTTTCAAATTCTGGAGAAATTAGGTAGAGAGGAACAAATGTGCTCCAAATTTTGTTTATAGGAGTATATTTTACTCACTTGTTAGAAGTTGCAAATAGCTCTAAAGAAATAAGTCCTCCTGACTCTGAAAGAAAAGGTTTAGCAATGTTTAACACATTAGCTTTCCATGAGAGCCCTAAAAGTTTGTTCTTTTCCTCTCTTTCAATAGCACAATTTTTAAAGTTATTTGAGACCTGCACTTAAGAGTCGTATATCTGATTATAAACTGCCTTTTGAAAAGGACCAAAGCAAGACAAAATGTCTGTGGATGACAAAAGGCTATAGCC
This sequence comes from Homo sapiens, assembly GCF_000001405.40. Lineage (NCBI taxonomy): Eukaryota > Metazoa > Chordata > Mammalia > Primates > Hominidae > Homo > Homo sapiens. Next base: position 59,616,684 of record NC_000014.9, on the reverse strand, counting down.
ACTATTAAAGCTACAATTATGTAGCAGTTTTGTTTACTTTTGTGGCATACAACAATTTTACATAACAATTATAATTATTAATAATGTACACTAAATTGTATCAACATTATAGAAGTTTCCCATAATTTTGGAACACATACTAATAACATTTATATAAATAAAGTCCAAAGTAAACCAAATGCCACTTAGTCTTCTATTTGAAACATTTTCCTCTATTTTAATGTCACAATTTTCAGCATTATTAATTAGAATCCTGCATTTAAGAGCACCTGTTAAATTTGATAGCTGAGTATGAAACAATTTTCACCAAAATGAGACAATTGTCTGTGGATGATAAAAATATTTTAAGGCAGCCACAGTTAAAGACACAATTGACAAGAAAATTTGTTACCTCTGTGGCACACAGTCTGTTAACATAATAATTATGATGATTACTGATAACATATACTAAGTTATATTAGAATAACAGGAGTTTTGCATAATTTCAGAGCATATACCAATAACGCATTTACACAAATATAGACCAAAGAAAGCCAAACACCATTTCATATTTGACAATGCTTTCTGTATGATTTTTGTACCAAATAAGCCAAATGTTATTTTTGGACTTTAGAGGACCTAATATCTAAAATATTAGGTAAAAAAGAGACATAATTTATAATTTGATGTTGGAAAGTTTGTTAAATATCAAAGGTTTAAAATACTGGTTATCACAAAATAGAATCCTAGGTTACCATACGTAATTCATTTGGCCAAAATGATAACTCCAAAAAAAATTTTAAAAAAGAAAAACCTTTACTCTAATAGAGGAGACTTAGCTTTCCAAACAAGATGCAATGAAGATAGCATGAGGCCAAATAAATCTATCTCTTTTCTTTCTTTCCTCCTTTTTTTCCCTGCCATTTACCCAAAGAAGAAAATAAGACCTTTTTATTATCTTTTAACATTACATAAAAATCATCTTTAAAAGAGAAAAACATATTTCATGTTTGCATTCGTGCATTGTTAATGTTAAAGCTAGTGTTTTTAAATAAAATTTTGTATCTTTATTCAGTTTTAATTAGTTTGACCATAGGGTAAGATTTTCACAAACCCTTTAGAACCCTTTACAATTTTCCATTAAACAGCAGATCAATTTTCTAAGAAAGCCCTGTTATTCAGACACATGGGCCCAGATTCAGGCCCCACATCAGTATGATTTTGATGTTTGTTGTTGTTGTTGTTTTGTTTTTTTTTAGATGGAGTTTCACTCTTGTTGTCCAGGCTGGAGTGCAATGGCATGATCTCTGTTCATCGCAACCTCCACCTCCCAGGTTCAAGTGATTCTCCTGCGTCAGCCTCCCGAGTAGCTGGGATTACAGGCATGCGCTACCATACCCAGCTAATTTTGCATTTTTAGTAGAGACAGGGTTTCTCCACGTTGGTCAGGCTGGTCTCGAACTCCTGACCTCAGGTGATCCACCACCCTCAGCCTCCCAAAGTGCTGGGATTACAGGCATGAGCCGCCATGCCCAGCCGCTTTTAATGTTTTAACCTAAGGAAAAAAGCTAAATAATTTCTTTTAAATATTAGCCAACTGGTTTATACCCACAGAATTTTTACAAGATTAACCCTTTCACTTTGCTTAAGCCTTCAGTTTTGTTCTGTTACTCTTTTAGGTTAAGACAATTTTTAAAACCCTCAGAACTAGCCAAAATTACATTCCCTTTAACAAAAGCTATATTCCCATGCCTTCTTATAATCTTTTACCAAAAACACATTCCCTACATACCTTGTATGTAAAACTGCTTCTTCAGTGGTCTCAACTACATATTACAATGTTAACTGTTAGAAACTTTTATTTTTAGTGAAAAACCTGATAAGTAAGAGATTTTAATTATCTACTAAGGGTGGAGCCTAGGACATCGGACAGAAATGAAGATCTGACTCATTTTAGCATAGCTAGTGGACTTGGCTTTCCGTATGTCCCCAGGCCTTATCTATAATCTGCTCCAAAGTAGGTAAATCGAACAATTTTCAAAAGTCAAAGAAACAGCTTGACCTTAAAGCATTTAGCAAATTTGATATTTGACCTTAATTTAGACCAAATGTCTACATTTTCAAGACATTTTATTTTACCAATAATCTTTAAAACTGTCTTTATTTCCCAAAGATTCCTAAAGTCACGTGAACAAAACGGCATTAAAGTTTCTATTTTTCTGACAAAATATTTGATTTAAGCACTTATGTTTCTAAGCCAATTAGAGTTTTTTTATATGTAAACATACAACACATATAAATACACAGACAGGAGATTTAGCACTTGTGAAATTTTTCATTTGCCAGTTTCTTAATTGGATGACTGGCTTCAGGGTGGAGCCCTTGGAGGAGCAGGGCCAGGAAAACATGAATTTCTAGGGCCAAATAAGCAGCTGAAGGCAAAGACAGATCCCCAAAATTAAGGGTACCATTTTATACCGGATCCCGGATCCCCAAAAGGAGGAAAATACTCAGGAGAAGATAGTGCAATGCTTCTACCCTGCATTTTATTGCAAGGTAACCCAAAGCCAATCAGCCCATTTTGTAATCAGCCCATCTCTCCTGGGAGTCTCATCTCCCAGTGGGGGTAGTGGGGGCGTTTTCTTGTCTTCCAAGTAGCCAAGAGCATGCTTCTCCTATCCAAGTGTGCAAAGAATTAAGTATCCCTCCATAACTACTATTAGCCATCCCTTATATTTCCTACCTAATTATCATAATACGAAGTAATTTCTGATACCCCCAAAACTCAAAACCATCAGATAACAGTATGCAAAACAGAACAGATCCTTTAATTTTGAGAGGGATTTATCTGCTTTTAAATTCCTGGGGTTTTATAAGGAAATCAGAGGGTTTTTTTTTTCCAAAACAGGGTATGTGGTGCCTCCTCTGTTTTTCCCAATGAATCTCAGGCTACCAGAAGTTATCTTAGGGCCTCTCATGAGTGCTTTAAGAAGGACAAGGCAAAAAAATGGAGAAAAATAATACAGTCGACTGAGAAGAAAAATCCTTTTTCCAGAAAAACAAGTTCCAAGAAGAGAAAAACATAAAGGCCTTTTAAATATATCTATAGGCCGGGCGCGGTGGCTCACACCTATAATCCCAGCACTTTGGGAGGCCGAGGCAGGTGGATCACAGGATCAGGAGTTCAAGATCAGTCTGGCCAACATGGTGAAAACCCATCTCTACTACAAATACAAAAAATTATGCAGGCGTGTTTGCGCGCACCTATAGTCCTAGCTACTTGGGAGGCTGAGGCAAGAGAATCACTTGAACCCAGGGGACAGAGGTTGCAATGAGCTGAGATCACGCCACTGCACTCCAGACTGGGCGACAGAGTGAGACACCATGTCAAAAAATAATAAATAAATAAATCTATAGCTTGTTTATCCACTTTTAATTAAACTGACTTTTAACCATAGTGCTCTTTAAAGAAGAAATCCTTTCATATTTCTTATTACCTGATGTTAGCCATGCCAAGTGGCCAATATTTTTACTTTCTGAACTTTACCAAAGGTAACCTCCTAGGTGCTTCAAAGGCATGGTAAACAGTTTCTTTTTTTATAAGATTTAGAATTTCCGCAAGGTAGTTCAAAGAAAGGAAAATTCAAGAGAGGAAATTAGAAGCTAAGTATGGGGGGAAGAAACCTCAATAAATGGCAAAATTACACAAATAAACCAGAAAGGAATTATTCCAGAAGCCAACAATTGAACCCCGGCCACCACTGTCAAAAGATAAAGCCGTAGCTACTGAGCTATACAGCATTAAGCAGTTTCTATTGCTTTTCCCAGAAGGGGCCTAGAGAAGCAAATTTCAAGCTTGGAAAGCTTTTAACTGCCCAAGAAAAATTTTTAGGACTAATTATGACATGAACCCCAAAATTCCTGTCCTCTGGATGGTGGAAACCAAAAGAAAGTATCCCCGCATGGTCACAAGGTTAAGCTCCTAAGGACACAAAACAAGACAGAAATTTTATACAGTACTGGTTTCAGGGACCTGTAGCAAAGTTTGTAACTGACGAGCCTGCCAAGCTGGCTTGAGAAGCAGGCTTATAGGGGTTGTAAACCCACATTCTATCCTGCAATACCCCCTCTCCGTTACAGAACACAGAAAGACAAATTTTTAGCACAAAGTACACAACATTTGCTACAGCCTAAGACTAGTTTCACAAATCCTTTTTTCTATTAATCAAACCTTGCGGAGGAGACCAGTAATTTACTGTTTTACCCAGACAGAGAAAGGGAGAGAGAGAGAGACCAGAAACTTGGCTGGTAAGAATTTCTTACCCTTTTTGCTGGCATACCAGGTTTCTGGGTTCCTTTTCTCTGCAGCTTCCAGAAGAATGGAGTGGCTTCTGATGACCCTGCTCACTTGTGCTATAGCAGTGGGGTTCCAGCCACTTTACAAGAGAAAATCACCCTTTACTGTTTTATGGAACCACAGGCAAGATTCTTAATTTTCAAGATGCTGCCCAATGGGCTGCAAGGGGAACCGAATTAACATTTTCCATCCCAGCAAAATACACATAACAAAACAGACATTAGTCACCTCATTCAGCACCCAATATCAGCCTGGAAAAGCTGAAACTTTTTCCCTTTGGTCCCTGTTGTCTTTAATCCACTCCAGGTGGGGACAGATGACCTCCAAATGGTAATTCACAATGGGGTCTCTGGGCAAGGCAAAAAGCAGATAGTCACCCCAAGAGGCCTGTTGAGCCTTCTTTGGGGCTCATGGAATGTGACCAGATAAGGATGGTTCCCTGAGTTAGGCCTGCTGGATTTCCATCAGCAACCGTCTCTGAGATCCCTTCCACATATACAAACACAGACAAAGAGGAGATGGACAGAAGGCCTTCCAAATTAGATCCCTAACCAAGAACTCCAAGAGTATCCCTTCCAAACTATCCTCCTATTCTCTGTCTGAGAAACCTCCTCGAAATCTTCCTGATTGAGGAG